>NC_000003.12:122493452-122796483 GCF_000001405.40 Homo sapiens
ACCTAAGAGCCTATGGAGGGATATACTGTTGAGAAGCAAGCCCACAAACCACAAAGAGCCTTGGAAAGCCTCAGGAATTTTTCTTAATTGAGCTGTAACGGAAAGCTGTGGTGAGGCAGCAGAACAAGGGCACGGTTTGAAAAAGAGAAAATTAAGAAAACCAGCCTGGTAAATCCAACATTTGACTTACAGGATATGAGGAAGGAAGGAGCTTCTCAATGAATTAACACAGGAAAATTCCCAAGAACATAGTCTTATACTGAAAGTGCCCTCCTTTACCCTATCACCACACTGGCTAAATTTTATATTTTTAGTAGAGACGGGATTTCACCATCTTGGCCAGGCTGGTCTCGAACTCCTGATCTCAGGTGATCTGCCCACCCCGGCCTCCCAAAGTGCTGGGATTACAGGCATGAGCCACCCCGCCCAGCCTCATTATAGTTTTAACTTTTATTTATTTGATAATTAGTGATGTCGACCCTTTTTTCATGGCCACTTGTATGTCTTCTTTTGAGAAGTATCTTTTCATGTCCTGTGCCCACGTTTTAATGGAGTTGTTTTTTTCTTGTTGTTTGAGTTCCTTGTAGATTCTGAACATTAGAACTTTGTCAGATAGTGTTAACAAATACTTTCTCCCATTCTGTAGGTTGTCTGTTAAATACATTATTGCTTTTGCTGTGCAAAAGCTTTTTAGTTTAAGTCCCATTTATCTATTTTTGGTTTTGTTTCCTTTTGAGGACTTACTCATAAATTCTTTGCTTAGACCAATGTCCAGAAGAGTTTTTCCCAGGTTTTCTTCTAGGATTTTTATAGTTTCAGGTTATACATTTAATTATTGAATCCATCTTGAGTTAATTTTTGTATATGGTAGGGGTACAGTTTCATTCTTTTGCACACAGCTCTCCAATTTTCCCAGCACTATTCATTGAATAGGGTATCCTTTCCCCAGTATATACTTTTGCCAACTTTGTCAAAGATCAGTTGGTTGACAGTATGGGGCTTTATTTCTGGACTCTCTATTCCATTCCATTGACTTATATGTCTACTTTTATACCAGTACTGTGCTGTTTTCAATTACTATAACCTTGTAGTATAATTTTACATCAGGTAATGTGATACCTCCAGCTTTATATTTTGCTTAAGATGGCTTTGGCAATTGGGGCTCTTTTTTGGTTCTGTATGAATCCTAGGATTGTTTTTTCTTATTCTGTGAAGAATGACACTGGTAATTGGACAGAAATTGCACTGAATCTGTAGATTGCTTTCGGTAGTATATAAATTTTATAATGAAGTTTAATTACATGAAATCAGTAGTCACCAAGAAGAAACAGAATAAAATGAACATCGTGTTAATCAAAGAGTGCCACTGCTACACCTTCAAATGGTGTTATGCCAAATACGATCCCTAGACTGGTGGTTATATTCAGACCTATACCTACCTGGGTTCACATGTATCATACATGTATTCCACTTAAATATATGAATATAAATATATAATCATGCTGTTAAGATTTCTGAGAATAAAAGGAAAGGAAATTCCTGTAATCCCAGCACTTTGGGAGGCTGAGGCAGGCAGATCACGAGGACAAGAGATCAAGACCATCCTGGCCAAGATGGTGAAACCCTGTCTCTACTAAAAATACAAAAATTAGCTGGGTGTGGTGGCACGCGCCTGTAGTCCCAGCTACTCAGGAGGCTGAGACAGGAGAATCGCTTGAACCTGGGAGGTGGAGGTTGCAGCGAGCCAAGATCACGCCACCATACTCCATTCCAGCCTGGCCACAGAGCGAGACTCTGCCTCAAACAAACCAAAAAAAAAAAAAGAAAAGGAAATTCACCCAAAAAACAGAACTAATTTAAAAGCTCTGTGAAAGAAAAGGATCCATTTTCAGTTCAAAAAATAAATAAGAGAAAATTAAGTGGATACATTCAAAGATGATAAAGCAGGTCAAGAACTCATAACTTAATTTGCTGCACTCAATATAAAGTCTATTACAATATTACAAAATACCTTTGCCAATAATAAAGTGCTTGATTCATACAACTCTAACAAATAAAATACTGAGGTTGTAATGTACTGTTGGACTTCACCTAAATGGATTATCTAACGCAGTGTTTCATAAAATGTGTTTTGAGAATATTTCACTATAACTGCAAAATATTTATAATAGAATATCTTATTTCTCAAGCATGAGGGTTCTAATTCATCTGCCTTTATGGAATTTCTATAGTGAGGGTCAAATGGTCCTTCAGGCTCCAAAGTCTCTCCTTAGCAAAAAAA
Source organism: Homo sapiens (assembly GCF_000001405.40). NCBI lineage: Eukaryota > Metazoa > Chordata > Mammalia > Primates > Hominidae > Homo > Homo sapiens. Next base: position 122,495,734 of record NC_000003.12, read on the forward strand.
AAAAAAAAAAAAAAGTCACTTAAGCCTTATGTCTTTTCATTTCTTTGCCGAATGTAACAGACCATTTGTCAACAGCATTTTCAAAGGAAGGCTTAAAAAAAAAAAATCAATGTTCTAAATGTCTTTATGAATAATACAGAATTAATCTGGAATAAAAAGACATATTCTGTGAATGAAATTTTACTTTAAAATGTTAGATAACAAAGAAATGTAAAGACAAACACGAAGCAAGTGTAGCAAACTGTTGACAATTACTGAATCCAAAGGACTGGTTTATGTATGAGGTTTATTCTTTCTTTTTGTGTATATTTTTACATTTCCAATTTTAAGTTTACAATGAACAGCAACACTTTAGTGGTCACTTGTGAATTAATTAACAAACATACATCAAAAAAATCTTAAAGAAGAAAGTTGCACCCTTAGAAAACTAAAATACACTAAACACAAATAGGTGAAAATATTGAATAGTGTAGTTATGCTGAGAAAATGAGAACCTGAGAGATTTCCCCATTCTTGTATACCACTTTTCAGTACCTCCTCATCCCCACTCCAAAAAAGTGTTGATTTTACAGGGGAGAAGGGGAAAACACACACACACACACACACACACACACACCCCAACTTTGCTAAAATGAAGATAGTTTCAGGCTTAAAATGGAACATTAAATTCTTTAAAAGAAATGAATAAAGGTAAAGGATTTACCTGCTCTTCTCTTTTCTGCTTTCGTAACTGCAGTCCTTCTTCCTCCCTCCTCCTGCGCATCTCATCGGGATTCAGAGATTTGTTCTTGTAACTTTTCAGGCGAAAGTTCTCTTTTCCTGGGGTGGTCATGATTTCTACAATACAAGTGGGGAGAGAACAAATGAGTTTACTGTGAAGAGCTCTGTTATTCTAAGAGCTCAGTCTTTTAAACATATACATGCCCAGACATATCCCAAAGGGACATCAGAAATGGCTACTTCCCCTCCCCCACTCCTGTCTTTTTTGAGACAAGGTCTTGCTCTGTCCACCCGGACTGGAGTACAGTGGTGCAATCATAGCTCACTGTAGCCTCAAATTCCTGGGTTCAAGCAATCCTCCCACTTCAGTTTCCTGAGTAGCTGGGACCACAGGTGCATGCCACCATGCCCAGAGAATTTTTTTATTTTTTGTAGAGACAGGGTCTGATCATGTTGCCCAGGCTGGTCTTGAACTCCTAGCTTCAAGTGATCCCCCAACCTTGGCCTCCCAAAGGGCTGGGATTTCAGGCGTGAGCCACTTCACCTGGCCAGGTTACTTTAACAGTTTTATTAAAATGTGCTATTCAACAGTTTTTAGTGTATTTACAGCTTGTACAACCTTCATCATAGTGAATTTTGGGACATTTTAATCACCTCAAAAAGAAATCCTGTATTGTTTAAGCTATCATCCCTATTCTGGACATTTCACATGAACAGAACAGAATCATATAATATGCAGTATTTTGTGACTGGCTTCTTTCACTTAGCATGTTTTCAAGGTTCATCCATGTTGTAGCATATATCAGTACTTCATTTCTTTTTATGGCTGAATAATATTCCATTCTATATATATACCCAATTCTATTTATCCATTCGCCAGCTAATGGACATTTGGAATGTTTCCACCTTTCAGCTATTATGAATAACACTTCTACAACATTTGTGGTCAAGTTTTACACAGATATGTTTTAATTTCTCTGGGTTATATATCTAAAATTGCTAGGTCATATGGTAACTATGTTTAATTGCTTAAGAAACTGCTCAACTGTTTTTCCAAAGTGGCTGTGCCATTTTATATTCCCCTCAGCAGCATATGAGGCTTGCAGTATCTCCACATCCTTGCCAGCACTTTGCTATTAAAACTTTCATTGAAACCATCCTAGTGGGTGTGAGTGGCAACTCATTGTGGTTTTGGTTTGCAATCCCCTGATGACTAATGAGATAGAGCAACTTTTCACATACGTATTTGGTAACTGTGTATCTCCCATTAAAATGAAGTCTATTCAAGTGCCTTAGCCCATTTTTAAATTAGGTTGTCCTTTTATTATTGAGTTGTAAGAGTTCTTTTTACATTCTAGATAAAGGTCCCTTATCAGATATGCTTTTCAAATATAATCTATAGACTGTCTTTTCACTTTCTTGGTGTCCTTTAAAACACAGAAGTTTTAATTTTGATGAAGTCCAAATTAATCTGTTTTTTGCTGTTGTTGTTGTTCATGCTTTTGGTGTCATATCCAAGAATCCTTAACCTTGTGTTTCTTTCCAAGAGTTTTAACTGATACATTTAAGTCTGTGATCCATTTTGAGTTAATTTTTCTTTGTAGCATGGTATGAGAGTCCAACCTCATTTTTTTGCATGTGTCTATCCAGCTGTCCCAACAATACTTGTTGAAAAGACTCCTCTTTCTCCACAGAATGGTCTTGGCACCTGCTATAGACTGAATGTGTGTCTCACCCAAAATTCATATGTTAAATCCTAACTCCCAATGTGATAGTGTTTGAAGGTGAAGCCTTTGAGAGATGATTAGCCCTTAGTGGTAGAGTCCATATGAATAGGATTAAAGCCCTTAAAAAGAGACCCCCCAAAGAGTTTGCTTGCTCCTTCAGCCATGTGAGGACACAGAGAAAAGATAAGGCATCTGTAAACAAGGAAGCAGGCTCTCACCAGACACTGAATCTGCCAGTGCCTTGATCTTGGACTTCCCAGCATCCAGAACTGTGAGAAACAAATTTCTATTGTCTGTTAGCCACCTAGTCTCTGGTATTTCATTACAGCAACCCAAACGGACCATGACAGCACCTTGCTGACAACCAGCTGACTATATACATATATATAGTTTAATTTCTTGACATTCAATTCTATTCCACTGATCTATATGTGTATCCCTGTGTCAGCCCCACACTGTCTTGGTTACCATTGCTTCAAAATAAGTTTTGAACTCGAAAAATGTCAGTCTTCTTACTTTTTTGGTTCTTTTTTCAAGATTGTTTTGGCTATAATTGATCCCTTGCAATTCCATATGAACTTTAGAATCAGTTTGTCAATTTCTATGAAGAAGTCAGCTATGATTCTGATAAGAGACTGCACTGTCTGTAGATCAGTTTGGGAAATACCGGCACCTTAATGCTAAATCTTCCACTTATTTAAGATAGGAGCTCTATTTAGATCTTAATTTCTGTCTATAATGTAATGTAGCTTTCAGAATATGTTTTATACTTTTGTTAAATTCATTCCTAAGTATTTAATTTTTATACCATTGGAAATGAAATTGTTTTAATTCTCAGACTGTTCACAAATCTAGAAAAATATAACTGATTTTTGTATACTGATCTTGTATTTTACAATCCTGCTGAACTTGTTTAATTGGTGCTAATGCTTTATTTGATACACATCATGTCGTCTACAATATAGCTTTACTTCTCCCTTTCCAATTTTGATGTCTTTTACTTCTTTTTCTTGTCTAACTTCCCTGGCTAGAGCCTCCAATACAATGTTGAATAGAAATAGAGCAGACACCCCTGTCTTATGCTAGACCTTAGAATGAAAGCAGTCTTTTACATTAAGCATGATGTTACCTTTGGATTTTCTGTAAAGGCACTTTTATCGGGCTGAGAAGTTCCCTCTTATTCCTAGTTGACTGTTTTATAATTAAAGAGTGTCAGATTCTGTCAAATGCTTTTTCTGTGTCTATTGATATCACAATGTGATTTTTTTTTCTTTTTTTTTAACAGACAAGGGACGGGTAGAGTGGCTCATGTCTGTAATTCTAGCATTTTGGGAGGTTAAGGCGGGAGTATCACTTGAAGCCAGGAGTTCAAGATCAGACTGGGCAACATGGTGAGACTCCATCTCTACAAAAAATTTAAAAAATAAAAATCAGACAGGCTGGTGGTGTGCACCTGTAGTTCCAGGTACTCAGGAGGCTGAAGCAGCAGGATGGCTTGAGTCCAGCAGTTGCAGGCTGCAGTGAGCCATGATCACACCACTGTACTCCAGCCTGGGTGACAGTGAAACCCTGTCTCTTCAAGAAAAAAAAAAAAAAAGAGACGGGTTTATATTTTCTTGTGATGTCTTTGTCTGGCTTTGGTATCAGAGTGATACCAGCTTCATAAAATGAGTTGGAAAGTATTCCCCAGGAAGATTTTGTCAAGAATTATATTATTTCTTTAAATGTTTGGTAAAATTCAGCAGTAAAGCCATATGGGCCTAGGCTGTTTCTTTGCGGGCAGTTCTGTGACTACTATTTCAGTGTCTTCACGTGTTACAGGTCTATTCAGATTGTCTGTTCCTCTTATTGAGTCAGTTTTGGTAGTTTTTGTCTTTCCAAAAATTTGTGCACTTCATCTAAACCATTTTATTTACTGGGATACAACTGTTTTTTTGTTGTTGTTGTTGTTGTTGTTTTGAGATGGAGTCTCACTCTGTTGCCCAGGCTGGAGTGCAGTGGCGTAATCTCGGCTCACTGCAACTTCTGTCTCTCAGGTTCAAGCCATTCTCCTGCCTCAGCCTCCTGAGTAGCTGGGATTATAGGCATGCACCACCACGCCTGGCTACTTTTTGTATTTTTAGTAGAGACAGCGTTTCACCATGTTGGCCAGGCTGGACTCAAACTCCTGACCTCAGAAGATCCACCCGCCTCTGCCTCCCAAAGTGCTGGGATTATAGGCATGAGCTACCATACCCAGCCACAACTGTTAACAGTATTTCTTTATAACCTTACTAATTTTTACAAGGTCACTAGTAATGTCTCCTCTTTCATTTCTAATTTTTTTTTTCCCCCAGATACTCTCTCTCTCTGTTGCCCAGGCTGGAGAGTACAGTGGCACAATCATGGCTCACTGTAGCATCAACCTCCCAGCTCAAGCAATCCTCCCACCTCAGCCTCCCAAGTATCTGGGACTACAGGTGCATGCCCAGATTATTATTATATATTGGGCTGGGGGGCTAGGGGGATAGAGATAGGGTCTCACCATGTGGGCAACTGGTCTCGAACTCCTGGGCTCAAGTGATCCTCCTGTCTTGGCCTCTCAAAGTGCTGAGATTACAAGCATATGCCACTGTGCCCAGGAAATCTGAAAAATGTTGAGTTTTTCTCAATCTAGCTAAAAGTTTGTCAATTTTATTCATCTTTAATGCTCTCTATTGTTTTCCTATTCTCTATGTCATTAATTTTCACTCTACTCTTTATTTGCTTCCTTCTGCTTGCTTTAGGTTTACTCTGCTCTTCTTAACTCAGTCACTTAAAGTGGAAAGTTAGGTTACTGATTTGAGATCTTTCTTCTTTTCTTTTCTTTCCTTTTTTTTTTTTTTTTGAGACAGAGTCTCACTCTATTGCCCAAGCTGAAGGGCAGTGGCATGATCTCGGCTCACTGCAATCTCTGCCTCCCAGGTTCAAGTGATTCTCCTGCCTCAGCCTTCCAAGTAGCTAGGGTTACAGGCGACTGCCATCACACCCAGCTAATTTTTGTATTTTTAGTAGAGTCGAGGTTTCACCATGTTGGCCAGGCTGGTCAACTCCTGACCTCAAGTGATCCACCCACCTCCGCGTCCTGAAGTGCTGGGATTACAGGTGTAAGCCACCACGCCCAGCATCCTTTCTTCTTTAACAAAGGCATTCACAACTAAGTTTCCCTTTAAGCACTGCTTTAGCTGTATCCCTAAGTATTCCTACACGATGTCTTCATTTTCATTTATCCCAAAGTGTTTTCTGATTTCCTTTTTGATTTCTTCATGGACCCATCAGTTATTTAGGAGTATGTTCTTTAACTTACACATATTGGTGAGTTTCTCAAATTTCCTCCTGTTACTGATCTAATTTCTTTCCATTGTGATCAAAGAACAGGATCCTTTTAAAATTTATCTAGCTTGTTTTGTAGCCCAGCAAAATGCACACATAACACTTGCTATCCTGGAAAACACATATTTCCAGGATATACATATTTCTATTTGAAAATACATATTTTTGACTGCTGCTGGCTGGTAGTGTGGTCTATACATGTCAGTTAGGTCTAGTGGGTTTATTGTACTGATTCCTTCTTGACCTTCCACCAAGTTGTTCTGTCCTCTACTGAAAGTGGGGTACTAAAGCCTCCAACTCTTATTACTGAATTCTCTGTTTCTGTCAGTTTTTGCTTCTCTCATTCATTTACTGCATATATCCTAGGACCATTTCCAGAGGCTTTCCATGGTTGTTTTTGAAATACTTTACCCTAAGTTTACTGGGTAGTGGGTCAGCAGAGCTCCTTATTATGCTAAAAGCTGCATAAATAATTACATATACGAACATGATTTTGATGCAAACCTGGGTTGAGAATCACTAATTTATAACATGCTACCACATCTTCTATTTTATTTGGATCTCTTAACAAACCTTTATGGCAAAAAATATCATTCTCACCTTTTACAGATAAGGAATCAGAAGGCTCACAGAGTGACTTGGCCAGGGTTACACACTAAATACAAGATAGAGCTAGGATATGAACACAGGTCTCATTATACACCCAGTGATCTACTGAGAGAGACTGAATTGTGCCGTCCCCTCAAAACTCTTATGTTGACACCCTAACCACCAGTGTGACTTGTATTTTGTTATAGTGCCTTTTAGGAGGCAGAGTTAAATGAGGTCATGAGGGTCCCACCCTGATAAGACTGGTGTCGTTATAACAGAATGAGACACTAGAGACTTCTCTGAGAGATACAGAGAAAGGCTACATAAGAAGACAAGAATGCAGCTGTCTGCAAGCAAAAGAGTGCCCAGAAATCAACTCTGCTGGCACCTTGATCTGGAATTCTAGCCTTCAGAACTGTGAGAAAATAAATTTCTGCTTAAGCCACACAGTCTGCAGTATTTTGTTATGGTAGCCTGAGCAGATTAATATGTCTACTCAGTGGAAATCTGGCAGAAACTTTATCAGACTAAAAGGTGGGTGTAATACGGATGAGAACTTGTGAATAATTCCAAGGGAATCATATTTAAAGGTGATGAAAAATGATATAAAGAAGAGTGCTGGTTTCCTGAAGCAGGCAGCATTTTAGCTATGAAATATCACAATATGGCACAATAATAGTAGTGTTGCAATGATGTCCCAAATTCAAAATCTGAGTGGGACGCGGTAGTTCACGCCTGTATTCCCAGCACTTTGGGAGGCCAAGGTGGGAGGATCACTTGAGCCGAGTTTTGTAGCGACCCTGTCTCCACAAAAAATACAAAAAAATTAGACAGGCATGGTGGCAGGCACCTGTGGTCCCAGCTACTTGGGAGGCTGAGATGGGAGCATCACTTGAGCCTGGGAGGTCAAGGCTGCAGTGAGCCAAGATCGCACCACTGAGCAAAATCCCATCTCAAAACAAAAAAAAAGATTCGTTAAGTTTCAGTTTCAGGTCAAAAAAAGGAAAAAGCCAACAGTAAACTCCAACAAAACCAAAAACCTAAAATTAGACTTAAGGAAGTAACTTAGAGGTCTGTATTCAATGTGGAGTTGTAAGGGTAAGCAATTAAAGCCAGTGTTGGAAGCATGCATACATATATATATATATAAAGAAAGAAAGAATAAATGATAAATAAGGCAAAAGATAAACAATTGAGAAATGTCAATGAAGGCATATAGGAAGTCTCGTGCACTTCTTAAAACGTTTTTGTAGTTTGAAATGATTCCAAACTTTTTAAAAAATCTAAAAGGAAAGAAATGTTACGCAAAAATTAAATATTCAACTGCTTTTTTATTAAAGTGTCATAGGCAGCAAGTTGAATAAATGAAGCCTAGCCTTCCACAAGTCCCATGTTCAAATTTGCTTTGCAGACCAATCACATACAGAAGACAGTAGACTTCTGTGAGCCTGTTTCCTCATCTGTACAATGGACATAATGATACCTCATAAGGTGAAGAACATGTAAAAGCATACTTCCCACTGTCTGGCCCTTGTATAGTTTATACTTGGGAGTTACTGAAATGGTCATTATTTTTTCTCTTTTGAACTATTAAATATGGTGAATTATATTAATAGACTTTCTAATACCAAATGATCCTGTTTCTTTGGATAAACACACTTGGTGATGGTGTGTATTACCCCTTTCCAATTCTATTTGTTATATTTGTCACACTGAGAGCTGTTTGAAAAAAAACACGGGTATGATTCCAATTATATGACATTCTGGAAGAGGTAAAACCAGAAACAAACAAACAAAAAACCCAGTGGCTGCTGGGTGTTTTGGGGGAAGGCAGGATTAACAGGTGGAACACAGAAGAATTCTAGGGCAGGAAAACTATTCTGTATGATACAATAGTAGTTAATGCATGCTATTACACATTTGTCAAAACCCAAAGAATGTACAACACTAAGAATGAACCATAATGTAAACCATGGACTTAGAGTGAGGATGATGTGCCAATGTTGGTTCATCAATTGTTTTAGCTTGATCAGGCTACTGTAACAAAACACCATCAACTGGGTGTCTTATAAACAATAGAAATTTATTTCTCACAGTTCTAGAGGCTGGAAAGTCCAAATCAAGACCCTGGCTAATTCAGTATCTGGTGAGGACCCACCTCCTGGTTCACAGATGACCATTTTTTTCACTGTGTATTCACATAGCAGAAGGGGCTAAGGAGCTCTCTGTGATCTCGTGTAAGGGCACTAATTCCATTCATGAGGGCTCCATTTTCATCACCCAAAGGCCTCATCTTCAAACACCACCATACTGGAGATTGGGTTCAACACATGAATCGTAAGGGGACATAAACATTCAGTCTACAGCATTACTTGTAACAAATGAGCCATTCTGGAGCTTGTGCAATGTTGATGGTGGGAGAGTCTATATTCATGTGGGGGCAAGGGGTTGACGGAAACCCTGTACTTTCCATTCAATTTTGCTATGAACCCAAAACTGCTCTAAGAAACTGTCTGTGTGTGTGTGCGTGTGTCTGCGCACACGCATGTATGTGTGTATTTAGACTTCCCACCCCAAGAGGGGACAACCAATCTCATTTATGGATACTGGTGAGATTTTTAAGTTTCACTCCTTTCACTCTATTACTTCAATGGATGCATTTAGACTTTGGGTGAGAGAGAGAGAGAGATTTTTTAAAACATAAATATCTCATCAGTATCCATAAATGAGATTCGTTGCCCCCTCTTAGGATGGAGAGGGGATTACATTTGTTCTGTTGGGAGAGACTCTTTTTTTTTTTAAACACAAGCCTCAAATGTCCCTCTAAAGAGTCTAATTAATGTGTCTGAAGCAGACAGACACCTCTGGGTTTTTCTTCCTTTTAAGATCCCCAAGTGGGCCAGGCACAGTGGCTCACACCAGTAATCCCATCACTTTGGGAGGCCAAGGGGCGGGCAGATCACTTGAGGTCAGGAGTTCGAGACCAGCCTGGCCAACATGGTGAAACCCCGCCTCTACTAAAAATACAAAAATTAGCCAGCATAGTGGCATGCACCTGTGAGTCCAGGTACTTGGGAGGATGAGGCATAAGTATGGCTTGAACCCGGGAGGCAGAAGTTGCAGTGAGCCAGGATTGTACCACTGCATGCCTCAAAAAAAAAAAAAAAAAAAAATCCAAGCAAATTCTGATATGCATCTGCAGTTGAAAATCACTATAGTAGAGCAAAAGTTTTATTTTAAAACAATGTAAAATACAGTTGAAAATGAAGGCTGAAGTTGGACTGAAGATAGCTTTGATAGGAAAGAAAGGAAATAAATCTCTATGTCTGTAATAAGAGGAATAACAAAGTAATTGTATGAGAAAATTAGTTTATCCTAAGCAAATATTTTTAGGTGTTATCACCTAAGCTACTAATTAAAAATTGTAAGTTACTTTTCAAAGTACCCTCTCAGGAATCAGAAGCCTTCAAAATTAAAGCCATTATACCTAAATTTCCTCTTGTTTTCTAGAGAAATAAAGCCAAAGAAGCAATAAACTTAAAAACAAGATGCAATACTGGTGGTGAAATAGAAACACACTCTTTCAAAGACAGATCCCCTCACTTTCTCCTTCATGTCTAGTTACTCAATTATCAAATTTTGCTTATTCTATCCAAAGTCTTTGATTTTATCTGATCCGATCTATTCCCACTGCCACCAGCCTGGCTCAAGTCTGTGTCAACTGACACCTAGATAACTACAACAGCTCTAAACCAGCATTCTTAACCTCAGACTCTTTGCTCCTCAATTCATCCTACACAGCCCTCAGATTAATCTCAACACCCTTTTCACTGTATCACTTCAATGGATAAGGAACTACAACGTTTTTAACCACTTCTTAGAACAAGTCTAAACTTCTTGGTCCTGCAAGATCCTTTTGTCTGGATTCATTCAATACCATTCTCCACCACTCTAAACCCAAAACAATGAGTGTAGATCTTTTTATATTTTTATTATATTCAAGATGTTATATATTCAGTGCACTGGGTCAGCCCACCTAATCAGTAAATCTCAAACACATTCTAAATGTTCTGAATATTTAAAATCCATAATACTCTTGTGGAACAACTTGAAATCCTAATATACTTAATTCCACCATATAAATCAGGCATAATTTTATTAGAAAGTATATGATATGCATTTACTATTAAAAACCAAAACTACAAGAAAGTATGACTACAAAAAAGTTATGAATTTAAATAAGTGGAGTATAAGTATAAAGTGTTCAGTTCATTTGAAAATATAAATTATTGATGTTAACAGCTTCTAGTCAAACGATAGTAGGTCCGTTTAAAATATTTTAATAGAAATTAGAAAAGAAAATTAAAATTTGAAATATCCTACCCATTCTTTTCCTATACGATAATTAAGGAGTAGCTTTATTTTTATTAAGAGCATTTCAGTGTTCAATGAAAGCAAAGTTTGAAAAACCCTTCAATAAAGCTTTTCCTGTGAGAAGTCAATGTGGCAGACATATGATTCATAGGTGTTCATCTCTGGCCTCATCTTATAGCTCTAACCAATAATCCAATGGCAATACATATTTTCTTTCACAGCCCAGTTTCAAATGTTTTCCTTTGAGAGGTTTATCATAACCTTTGCCCCAAATTCTGACCCCCAACTCCCAGTATCTATAGGTTCCCAAGCTGGGAAGTTCTCCAAAGACATTCTCAATATCAAAACACTTAAAGGAAAATATCTGTCAAGGATCTGGAGAACTCAAACCCTGAATTGAATACTTCCACTTTTAGAATGTACATAAAGGAAACAAAACTAGTAGTATGTGTAAGACTGTTCACTGCAGTGTGATTATTCTAGTGAAAAATTGTAAAAAACCTAAAAGTTCCAATATGAGGGCTTGGTTAAAGGAAATGTTCACAATGTATTGAGAAAACAGAACACTAACATGAAAAATCTGAATGCTGGGAACAAAAACCCAACCTACACTATTCTCTATACTTTCGAAAAATATTTCGTAACTTAAGAAATCAGAATATAGCTGGGCGCAGTAGTTCACACCTGTAATCCCAGCACTTTGGGAGGCCAAGGCGGGCGGATCACCAGAGGTCAGGAGTTCGAGACCAGCCTGGCCAACATGGGGAAACCCCATTTCTATTAAAAATACAAAAATTAGCCGGGCGTGGTGGCGGGCGCTTGCAATCCCAGCTACTCGGGAGGTTGAGGCAGGAGAATCACTTGAACCCAGATGGCAGAGGTTGCAGTGAGCTGAGATTGTGCCATTGCACTCCAGCCTGGGCGACAGAGCAAGACTCCATCTCAAAAAAAAAAAAAAAGAAAAGAGAAGATATCAGCATATAAAATTTGAATATGGAAATATTATTTTATCTTCCAAATTTTCTGTGATAAGCAATATACTGATTATACAAGAAAAAAACTTTCAAAAAGTAGAGCTGAAAGCATATGTTTACTATGATAAAGCTTATCAACCTACCTAAAACACTGAATTTCTATACTTTTCACTACTATTTTTTCAACTGAGTATGCTGTTATTTCTTCAGAAGTTCTGATCTTTATGGTCTTTATGAAGGAGAAAAATTATCTCTTATCTAAAAGTTGAATGATTTTTTGGGGGGTTAAAAAAAAAAAAAGACAAATCTTTCCAGAAGATGACATAAAGGGTTCGTTCCCTCAGTAGTAAAAAAATTTTTAATCGCAAAAACTTGCCTTCATTCAATTCATATCCATTAATGAATTTAATAACCACTGTAATATATCTGTTTTAAGAACACTTATGAGGGTTTTCAAATTTCAAATCAGGAATTAGCACATATAGACTGCACTTTTCTTCCCATATCATATTAACTCAAAGCCAGAAATTCAATTTTAATCTTCAATAGGCACACAGTGGTCATTCAAATGCTGTGAAAAAATGAACAGAGGAGAAAACAAAGAGTTTATGTAAAGAAATAAAATGGTAGACATGGTAGAATACTAAAATTATAAAGAAATTTTTTTTTCAAATAAATGAACCAGAACCACGGCATAAAGAGAATAGGTAAGCAAAAGAATCAGAGATGGTGTCAAAACCTAAAAGAAGCCATAAAATAGACAAATTATATGTCACTAGCAAAGTGGAAAACTCTGAAGCCTAACCTGCAAACGAAGAAGGCAATAAGAAACAAGCTGATTCACACTACCTACCCACAAACAGGATGCTTCAGACAGATCATCCAGGTACTATCCCTCCTTAAGGTAGTGAGGAGTTGGGCTCAAAATCAGAAGGTTTGTTGAAAGTCTACAAAACAGCCATCACATGCCCAGATTTCCTCCTCCACTCTTCACAACCAGACAACCATCCTTCAGTAATCCCTTCAAATGGGTGCTCCAATGCAGGTGAGGGTGGGGGTGAGGTGCCTTATTGATAACAGAATTACATGAGCACAACAGTAAAAACCCAAGCTCCTTTTCTAAAATGAGTTCTCAAAACATGGCAGCCAGACACACATTCTCCTGGCAAGAGACTGGAGACTCTCAGGGAAACTGACTAGCCCAAGAGAAACAAACCTATGAGTATATGCCCTCCACCCACCACAAAAAAAATGGCCACCAGCTACTCTCTTCACCCTTCAACAAGCCACACTTAATAGAGCTTCCAATTCAGTTTTTGGCACTTCATTCTTAAATATGAATGGACAGCCACAAGACTACCAGACATCTGGGGAAAGCCTCAATAAAGAAAAGACAACAATGGTAACAAAATTTTTAAAACTATCATTAATATCCCCAGAAAGAATACAGCATCTATGAAACAACACAAATATACTATAAAATAAGAATGAGAGGCTGGACGCGGTAGCTCACGCCTGTAATCCCAGCACTTTGGGAAGCCGAGGAGGGTGGATCACTTGAGGTCAGGAGTTCAAGACCAGCCTGGCCAACATGGTGAAACCCCGTATCTACTAAAAATACAAAAATTAGCCAGGCGTAGTGGCGGGCCCCTGTAAACCCAGCTACTCGTGAGGCTGAGTCAGAACAATGGCTTAAGCCCAGGAGGCAGAGGTTGCGGTGAGCCAAGATCATGCCACTGCACTCACTTGGGCAACTGAACAAGACTCTCTATCAAACAAAAAAAAAAAAAAGAAAGATAAAACCAAGTAAAGGCAAACATGTGAGCAAAAAAGAACTCTCAAGCACTCAAGTAGGCACATACACTAATTCTCCCACTCTATGCCCAAGGAATCACAATCTTGGGTATATATCCTAGAGAACTTCTATACAGGTCTATAATAATGTACAAGAGTATATATAACACAGGGTATTTGAAATAGCAGAAAGGCAACTCAGGGATCAATTCCTAGGGAATGAAAAGTAAAATGTGGTAGATCTGCATTACAGAATTCTACATTAGACACAACTATACATACTTACAACAAAACAGAAAGATCCCCAAATCAATGTTGAATAAAAAAGAAAAAGACCTTTGCAAGGTCTATAACACAATACCTAAACATACACAGCTCCACTACATATTTTACAATGTTTCATATATAATCAAGGAATGTACCAACCACAATGTTATACAAAGAGGTAACAGAAGTAGGGCTCAGAAATTTAAGATAAAAATTTAAAGGACCTTGTACGATCTGATGTGTGACAAGAACTGAGAAGCATAATTCATTCTAAAATTCTTTTTGCCTAACATCCAAATAATAACAAAAACTTTCGAGAACTAAAGGACATGAACTCCCAGCTTATAAAGGTCCATGGAATGCCCTTAAACAAAAAAATACCCATACCTAGACACATCATCATGGAATTTTGAGGGTTAAAAATATCCTAAAAGCTTCTAGAGATTGGGGTAAAGGAAGATCACATACAAACAAAGAATCAGATTGGCTTTGGATTTCAAGAGTAACCCTGGAAGAAAGAAAACAATAGAACTATGACTTGCAAACTTGAAGTAGAAGTTACTTTCAACTCAGAATTTTATACCCAGACAAATTACTGATCAAATGCGAAGGAAGAATAAAGATTTTTTTCAGTCATGTAAGATGTCAGGAAGTTTTTGTTTTCCATGTATCCTTTCTCAGAAAGCTACTAAAAAATGTACTCCAAGGAAATAAGTAAACCAAGAAAGAAAATACAGGAAACAGTAAACAGGGGAACCAGTACAAAAGAGGGCAAAGAAGTTTAAGGATGATGAAAAGAGAAGTCCCTGGATAACAACTATGAAATAGGCCTAGAAAGTAACCAGTCCTAATTGCATTAAGAGGTTCCAGGTTAGCTGTCTCAGGAAATGAAGCAAACAACAACAAAAAATACTAACTTGTAGAAAAACAAAAATTTATTAAGAGAAGAAATGATATCACAGTACTCTACATGGGTCAGCTGTGAACATTTATAGAGTTACAATATTGTAAACACTAAATATTGGTTTAGTAGACACACCTGTGATAACTATATTTGGAGGATGGTAGAGACAGTGTGTGCATATGGCAGGTGAGGTGAATATATATGTGAAACACTAAGGAACATCTTGCTTAGACGAAAGCCAATAATATCTATAATTGCTATATCATGATATAGCAATAAAAGCAAGTCACTGTATTTATAAATATGAAAGCAAACACAAGAGGAAACAGCTAGAAGAAAGAAAATGGTAGCTTTTCAAGTGCAGAGGCTGGGACAGGGAACAGCTGCTTTTCAGGTATTCTAATTCCAAAATTTTATTTTTTTAATGTTGATAAAACAAGGAACTTGAACAATCTCACGACGGTTATATTAGATCTTCAGTATTATTTCATGGTGTTAAACTACATCTAGTTTGTTCTGCCAAAGAGACTGAACGGCTAAAACCAATCTTTAACGATCAATGTGAACACAGTACAAACAGCCCTATTTGAATCCCAACTCCACTACTTTGTGAAGTAAGGCGAGTTACCCAATCACCTTGCACACGTAATCACCTCCTCAAAATGGTTTTGCAAGAACAAGTAAGTGAAAGCACCTGATGCAGAACCTGACCCATCAATAGATGTCAGAGTACTTTCAGCGGGTCTTTCTGTTCCCTAGCTGACCCCAAGCTGCCTATTCTGACCCCAAGCTGCCTATTCTGACCCCAACCTGCCTTGTTGCTCACAGAGTATATAGGCACTCATGGACTCAGCACATATCCCTCCTCACGCTGGAAAAACAATCATGATGAGTAAGCAGACTTATCTTTGTATATGAAGGGCAGCATTATTCTTGTTAATATGAAGGAGATTATCTCCATTATCCACATTCTGGATTACTGCCTGCTTTCAAGAACTGTCCCAATTAGTCTACAACACTTGGACAGAACCATTTTTTCATGTTGTTTTGTAGGTTTGTAACATCTTTAAAAAAAAGAAAGAAAGAAACATACATTCCCACAGTCTTCATCCCTACTCTTCCAATGTACAACCTCAAAATTTTCTAATGCAGGCCCTATCTGGCCCTCAGTTGGCCTCAGGCCATCTCCTGCTTACTGCAGCAAAAGACAGAAATCAGCCCAAATCAGCTAATTTAACTGTTTACCATTTCCAGTGTTTTCTTCCCTATTATGGCTAAATTCATAACACCATGCAAAGTACAAAGATACCTTAAAACAAAACAAGGAGTTATCTTTATCACTAGGTCAGTCATCTTTACTTGCAAGACCAATCAAAGGTCTTAACTGATTTTATACACAGTACTCATACATCTAAAAACAATCTGGTAGACTTAAAAGCACAGACATCATAAATCATTAAAACTCTATTTTATCATTAATTCAACAAACACTGTGCTAAAACACTGAAGATGCAAAGAATAAGATATAATCCTATTCTCAAATGTAAAGGGAAAAGGGAAAAGGTAAAAGGACCATTGAGAGCAACAGAGAATAAAGAAAATAATGCAAGAAACAACTGACAGCAATTCCAGGTTACGTATAAAATAATTCTTAACATAGTTGAGACTAAAGAAAATTATAAAAATTGAACACAGCTCTGAGACTCCTGACAGTCAAAGTATAGAGAAACAGGATGGCTTACAAAACAAAAATAATCTAATAAAACCAATCATTAGTTTAAAAAAAAAAAGCTTAATACTGGGGTCTTAGGAAGAATTTGTCTCTAAGGTCTGTATTTTATAGGAACCAATACATAAATTAGAAATTTCTTCATTAGATATTAATGAAGAAAAGATGTTTTTAATGGCCCCTTTGGTAAGTATCAGCTCTAGATAAGATGTATATTAAATCATAGTTCTGTGAAGAAACTTCTACGAGAACCACTTTATAAAGTAACATAATGCGGCTGGGCGCGGTGGCTCATGCCTGTAATCCTAGAACTTCGGGAGGCCGAGGAGGGCGGATTGCGTGAGCTCAGGAGTTCGAGACCAGCCTGGGCAAGACGGTGAAACCACCCGTCTCTACTAAAATACAAAAAATTAGCCGAGTGTGGCCTCATGCCCCTGTAGTCCCAGCTACTCAGGCAGTCTCAGGCAGGAGAACTGCTTGAACCAGGGAGGCAGAGGCTGCAGTAAGCCGAGATCGCGTCACTGCCCAGCCTGGGCAACAGAGCAAGCATCCAAAAAAATAAATAAATAAAATAAAAAATACCATAATGCAAGTATAGTGATTTCAGGTGATACCTTTCTAATTTAGTTTATTCTAGGTTTTCATAAATGTATGTTTTGTTGCCCTACAGGACTGTAAACTCCTCAAGGCTTATGTTGTCTGCTTCCATTTGAACTGCCTTTACTATTTAGTAGAGTGCTTTACAGTTGCTACTCAACTATAATAACTGACAAAATGTTATGCAGTCAATATTTGTAATATTAGCTTTCCCTGCTACACTATAAATTCCATGAGAACAGGGACAGTGAGTTTTGATCGCGACTATATCCCCCCAAGTCTAGAAGATCACTCTGTAAGTATTCGCTGATTGAACGGATTAAATAAAGAAAACAACGAAAAAGTATGAAAGGAGAGAAATAATTTAAATGGCAGTAACTTTGGGTTCTAAGGTTGTTCTCAACAAGAACTGGAAGACCTTAGGTAAGTTACTTAACATTTGATTGTCAATGCTTTCATCTGTAAAATAGAAAAATTAACAGATACTTCAGATTCAAATGTTTTTAATATATGTAAAGCATTTAACACAATACCTGAAAAAAGAACTCAATAAATGTTAATTCCTTTACTTTCTCTTACGTCTCATCTATCCATAAAACAGTGTCTTCCAAGAATATTTCAGTAAAAATACAACAGAACTCATTCTTACTTTCCTTTGAAAAATTAAATTTTCATCTCTTTGATCTTTAAAAAGGAGGGAAAAATAACTTGTGTACTGCTTTCAAAATATTACAAATGCAAAAGCTAGTTAAGACAAAAACAATGTCGAGAATGAGCCTTGCTGGTGGCATCCGCCTGTAGTTCCAGCTAGTAGGGAGGATGCCTTGAGGCCAGGAGTTCCAGATCAGCCCGGGAAACAAAGCAAGACTCCATCTCTTAAGAAAAAAAAAAACAAAACAGGAGGGGGGAAATCACTTCATCTACTAATAGAGATTTTTAAGCAACCGTTTATTTAAGAAAAAAGGGTGAAATTCAAGTTAATATTACTTGACAGTACGTTTCAGAAAAAAAAATACTCTGCAGAGCTGGGTGTGGTTGCCCAAGACTAGTCCCAGCTACTTGGGAAGCTGAGGCAAGAGGACAGTTTGAGCTCAGGAGTTGGAGTACAGCCTGGGCAATATAGCGAGACCCCATCTCTTTAAAATACAAACAAAAACTCGGCAATCGTTTGTTCTGAGTTGAAACCTTAAAAATCAAATATTTTGAACGCTTTCATTTAAAAGTGGAACACGACCCAATCCTAAAACATTACTTCATGACGACTTCCTTGACTCCAGTCATCCTTGTTTCCTCCTCCCGTTTTGAGCTTAATCCGATACCTCGCTGCTTCCCTCGCATCGCACACGCGGCGTGCAGACCAAGTTCTGTCATTGCTATAATTACCACACCCCCGATCAGCCGCTCCAGGCCCATGTTGTTATGACATCGGTAAACTGCAGCCGGCCGTCTCCACCCCCCGCTTCCCCCACCTCCCTCCGGGCCGCCGGCTCCGACCCGGTCTGTAACTTGTGAATTCCCAAGACGGTCCCTTTTTGCCAGGGTTAGAATTTTTACACGCCACCCCTGCTCCTTCCTGCCTCTGTCACAGCGCTCTGCGCGGCCCACCCCCGCCTCCCGCCCGCCGCCCGGCCGCGGCGCAGGCTCCGCGCTCGCCTCCTCTCCGCCCGCTGCCTCGGCGCCCCGCAGTCCCCGGCGCCGCTTACAGCCCCGCCGCCGCGCCACGCCGCCCCGCCCCGCCTAGCCTCGACCGGCGTTCCCGATGGCGATCACACCAGGGCTCCCCACCCCCACCCTCTCCTCCGCCGGCCTTGTGGCCGTTAGGACAGCCGGGCCCGTGACGCACGGACGCGGCGCGAGCGTCCGGCCCAGGAACCCCGGCTCTAGGCCCTGCCGGCACCCGCCCTCGCCCCAGGGCCTCTCCTGAGTCCCTCCGGGACTGCCCGGATCTGCCGGCGGGAGGGGGAGGGGCCGGGGCCGCAAGGCCCCAGCACTCACCAGGCTCAAGGCAACCGATCCCGGTGCCACCGCTGAAGTTAGCCCCTCGCTCGCCCGCCCGCCGTGCCACTCCCGCGCACAACCTCGAAGAGCTGGCCCGCGCCTCGGCGGTGCTCACCAGGCCTCGCTCTCCGCCGCCTCGCACCGAGCAGCGAGACTCAGCTCAGCCGGCGTTCGCAGTGCGCCTGCGTGCGGGGGCCGGCCCGAGCGCCTACGCGCGCCCCTCCGGCGCTTGTCGCAGAGGCTGCCGGGAGACGTAGTCTTGTAACGCTCTCTCGCCGGACATTCCTAATGGTTAGCGCCCAGCCTGTGAAGAGTCGGGGGTCGGGGAGGGGGTCTCGCTAAGAAGGAGGTTTGCAGACCATGGCAAAGGTTGGAGAAAGTTATATGTACAAACCTGTCTTTGCTAAGCTCTTCCAGGGCGGATCGATGCTCACCTCTGTATAGCTTCTAAGTACCTAATACGCGTTGATGGAATGAATGATGGAATGATTGAAGGCTGAGGGAGTATTACAAAATTAGTAGGTCAGCGCCTCGTGTCTAAAGGGCTCACATGCAGCATGAATGCAGGAAGCTTCTGGACATTCCTTTTTTAGTTATCTCCCATCCCCTTTGCTTGATAACGTATGCGTAGTATCAAAAATAATTAAGGGCCGGGCGCGGTGGCTCACACCTGTAATCCCAGCACCTTGGGAGGCCGAGGTGGGTGGATCACTTGAGGCTAGGAGTTTTGAGACTAGCCTGGGCAACATGGCGAAACCCCGTCTCTACTAAAAACACAAAAATTAGCAGGGGGTGGTGACGGGCGCCTGAAGTCCCAGCTACTCGGGAGGCTGAGGTGGGAGAATCACCTGAGCCCGGGGTTGACGGTGAGACTGCAGTGAGCCGAGATCGCGCCACTACACTCCAGCCTGGGCAACCGGAGTGAGACCCTGCCTCAAAAATAATAATAACAATAATAATAATAATAATAATGAAACTACATGAAACACATACTCGTTTTACTCTCAACTGCTCTCAAACGAAAACTTGGAGCAAATGATTGCTAATGTTAAATTTCATGGAATTCTTTGGGGGAGCAAATGGAGTAGTGGCTTCAAAAGAAGAAAAACTGAAGCCAGCCTAGCAGGGATCACGGAATAGTAGACAGATTTAAAACACATGCCAAGAAGCAAGGTGAAAGAGATGAGGTAGATTAATACATTTATAAATGTCCCAGGGAAGAGGAGAGGAGAGAGGACCACTCTACCTGAATCCTAGGTTATGCAATGTTCATTTGTCCTGGACTTCTCTCTGCTGCATCAGCATTCTCCCGCTGATGTTGTGTTTACTAAGATCAGAGTTGAGTTTGAGCAAGGGGGCTGGGGAAAGGGAAGGTGTGTTCAACAGGAGAGACTTAAGGGCAAGTTTGCCTGACCACAGCTAGACTGAAGACAGATCACCTTATTCCAATAAGGAACTAAGACTGATTATTCAGAGCCGGTCTTCAGTCTTTGGGAAAGCTAATTTATTTCCGGTTCACCCTTATTCCTAGCTAGTCCTTGATGGTCCCATCCAAAAGTCTGGGGTATTTACTAGGGCCTCTTCTCTTTGGTGGGCCTTCTAAGCCCCATGAGACAGCCATAAGCTCTTCTCCCTGTTTCAGCCACTGCTTTCAGAGTCAGCAATCACCTTAGCTTTGGAAAAATGATGGCAAATATCAGGCTAACCTCTGGTGGCTTCCTTTTTCTTCCAGACCTTGCACTCACAAATTCTCACTTCCTTGGTAGCTCTTCAGTACATTAACGTTTTTATATTTTGTTCAGTTGTTCTCTGTAGTGGAAAGGTTGATTGAAAACAACAGTAGGCCATTGCTGGAAGTTGAATTCCTATGTATGTTACTTTTACAAAAATGTTATCATACCATACATGGTGTTTTATAAGCTACTGTCTCTCTGACAATATCATTTTATAGTTTGAGAAATTTGAAAGTATAGAACAGTATTTTTTACTGTCACAAACAATGCTGCTGTGAACATTCTTGTACATCTCTACTGTGTATAGGGAAACTGCTAGATCCTAGGACATTGCATCTTTAACCTTACTATATGTATCAGGCAGAAATCTAAGATGGCCCCCATAATCTCTGGTCCCTGGTGTTGCCTATATAATCTCCACCCCTTGAGTGTAGGTGGGACCTTTGACTTACTTCTAGCCAACAGAATATGGCAAAGGTGATAGAATGTCACTCCCATGATTCCGTTTCATTATATAAGACTGTCTTTCCAGACTGGAGCTAGAGATTCGCTGGCCTTGAAGAAGCAAGCTGTCATGTTGCGAACTGCCTATGGAGAAAACTAAATGGCAGGGAACTGCAGACGGCTTCTAGAACTTGAGCGCAGCCTGCAGCTGACAACCAGTAAGAAGCCAGGGCCCTCAGTCACACAACCACAAGGAAATGAATTCTGCCAACAACCTGAGAGGTGGCCTCCAGATGAGAAGACAGCCTGACTTAAACCTTGATAGCAGTTTTGTGAGACCCTGAGCAAAGAAAACAGATAAACTGTGCGTAGACTCCTGGTCTACAGAAACTGTGAGATAATAAATGTGTCTTAAGATACTATGTTTATGGTAATTTATTATACAATAGAAAACTAATACACTAGACATTGCTGGATTATTTCATAAAGTGATTGTACCAATTTGTACTCTAGAAACGGTATATAAGATACTCTTCACTTGCTAACAGTTAGAAATGTCTGGCTTTTTAAATTTTTGCCAATCTAACATATAAATTACTTGAACATAAAAACATGAAAAATAGATATTTACTTAGAATTATGCATTCTGTTGTATTTCTTTTCTGTTGCATAAATGCAATTAAATAAAATAGCAGGCTGGGAACAGTGGCTCATGCCTGTAATCCCAGCACTTTGGGAGGCTGAGGCAGGAGGATCACTTGAACCCAGGAGTTCCAGACCAGCCTGGGCAACATAGCAAGACCCCCATCTCAACACACAAAAAAATTAGTCGGGCATGGTGAGTCGCACCTGTAATCCCAGCTATTCAGGAGACTGAGGTGGGAGGATCACTTGAGACCAGGAGTCTGAGCACACCACTGCACTTCAGCGTGGGTGGCAGAGCAAGATATTGTCTCAAAAAAAAAAAAAAAAAAGCAACTAGTAGTAATAAATAGAGAGACTAATTAAGCAAATAATATGTATGAGAAAAATGCAACAATTTCATAAGGTTTCTTTCTTTCCTCTGGTATAGCAATTTAGCTCTATTGCATATTTGAATTTTGTAGGCTATATCATCCTATATTCTTGAGATAAATAAGTGTAAGAATTTTTTAAAGAATGTATACAATAGAACTAATGAGATAGATATTACCTATATTAAATAAAAAATAATGACATATTTCTTTCTGTCCCATGATAGCTTGAGATATTTTTATTCTTTCTGTTTCCTTTTCCATTAGTACTTTTCTGAACTACTTGGGATCTTTAGGACGTTTTTCTTTTCTTTTGTGTGATAGTAAAACTGAATACAGTCAAACATAAAACTAATTTTGACTTGCAGCTTTGCTCCTCTGCCTACATTACACTGCTTCTGTTGTCAAAGTAAAAACATAAAGCTAAATATTCTATAAACAAAATTGTTGGAGCACAAAATACTTAGGATTTTATTTACTAGCACAGCACATTTTTAAACTTGTAGGAATTCGTTTCCAGCTCTCCGAAAGGTCCATCCACTTTGTATATTCAGGTAAACCTGCTGTTTGTCTATCAGTCATGTCCTGTGCATCTATAAATTAACCATGTAGGCTTTCCATATGTGAAATGACTATCATTTTTAAACACTCTGAAGCACATTGGATGTCATCCTCAGTTAAACCTCATTTCCCCAGAGAAAATGGTTTATGCACTTCTAACTCTTCAGCAAAACAACAACAAAAAAATTGAGCTTATAAAATTGAAGTTAGATTTCAAGTAAGTTTACAGCTGTAGTAAAGAAATCCAGAAAGTTCTGTTTAATTTGCCTTTTTCTGGATACTTTTTTTAAAAGTTCTGAAACAATCTTATTTCCAGAAAGTTGACCTATTTTTCTTGGTTGGAGTTTTTATTGCAACCTACACATAACATTGAACAACTCAAGTCAGTGAGTTTATCCTTGTAGTCTCCTTATGGCCTCTTAGAGGATTATCAGACAGTTTCAGAGAACCAGCAGGTTTATTTCTGTTTTATTATAAACCTTCTCTCCATTCTCATCTTCGGTGTATTTACAAATTGAAGCAGACCATGCTGTTTTGTTCCACACTCAGATATTTTATGGCAAGCCAACATTTTAACATCTTTTCTGTGGCCAGCTTCAGTGATAGCCACCTTATAGACACATGTTTAAGGAAGCTATCTCCTTCCATTTCTATAAAGTCAAAAATTTCATTAAGTGCTTCTGTACATTTCAAGGAAATTGAAATGACCAAAAACTTTCATTATCAAAGCCTCCATATCTCAGGTAAGCAAATCACAGCTCTCTTTTAGCATTGTTTAGCAGATGAGATCCTTTCATTTTATTTGGTGAGAAGTTAAGAGACTGAATAGAATTCGTCAAAATTATCATTTACATCAAAAGCAGATAAATGAGCCAAGCCTAGTTTGTATTTGGCCAAGACATGATACCCTTTGTTTTGTGTTTCTGTGATTTTGTGAAAATCTTAATAGACATCAAGATGACAATTTGAAACTTCAGTTTTCAAGTCAAATTACCTAAGAGCTAGAGGGAACACTTTTTTTTTTTTTTTGATATGGAGTCTTGCTCTGTCACCCAGGCTGGAGTGCAGTGGCATGATCTCAGCTTACTGCAGCCTTCACCTCCCAGATTCAAGTGATTCTCCTGACTCAGCCGCCCGAGTAGCTGGAACTACAGGTGTGCACCACCACACCTGGCTAATTTTTTTGTATTTTTAGTAGGGATGGGGTTTTGCTATGTTGGCCAGGCTGGTCTCAAACTCCTGGCCTCAAGTGATCCACTTGTTTGCCTTGGACTCCCAAAGTCCTGGGATTACAGGCATTAGCCACCACACCCAGCAAAGGGAACACTTTCTGAATCAGGAAATGTAACTTTACATAGTTTCATAGAGTGATGCAACAATGGATTATAATTACTGTGAACTGTACATCATGGTTGCCAACATCAGTGGGCAGGAAAATAATAACAGTGACTACATAAGGTGAATAATCTATGCTATATCCATTAAACACTAAAAGCAGTATTGTTTTCAGCCCCTATTTTTTTGGCTGTCATAGGAGTTTTGCACTTTTCATCCCAACCTCCATACCCATCACAGAAAAACAGGATTTTTTGTGTCCTGGGAGGGTTTCCCACGACATGGGAATTTTAGTGCTAAAATCTGGGAAGTCAAACAAATGGGGACAGCTGGTAATTCTTCCTCACATCTCCTTCATCAGACTAGTGACCCATTCCCCTACCTACTGTGAGTGGGGCTTGTAACTCTACTGCCCCACTTCTCTGAATTGCCCTAGGTCTAACAGGAGCCACCTTGCTAGAAGGGTTCCACTCCCCAGAGAGGGCAGACCTAGGCCAAAAACTGTAGCAGGGTTCAAAAGGCCAGCCCCTGCTGCAGAGGGCTACTTCTAATTATATAATTTGTAGGCCCACCATGCGAGGTGGCTCACGCCAGCACTTTGGGAGGCCGAGGCGGGCAGATCATTGAGGTCAGGAGTTCGAGACCAGCCTGGCTAACATGGTAAAACCCTGTCTCTACTAAAAATACAAAAATTAGCCAGGCGTGGTGGAGCACACCTGTAGTCCTATCTACTCAGGAGGCTGAGGCAGGAGAATCACTTGAACCCAGGAGGCAGAGGTTGCAGTGAGCTGAAATCGTGGCACTGCACTCCAGCCTGGGCAACAGAGTGAGACTCCATCTCAAAAAAAAAAAAAAAAAAAAAAGAGAATTTGTGCTCTAGAATTTCCCCTTAGAATTAGACTAAAGCTAGTCTTCAGCTGAGACTATTAATATCTTCTTGCTAACTTTTTCCCCTGCTCTGTGCTGTCTCCATTATTCCCATATTCCTGAGAGTACTCCCCCTAAAAATAATTAAACATGAATTCCCATCTCAGGTTCTGCTTCTAGGGAAACATCACCTAGGACAAGATCCAAACCTATTCTCTTCCATTTCCTTAACCAGTTGTCCAAGACCATTTATTGAGATTCGTGCACTGAATTCCAAGTGATCTGCAATTTTACCTCAGTCATTCATACACACACACACACACACACACAGCTCCATGTTGAGAAATGTATGCATAGAGTCATATGATACTCAGAAAATAAACAGAACCAGTGAGCAAACCGGGCACGGTGGCTCACGTCTGTAATCCAGCACTTTGGGAGGCCAAGGCAGATGGATCTCTTGAGGCCAGGAGTTTGAGACCAGCCTGGCCAGCATGGTGAAACCCCATCTCTACTAAAAATTAAAAATTTAGCTGGGCATGGTAGTGGGTGCCTGTAATCCCAGCTACTCAGGAAGCTGAGGCATGAGAATCCCTTGAACCTGGGAGGCGGAGGTTGCAGTGAGCCGAGATCATGCCACTACACTCCAGCCTGGGCAACAGAGCAAGACTCCATCTCAAAAAAAAAAAAAAAAAAACCAGTAAGCAAAAACACAAGTACCAGGCCAGGCTTGGTGACTCACACCTGTAATCCCAGCACTATGGGAGGCTGAGGCAGGAGAATCACTTGAGGCCAGGAGTTCAAGATCAGCCTGGGCAACAACATGGTGAGACCCCATCTTCTACAAAAATAAAAAAATAAAAAACAACAAAAAACAACTTTTTAAATACAAACACCAAATAGCAGTTTCAACTTTAGTATGAAAAAGTGGGCCGGGCTTGGTGGCTCAAGTCTGTAATCCCAGCACTTTGGAAGGCCGAGGTGAGCGGATCACAAGGTCAAGAGATCAAGACCATCTTGGCCAACATGGTGAAACCTTGTCTCTACTACAAATACAGAAATTAGCTGGGTGTGGTAGCGCATGGCTGTAGTCCCAGCTACTCAGGAGGCTGAGGCAGGAGAATTGCTTGAACCCACGAGTCAGAGGTTGCAGTGAGCTGAGATCGTACCACTGCACTCCAGCCTGGTGACAGAGCGAGACTCCGTCTCAAAAAAAAAAAAAAAAAAGACAAAGAAAAAGTGAATAAGGATTCAGTTGTATTCTTTGTCATATAAATTCTAACTTTTAAGTGGTACTTAGCTTCTAATTGCAAATATTTGCTGGAAATTTTTTAATGTACCCTAAAAATATTGATACCATGCAACCTGCAGTGTGAAAAGGTATTTAAAAAATATTGCAGAATATTTATACATATTTATATAATTGATACATTATATGTAAACTTGAGCAACACATGTATCTTGAATATATACATAAATATAGATATATACATCATATATGTGTGTATATATACACATCTATATGATATATATACACATGATATATAGTATCTATATATGAGATATGTATATGTGATATATATGATATATATAATATATATACACATATGTATGTTCTTATATATACACAAATTTAACAGAGTTTGCTTGACCAAAGAATGATTCATGAATCAGGCAGCACTCAGAACCAGGAGAGGTTCCAAGAGCTCTACCCAGCAATGTGGGCAGGCAGTATTTATAGAAAGAAAAAGAGTGACATACAGAAACAACCTGATTGGTTATAGCTCAGCATTTACCTTTTCTGGGCATGATATGATGGGGCATTTGCCTTACATGAATGTTCTAATGAGTTGGCAGCCTGTGATTGTCTGAGACTCAGCTACTTGTTAAAAGAATAGATGCTTAGCCAGGTGCAGTAGCTCATGCCTGTAATCCCAGCACTTTGGGAGGCCGAGGTGGGCAGATCACCTGAGGCCAGGAGTTTAAGACCAGCCTGACCAACATGGTGAAACCCCATCTGTACTAAAAATACAAAATTAGCCGGGTGTGGTGGTGCATCCCTGTAATCCCAGCTACTTGGGAGGCTGAGGCAGGAGAACTGCTTGAACCTGGGAGGTGGAGGTTGCAGTGAGCCGAGATCACACCATTGCACTCCAGCCTGGGCAACAAGAGTGAAACTCTGTCTCAAAAAAAAAAAAAAAAAAACCAACCAAGAACCAAGAATATACTATTAAATTAGGTTGCAGTTTGCTATGTATGAGGCAGCTTTAAGCCAAACTTAAAGTGTAAGTTATTACACTTACTGTTTCACATGTATAGGAATGCAATTGATTTACGTATAACTTATATTTAGAACCTTGATGCATGCTCTTATTAATTCTAATAATTTGTATCTAGATTTTCTTGAATTTTCTTTCTTTTTTTTTTTTTTTTCAAAAAGAGTCTCTGTCGCCCAGGCTGGAATGCAATGGTGTGATCTCGGCTCACTGCAACCTCCACCTCCTGGGGTCAAGTGAATCTCGTGTCTCAGCCTCCCAAGTAGCTGGGATTTAACAGGCACACACCACCATGCCCAGCTAATTTTTGTATTTTCAGTAGAGATAGGGTTTCACCATGTTGGCCAAGGCTGGTCTCGAACTCCTGGCTTCCGGTGATCCGCCCACCTCGGCCTCCCAAAGTGCTGGGATTGTGCTGGCTCCCAAAGGCATGAGCCACCATGCCTGGCTTGAATTTTCTATAAACAATCATCTTCTCTATGATCAATGACATTTTTATTTCTCCATTTTTACTTGTCCTTCCTTTCTCCCTTTCTTCCTTTCTTCCTTCCTTCCTTCCCTCCCTCCCTCCTTCCTTCCTTTCTCACTCTTTCTTTTTCTTTTCTTTCTTTTTTTTTTTTTTTTTGAGACGGAGGTGTCCAGGCTTCAGTGCAGTGGCGCGATCCCGGCTCACTGCAAGCTCCGCCTCCCGGGTTCACACCATTCTCCTGCCTCAGACTACAGCCGCCCGCCACAACACCAGGCTAATTTTTTTGTATTTTTAGTAGAGAAGAGGTTTCACCGTGTTAGCCAGGATGGTCTCGATCTCCTGACATCGTGATCCGCCGGCCTCGGCCTCCCAAAGTGCTGGGATTACAGGTGTGAGCCACTGCGCCCAGCCGTCTTTTCTTTCTTATTATGTTGGACAGGACCTCTAATTGATTGTTGATGAGTAGTAATAGGAAGTAATAGGAAGCATTTATTGTCTCATTCATTATTTCATAGGGAATCATTCTAATGTTTAATCATGAAATACTTGTTTTTGGTAGCTATCCTTTAATGAATTGTCTATCAGGTGATTTTTCTCTAAATATTGAGATGAGCACAACCTTTAATATATTTATATGGTGAGTTACACTAATTGATTTTTGAAAGTTAAATTATCCTTGCATTTCTGAGGTAAACCCAAGTTGACTATGATTTACTTATTTACACAGAGCCAAATTATAATTGTTAATATTTTCTTTAGAATTTGTACGTCTACTTACATAATTTAATTCATCTATAATTTTTTTATCTTATACTGTTTTCTATTTTTTGGTATCAAGGTTATACTTGCCCTAAAAAATTTGTCGGGGAGTGTTCCCTCTATTTCTGTTCTCTAGAAGATTTTATTTAAGATTGGAATACTCTGTTCTTTGAATATGTTGTAGAATTCACTAATAAAGTCAAAATCATCTTAGCCTGTTGTATTTACCTGTTTGCTTGGTAGGTAAATTTTTAAATACCAATTCAATTTATTTAACAGATATTAGAAAATTCAGGATTTCTAGTTCTTCAATCAATTTTGTTAAATTATATTTTTCTAAGAAAGTCTACATTTTGTCCAAATTTTGAATTAGCACAAAACTGTTTCTAGTTACTACTTTTAGATCTCTAGTGTGTCTTGGTTACATTCTTCTATTATTAACAATTTCTATTTGTACCTTTTCTTATATTTTCTTGATCAGTCTTACCAAAGGTTTGTCTGTTTCTTTAATCTTTACCAAAAAACAGCTATTCATTTTATTGTTCTCGCATTGGATATTGTTTCTATTTCATTATTTTCTGTTTATATTTTCTTTCTTCAAGTTTGTTCTGATTTTATTTTCTTACCTTAAGTTAGATGTCTGCCTAGCTCATTGATTTATTCCTTTATTTTTCTTAATATAACCCTTAAGCTTAGAAAGAATTTAAGCACTATTTTAGCTTTATGTCACAAGCTGTGGTAGTAATATTTTCATTATCATTCAGTTCTAAATATTTTCTATTTTGTTATGTTTTCATGACCCATGGGATATTATTTTGAAGATTATATCTAATTTCCAAACAGATTTATTTTAAGCTATTTTAAAAATTGAATTATATGTTAATTGCATAACGGATGATGGCTAGAGAACATAGACCAACTGAGAATATCTTTAAAACTGTTGAATTTAGTGATTTCTTATCTAGAGTCTTTGGCAAAATGTAAATAAATAAAAAGAAAATTGTTAAATTTGGAATATGGTCAATATACATAACTGTTCAGTGTCTATTTAAGAGGACTATGTATTCTCTCATTGTTGAGTGGGGAATTCTATACACATAAATCAAATAAAAATTGTGTAACTCAATTCTATATTCTCATTAATTTTTTTTTTTTTTTTTTACTGGGTCATCTACAAGTTACTGAGAGAGCTGTTAAATCATTATGATAGTGGATTTGTCCCCTTTGCCTATAATTCTGCCAGGTTTTGCTAATAATCCTTTTCAACTTAACATCTATTTTGTCTGATTTTATTTTATTTTATTTTATCTTTTGGAGACAGGGCCTCAATTTGTCACCCAGGCTGAAGTGCAGTGGTGTGATTTCGGCTCACTGCAGGCTCCACCTCCTGGGCTCAAGTGTTCCTCCTGCCTCAGCCTCCCAAGTAGGTGGTACTGAATATAAGTTCAGCTAATTGTAGAATTCTAGGCTAACAGTTAACTTCTGTCAGCCCTTTGGAAATATACTAACGTCTTCAGACTTTCATTGTTGCTATTGAAAAGTGTATTCATTTTTTTATGGCTGTCACAAATTATCATGACTTTACTGGATTAAAAGAGCACAAATTTATTGTTTCAAAGTTCTGTAGGTCAAAAGTCAGGAATGGATCTCACTGGGCTAAAATCAAGGTGTTGGTCAGCTGGCTTTATTCCTTTCTGAGGGCTCTTGAGTTTGTTTCCTTGCTCATGCAGATGTTGGAAGAATTCAGTTCCATGCAGTTAAAGGACTGAGGTATGTTTCCTCACTGGTTGTCAACTGGGAGCTACCCTTTACTCTTAGAAGCTCCTTTCTGATCCTTGCACATAGCCTCCTACATCTCAGGATCAAATTCTTCCCATCCTGCCATCTCTTTGACCCAGCTAGTCAGCATTCTCTACTTTTAAATACTTTAGTGATTAGATTGGGCCCACCTGGATAATCCTGGCTACTCTTCCCATCTGAAGGGTAACCTTAACTACTTCTGCAGAGTCCCTTTTGCCATGTAAGGTAACATATTCATAAATTTAGGGGATTAAGGTGTAAACATCTTTGCAGGGTGTGGGGAGGACATTATTCTGCCAAACAAAGAAATGGGCTGTCAGTCTAATTGTCTTTCCTTTGTAGATGATTTGGCTGTTCTCTCTAGCTGCTTTTAAGATCTGGCTGTTTCTTGGAATGTATTTCTTATTTATCCTTGTGAACACTGACTCTCCTCCATTCTCTTTTAAAATTCCTACTAAGCACAAACTAGATCTTTCTTCACTCTTTCTTTCTCTCTTTCTTTCTTAACAGGGTCTTGCTCTGTCACCCAGGCTGGAGTGCAGTTGCTCTATCATGACTCACTGCAGCCTCAAATGCTTGGACTCGAGCAATCCTTCAGGTAATTTGTGTGTGTGTATGTGTGTGTGTGTGTGTGTGTGTGTGTGTGTGTGTGTGTGTAGATGGAGGTCTCACTATGTTGCCTAGGCTGGTCTCAAACTCCTGGCCTCAAGTGATCCTCTCACTTTGGCCTCCCAAAGTGTTGGGATTATAGGAGTGAGCCACTACGCCTTGCCAACTAGATCTTTCAAATCTGTCCTCTCACTCTCAGCTCAGCTCTGCACCACAGGCCTCAAGCATGTGTGGATGCTTCAGCACCCATGTCCAAGCCTCATACCTACAGATGATCATCTATTGGCTATTCTTGATGCAGACTTTGGCACAGTCCACCCTCAGGAGGAGGGATGCAAGAAAGAGACCCGATCAAGCCCTGGAAGTAGACTCAGAGCTGTTAGGGCAGGAAATTTTGGGGCTCTGCATTCCTAGTGGGTGATTTAGGAATGAAGAGTGTGGGGTCCAGATGAATCCAATCTTTTGGCCGTGTGGACTCCTCACCTTGTGAGCATGGGCACAACTGGAGGAAGGCTAGAATGAGACCCTCTTAAGTAAGGAGCCTAAGGCAGGGGGCCTCTCAATCCAGGGGTACAAGGCAGATCCCCTCTTACTCAGATCCAAGGGCAGTGCCATATGAGACAACAAGCACACTTCTTTCAAGAGGGAGAATGCTAGTAAGGTAAGGCAAGGAAGAGGAGGAAGTGTTCTGTGCAAGAGGTTGAGGATGTGAGGTCAGGAAAGTTTGGAAGTACAGAGAAATATGGATTTAAAAGTAGGCAAGAGATGCATGGTGAAATTAGCTGGCCTCTACATTGCAAGTAGAACCGTGTAGTCAACTTTGGGCATAGTTACAGCAGATTCAGCCTTTATAAAGGCTATTCTTTCTACCTAAACAACTCTTCTGACTGCTCCTGATTTGCTACATCCCTTATGTTCTCAGCTTGAATTTCACTTGCTTTAGGAGGCCTTGCTCCAAGCCCCTGATTAATCTATCCCTCTCTGTCTTCAATTTTTCCATAAACTCTGTAGTTCTCTTTTTGTTATATCTAATCAC
Source organism: Homo sapiens (assembly GCF_000001405.40). Classification (NCBI taxonomy): domain Eukaryota; kingdom Metazoa; phylum Chordata; class Mammalia; order Primates; family Hominidae; genus Homo; species Homo sapiens. The sequence continues at coordinate 122,527,662 of NC_000003.12, forward strand.
ACTTGTTAAGTTGTCCATGCCTTTTTGATTATTCAGGCTAAAAGGTTTATGAAGACATCTGTCTTGTCCGGCATCATATCCTGGGACCCACAAAGTGACTGAAATATATCTGGTGGTCAATATATATTTGGTGAGTAGATAATATGTCCTCATGGTGTTTGAGTGGCATTGCTTGATGTAGCTGAATCCAAATAGAATATCAGCTTTTTTATGTCCTTCCACTTCAAATTGTTTCATTTTACACATAATTTTTCAGAGCCAGTTAATCAGACAAAGATGATTTATTTTCATACCTAAAGCACTTTATAATATTCTCTGGAAAATCTAAAATCATTCTGTTATCCTAACATTTTTATACTATCATCATTTTAGAAAATAAAAGGCCTGCGTTATATACTAGAAAAATTTCTTCATTATATGCAAAATATTTATCTCCTCTAGTAAAGGAGATTAAAGAACAACTGCAAGAGGAAGGAAGGTCCTGAAAGTGTTTCATTTGGTATCTACCTACCCCAACCCCAAGACATAAAGACAGATAAAGGCACTAAGATGCTAGTATGTGGCTAGTCCTTTCAATAACCCAGTCAGTCCATACAGATAACCCATGGGATATATTCAAGCCACTCTTTGAGCCATCGATGGTCATTATTTGGTTAGTTCACCCAAGGTAAGGCCATACCAGCTGTTAAAATGATGTAGAGATTAATCAACAGGGCTGCCACTTGCGAATCCCCTCCAAGGATGCTGTGCAAAGGGTCTCATTGGTCCTGATGAGTAATCTTGTGACTGTACATATTCCTGGGTGCATGTCCACAAATACTGAGGTATAGCCTGCATGCCACTAAAAATAACAAAGGTTTCAGGGCTGGAGACATTGTCAACCACACTGTCATGACCATCTATAGCTCCAGGACTCAGTGGTGGGGGAACAATATTTAACGGATGTCCCTGGCAGAAGAAGCCTGTGAGTACTTCAGCCTCAAACACATAGATCAGCTTATCTGCAGCAGAGATTTTCTTGGCCTTCTCTGCCAGGTTTTTGAGGTTCTTGGTGAAGTATATGCCAGCTCCGTATTTTGGATCTGATAAAGGAAAAAATAAAATAAAAAGATTATTATAATCTGGTAAATGATATTGCCGATTTGGGTACTAATATCTATTCTTTCTTTAGTCTTCCAAATAATCACTTCCTCCTGATTCTGAGTTCCTGTGTCTATAGCAAAGACACTCAAAATTGTTCCTTGAAACAAATTATCACTGACACCATCAACATCATAATAACTTACATTCAAATATACCATTAGGGCTGGGCACAGTGGCTCACACCTGTAATCCCTGCACTTTGGGAGGCTGAGGCGGGTGGAACACCTGAGGTCAGAAGCCTGGCCAACATGATGATACCCCGTCTCTACTAAAAATACAAAAATTTAGCCAGGTGTGGTGGCAGGCACCTGCAATCCCAGCTACTCAGGAGGCTGAGGCAGGAGAATCACTTGAACCCAGGAGTCGGAGGTTGTAGTGAGCCAAGATCGCACCACTGCACTCCAACCTGGGCAATAAGAGCGAAACTCTTAAAAAAAAAAAAAAAAAAAAAAAAGAACCATTAGTGTTCATAGAGAAGTTAATGGTTTTCAAAGTATTGCACATTGATTAGATTAAATTATCTGTGATTTGGGTAGTAACTCCACGTAAAAGACAAAGATCTGAGATTCAAAGAACTTAGATTCAAGTCAGTATTATCAACTAAGTAGCTGACAGAGCATAACAAAAGGAAGGTTCTGTTTCCCTTAGAACATTGTCTGACTTCGGCCGGGCGCGGTGGCTCACGCCTGTAATCCCAGCACTTTGGTAGGCCGAGGCGGGCTGATCACGAGGTCAGGAGATGGACACCATCCTGGCTAACACGGTGAAACCCCGTCTCTACTAAAAAAAATACAAAAAAATTAGCCGGGCGCAGTTGGGGGCGCCTGTAGTCCCAGCTACTCCGGGGGCTGAGGCAGGAGAATGGCATGAACCCGGGAGGCGGAGCTTGCAGTGAGCCGAGGTTGCGCCACTGCACTCCAGCCTGGGCAACACAGCGAGACTCCGTCCCAAAAAAAAAAAAAAAAAAGAACATTGTCTGACTTCTACATGCTACAAATAGGGATATTTCCAGAACTCTCAAGAAGATGGTTTGAAAATAGCATCTAATAAGAGAAGACGGAGTGCCTCCTAACCTCATGAACAGCATTACAAGAAAAATATGTCATCTGGGCCCGGTGGTACACACCTGTAATCCCAGCACTTTGGGAGGCCAAAGTGGGTGGATCGCTTAAGCCCAGTATGGGCAACATGGCAAAACCCTATCCCCACAAAGAATACAAAAATTAACCAGGCATGGTGGTGCACACCTGTAATCATAGCTACTCAGGAGGCTGAGGTGGGAGGACTGATTGAACTCAGGAGGTTGAGGTTGCAGTGAGCTGTGATCGTGCCACTGCACTCCAACCTGGGTGACAAAGCAAGGCCCTGTCTCAAAAAAAAAAAAAAAAAAAAAGGAAAGAAAAAGAAAAATATGTCAAGGGGAATGTGGAGTATATAAAATGACAGTGTGCATACTTCATTGTTTAGGAAAAGCACTCCTGGATTTGGAAGGACAGAGGCATTCTAGTCACCAGGAGGGTATTGTGTACTCTCCATGGGTTGGCACAATACCTCATGAAGAATCTCCACGTGCATGTTATCTAGGTCCATGCTCACCGGGCAACTTTCCACCCATCAAGCACTCTGGGGACTGTGATACTAAGGAAGATATGCCCTATTCCCACCACTAGAAATGAGTACTCTCCATTCTGACACATTGCCTGTGATCTGTATTATCTTCTTTGGGGTATTAAAAACACTCAGGAGGCTGAGGGCCAAATTCTGGATCTCGAAGTAATCCCTGTTCACTGCCCTTTCTGACCTCACTTAGAGGGAAAAAAATTATACCTTCTTTGATGCCATATTATCCTTCCTTCCTTTCCTTTTTTCATTTCTTCCCTCTCTTTCTTTATGTGGGATGTAACCAAACACTTTTAGGCTCAAGAGCAGAACTAAACAACAGAAACGTACTATGAGTCACACATGTCGTTTAAAACTTCCAGGCTGAGTGGCTCATGTCTGTAATCCCAGCACTTTGGGAGGCCAAGGCAGGAGGATTGGTGGAGGTCAGGAGTTTGAGACTAGCCTGGGCAACACAGTGAGACCCAATCTCTACCAAAAATAAAAAAATTAGTCAGGTATTGTGCCACTCACCTGGATTCCCAGCTACTCTAGTAGCCACATTTTAAAACATTTTTTTAAAAAAGGTGAAATTAACATTTTTATTTAAGCCATTCAAGATGTTATTTTAACATGTAATCTATATTTTGAAAAGTATTAGATATTTTACATTCTTTTGTAGTAGGTCTTTGAAATCCGGTGTGTATTTTATACTTACAGCATCTTTCAATTTAGACCGGCCACATTTCAAGTGCTCAATAGCCGCATGTAGCTAGCGGCTACAATATTGAACAGTGCAGCTCTGGAAATTTAAAAGTGAGTAAGATATGATCCCTATTCTCAACATTTCACAAAGGGAAGTCTCATCATGTAAACAGATAAAATATAGTACAATTTATGTGGCAAGGTAATATTTTGAGATAAAAATCAAAGATTTTCTTTCCCGGGAGTTTCTTCTTGCTCTTTGTTCTTCCACCTATTGAGTCCTTGCTACTTCTTATTAAGGGCGAAAAGGATAAAGATGAGAACAAAGTCTATATATAAATATATGTATAGTTTTTTGAGAACTGCCTGCTGGGTGCAGTGGCTCACATCTGTAATCCCAGCACTTCGGGAGGCCGAGGCGGGTGGATCACGAGGTCAGGAGTTCGAGACCAGCCTGGCCAACATGGTGAAACCCCGTATAACTGTATGTATATAATTGTATGTATCTATATGTTTGTGTTTACAAGTACATATATATATATGTAATTATTTTTAATTCACAGAAGAGAGTATGGTCTTGAAATTCTGGCTTTCAGAGTTAGCTTTTCTGAGAGGAAAAGGGCTTTTTGAACCAAAAGCTAAAAACCAGAAGGATTCAGAGCATGGGTTGTTTTTTTTTATTATTTTATTTTGTTTACCATAAATGACAGAGCAGAGAGTAATACAAAATATTCTAAGAACATTTTTCTCATTTCAAGACAAATGAAAGTTCTTTCTTCCAGCTGGTGGGAAAAGAAGTATCAGAAGTGATGTGACTAGAGCTCTTGGGGGAGCTTGGGAAAGGGCTCCCTTCACTACCCCCACTCCCTTGAGAGCCCTGGGAGTCAAGAGGGGGCAGAACAATGGAAATCTCGGAATAAGAACAATTGGAGGGACTCACAGAGCAGACAGGACCCTGGCCTGACTCTGGTGGGTGCAGTCCCTCATCCAGCTTCATCACCTGAGTGGAGAGTGGCAATGGCTGGAGAAGTCTCTGGAGCAGGTGAGGACCACTACCCAAGACCCTGCATTCAGCTTGGAGGATGAACATGCTCAAAAATTTCCTGTGTGGCAGGAGGAACACAGACATGGCCTGGAAAGGAATTTCTTCAGCATGGAAAAGACATAGAGTGGCCTGTGCAGACACTACCTGAGTGTGAAAGGCACAGGAGACTGCTAATGACCAAAGCTCAGGTGGTTTATCAAGCAGAGGACAATGGGAGCCATAAGCCAGACAACCCTCCCCACAATGCCTCTCCCAGCATAGACAAAAGAGGAGAAAAGGGGCAAACATTGCAGGAACTGAGTTTCAATCTTGAAGGGACTATGAAAACTCTGAAAATGACTGAGTTCACCTTGAACTGTCAAGATTCAAATTTTCCACATCTGTGGTCATGGGGAACGTGAGAGTTGGGTAAAGTTCCATTATAGAGCCATAAAGGAAATGAGTTCTATGCCTGAGTTTTGTAGGACTACAGATTTTAGTACTTATTAAAGTTATAGATGTCATAACAAAGGAATGGAGGTATGCAGGAGCACAGAGGAGGAAGATACTTACTAGGCCTGTAGGCCTGCAGGAAAGATGCCAACCAGGAGATGCCATTTGTACTATGTCTTAAAGAATAGGGGTTTGTAGCACTGAAAAGGGCAAGGAGGGAAGTCATTCCACAGACAACGGGATAGAGGCATGAAAGTAAACAGCATGTTTAGGGAACTCTAAAAAGTTAATGGCTGCAGTCTTGAGGAACATAGTGGGTGATGACTGCTGAAATAATGTGGGAGCTAGGGCCTTATATTCTCTGCTAAGGAGTTTGGGCTTTTATCCCGTAGGCAACTGGGAATACAGATATTAAGCAAGAATGTAATTTTTAGCGTGATAATTCTGGTGGTAAAGGATAGATTAGGTAGGGGTGTGTTTTGTGGCAAGGAGAGGACCTAGTAATAGTCTAGGTCTGAAGGAAGATTAACTAAGGCAGTAGGAATAGAGAGGTGAAACTGGGCTGAGATCTTCATGAGAGTGAATCACTAGGACTGGGTGAATGCCTGGGTATAAGGGTGAGGGAAAAGGAGGAATGGAGGATGATAATGTTTCAGCCTTAGGAAACCTGGTAGGTAGATGGTGATGATACTAACCAGGTTAGGGAGAATCAGCAAACAAAGGGCATATTTCTTAGGGAAAATCATGACCAAGAAAAGGGATCAATTTGAGTTACCTATGGGACATCTGGGTAAAGATGTCAAAAAGAGAGTGAGACATATGAACCTGCAGGTCAGGAGAGAGGTAGGGAGTTAAGAGTTAGAAATTCCTAAGTCGTCATCATTGAGGTAGGAGTTGAGGCCATGGGAACAGGTGCCATCACCAAGGGGGACATCGTAGAGGAAAAAAGAGAGAAGATAAAGAATGGGCAACAGGTGAACTCGTGAGATTATAAATTGTAAGGGCAAGAACTCTATGGTTTTTTATTTACACTCTATTTCTAGTACCCCTAGCACAGGGCCTGATTCATAGAATGTGCTTAATAAATACCTGTGGAACAAATGAATCAACCCAGTAAGAAACTGCATGTGTAGATGCCTTCTTGCTGCACTCAACCAAGTCCTACAAGCAAGAGATTTATTCAGAACTGGTTGGAATGCAAACATAAATAGAAAAAAGAAAATAAAGGTTTGTTAACAGAAGTTCTGTCTCCTTTGCCTGTGGGTGGCCATCTAAATTGACTGAGAGTCCTATAATTTGGAATATTGCACGGCTGAAAAAGCTAAGAGCTTTTGTACTCCAAATAACAACAGCTTCAGTGGTAGCAAGATTGGTGTCTCCTGGGCTTGTCTGGCACCTTCTGTTAAGAGTTCTCTCTAGCCTACAGAGATGAGTCAATTGGTGCAGGTCACATTATGAGTCATGTCTGAATTGCCTCAAGGCAGTGGCTGTTAAGCTAAGGGATAGGGAGAAGGGCAGAGCACACAGACAGCAGGTAAGAGACCAAAATCTTGAGTTGAAAGACTATATGGAGACAAGATCTGTGGTTAGGTTATAAAGACATAAACTTAACCAGAAGAAATTAGGCCTCGTGCCCACTGAATTTTTAAAGGAACTGTATTGCTGAAGAAACCACAAGCCTGGTTGCAACAGCCTGAGCACATTCTAGCCTGTGAGAAAATCCATGGCTCCCTGATAGGCAATGAACCTGGAAATAGCCAAGGGCCACAATATATAAGGAAGATTTTCCCAGAGTGCAAAATAAAGGTTTTACAACATGGAATAGGGAGTCCTCTCTATACCTGTTCGGCAGCATGTAGATAAGTGGTGTGAGCCAGTGGCTGTTGTGTGTTTTGCTTCTCCCCTTTCAACATGAGAGTTTTCATTGCAGTTTTCCCGCTCCTTTTTATATCACTATATAATGAGTATGTTGGGGGCAGTATCTTGCCTTTAAGCTTTAAGAGAGAACTGCCTGCTGGGCATGGTGGCTCATACCTGTAAGCCCAACACTTTGGGAGGCTGAGGTGGACGGATCACGAGTAGCTGGAGATCAGCCTGGCCAACATGATGAAACCTCGTCTCTACTAAAAAAAATACAAAAATTAACTGCACGTGGTGGCACATGCCTGTAATCCCAGCTACCTGGGAGGCTGAGGCAGGAGAACTGTTTGAATCTCGGAGGCGGAGGTTGCAGTGAGCCAAGATGGTGCCACTGCACTCCAGCCTGAGTGACAGAGCAAGACTCCGTCTCAGAAAAATAAATAAATAAATAAAGAGAGAACTGCCTGAACTTGAGCTGATGATGAGTCTGGCTAAGACCTTGGGACCATATTCCTTGGGAGGATAGTGGGTGTCTTAGATGTTTTAGTAAGAAAGATGTGTATAGATGTTGGGTAGGCAAGTAGCAGAGTCTGTCACAGGACTGAAAAGAGAATACTCACTAGATTTGGAAAGTAAGAGCACAGCGATGATCTTAATGAAAGTAATTTAAGTAGAAGTAGTGGGTGGGGATTGCAGAGAAGCCAGCTTTAGGAGCAAATGGAAATTATAGATTTTTTAAGACTTTGCTAATGAAGGGACTATACTGATCATCACTTTCCTGATTGCCCCAAAAGGCTTCTTGGTAGGGATTCATTTCTCTATTTTTATCCCCAGTAATTGTCTATGTTCAACATTTACCCCAAGTTTTGCCTATGTTCTCTCCAGAACAAAGAAAAGATGATTTCTAGAGCCTTTGCATCCTAGAAACCAAGTCTATTGGAATTGACTCCTCAGCAAGGATCATGCTACATATGTTGAAAGATAAAGATCAAGAGCCACATATTTAATAGACCAAGCAAAATCAAGCCACCCCGCTAAGTATCTCTCCATAATTTTTACTAAATTTCTTTTCCTCTTTTGGAGAGAACTAAAGCCAGAAATCTTCATTAGTGACTGAGGAGTAGAGGGGGCAATATAAGAATTATATATGCAATGTTTTTGTACATCTGAAAAGAGACATGGGAGTTACACATAGAACTCCTATGGATGAAGAGGATCTTAAGATGTTATGCACTTCACCTGCCAAATGATACCTAATTCATTCACTAGCAGGCTATAGGAAACAAAGGGATGAAAGAGAAAAGACCAACTTTCTTAAATTTGGGAAAATGCCCTTTTAATTAAGGGATGAGGACGGTTCAGTGCTGTTGGTAATAATTTTGTTGAGATAAGTAAGGCAAAAAAAAAAAAAAAAAGCCTCAACGTGTTCTCTGCGGATAGGACACAGAAACACATAAAGGAGAAAAACAGTGAACCGTAGTTCTTACTGCTCACACTTTTCATCAATGTAAAATGCATCAGCAACAAAAGATACGAAGGAAAAGTAAAAAATACCACTCTTTCCAAAATACTTTGTGACCTGGGTCATCATTTGTGACCTCTAAATCACAGTCACAAATGATCCCTTCCCCACAACAACAAATGCTATCAGTGGAAGAATCTACTGATGTCAGCTCACCAAATTCCACAGAGTAGCCCCAATGATGAGGCATTGACACCTACCGCAAGGTGTCGAGTACATTCTTTGAAAGCCAACTCTGCATACCACATTGCAGAACTGGTATGGGACTTGCTGAAACAGCCTATGGCTCACAGGTTGCCTGTGCAGTTTTTCTTCCATCATTTTCTTCTTTCTTTGAAAGGCAGCCATAAGGACCTCATTGTCTATCTTCTCCACCTAGAACCATAGAAAAGAAAGACTGAAAAAGAGGCTAGAGAACCGCTCTTTAAATTGCCTGCTATACTGCTTCAAAAATAAAGGAGCTTATGTGCATAATACTACTTTGCATGCAATTCGCTTTTCATAGAAAGTTGCAAAAGAGTCTCTCCTCCCTCTAATCCTCTCCTATTTTGATTCGTTCTTCAAAATTCCCTGCCCCTTCTCTAATAAATTCCTTTAACAAAAATTCACTGACCTAGACATAGTCTCTGCCCTCTTAAGCTCATAGTTTAGTGAGATAGAAAAATAGGTAAACAATTATAACACAGTGTGATAAATGCTATTCCACTTCTTTTATTTTGCTCAAAGACGGGCTTCCTGGATCTGGAATCCTTGCTTCTGTGTGTCCTGATGTCATTCCTACCTCCCGATTCCAACTATATCCCTCGTGCCTGCCCTGCCCTGCTCTCTTTTCAGTCTTACTGACCTAGGATTCCAAGTCCATGAGCAGCCAGCTTAGAATCATCAGCAGGTGAGCTTTTCCTTTGGCTACAGAAACAAGTTAATTAACAACAAAATGAGCCAAATCTTCCCCTTTGTTAGGTATACCTTTAGAACCTGCAAACCACATTTTTCAAACTGTTTCTTTTGATCTAGAAGCTCTTGAGTTGGAGGCACAGGACATTTCAGAAATATGATATTTTCTTTCATTTCGTCTTGGGTTTTTTGTTGCTGAATAGTCCACTGTCCTAAAAATGAGTAACACAAAAACTTTACTTCAATGCTCTGAGAGAGGAGAAAAGAAATTTAATGAAACAAATTCTAGAAATTTAGAGGAAGGGATTAGCCAGTTTAAATTGTGTGCCTCATGTGTTTAGGACATGCGAGGAGAGCTATAATACTACGAGCGGTCAGGATAAAATAAAGGGGTAATAAATTTGTCTTTGGATGATTTGAATCATGAGGCTAAGGGGATGTGAGTAAAAGGAGCATAATATATACTTGCTTCTCCACAATCAATGCTGTAATGATGAGAAATAATTGTGTTGCTCATAGGAAATGTTTTTATTTCTAGCCCCAATGCCTATCAGCAAAAACAGACAGGCATTAGAAAATATTAAGTAAGGAATGATGGGAAATGACATGACATTTGTAAAACACTTCAAAATTTTCAGTTTCCTTCCTTATTTGATCATTATAGCACCACCACGTAATAATTAACACAATTTTACAAATAAAGAAATTGAAGTTCAAATAAGTAACTTGCCCCATATCACACACCTAGTAAGTAAAGAACTAAGATTACAAACCTGGCTTTCACCAATGCTTTTTGTAAGTGACAAGGCAAAATACTTGGAACATGTATCACTCATATACCACCCAATGAAGAAGAGCAAAATTTGGAGATTAAGAGTCTATGATGTCTTGTTTTTCCTCCCTTCCTCCTTTCTCCTCCTCCCATTTCCCTCCCTCCCTCTCCTTCCTTCCTTACTTCCTTCTTTCCTTCCTTCCTTCCTCCTTCCTTCCTTTTTTTCCTCCCATCCTTGTTTTCAACCTGTTTTTGTCCAAGGGAGCTCCTTACTGGACTAAATATACAGGTGGACAAATGAAAACCAAAAAAGACTTGTTTTCTCTTGGTTTACTTTTAGTTTGACTTAAGACCAAGTATACTAAAATGACCTAATCCCTGGTTCATTATCTAATTGAATGGGCTCAATTTAACCACAAAAAGCAGGTGACGAATTGAGGGGAACTCACTAGAGAGCCAAGTTGTAAATCTGAGAAAGTAGGAGGGACAAAACTCCATAGCAGAGGAGTTGCAAAGCCCAGAAACTACAACAGAAGACTGTAAATTAACTTTGGGGAGCAATAGCTCATATTTATAAGGTGTAATATTAGAGTTCAGTTTACTTGAGTTCAACAAACATTTGCCAAGCTCCTCCTACATGTCAGGCACTGGGCTGGGCACTGGGGACCCAAAGATCACAAACTTCTGCCGTTGGAAATGCCTACCAGGAAGGATTAAGAGTGGCATAAAAGAGAGGCCATGCCTAACTTTGATTTAAAAAATAAAATTATTGTTCTGATGGATATTTGATATTCCTTATAATGATAACTCATCTCAAAATTATCCATTTTGTTAATGAAGATCTTAATCTGATTAAGACAGGGCAGGTTTGCCTGAACCTCTAAGGCTTCTATGGAATAATATGCTTAGTCCTCAACTACCAAAAGTGCCATCGTGCGGCAGAGCAAGAGACTTATATGACTCAAAATTGTCAATAGCTGGGAGCATTGGCCCACCTTATGATTTCAGTTAATTTAAAGCAATGCCACACACACACACACACACACACACACACACACACTCTAACAAAATAATGCCACAAGTTTTATAGGAGATCCATGTTTCTTTGTATCCTGTTCCCCTAAGCTGGCACTGGTGTCAGTTTCAATACCTACATTCACTGTTTCAAAAACTAAGCGAAAATCATAATCTTGGTTCTTATGCTTGTGTATTCTTTTTATCCATGTTTTTTTTTTTGCCACTGTGTTTTCTGTGGGATGTAAATACAACATTTATGGCGAACTCTCGCTCACTCTAATCATTTATTCCTGCATTATTTTTACAAACACATGGTGAAAATAAGGTGTCCTTTGAAATTTTGCCTCTGAATTTTTGTACCTCTTACTAAATCCATTCTCCACATTATAACCAATGATCTTTCTAAAAACACAAGTCTGATGTTAACTTTGCTTAAAATTCTTTAAGGTTCCCTATTTGTTTCAAGAAACTCTCTGTACTCTTTCACGTGATTTATAAGGTCTTGCATAATCCAGGCCTTGCGACAATCTTATTTCTTGACGTTTTCTTTCTTTGCCTGACTTCTACCTATTATCCAGTTCTCCATTTATGACACCTGTGATAAGCCCTTCCCTGACTTCCCAAGTCTGGGTTAGGTGCCTCTCCGCAGTGCTCCCAGAGCACTTTTCGCTCTCCTCTATCATCACTAATCTGTGTGCTCGTCAAGGTCCCCCATTAGACTTTGAGCAGGAACAATGTCTATCTTGTTTATTGCTGTAGTCCTTGCACCTAGCACAATGCTTGGCACGTCATGGGTGCAATATGCATTAGTTGAATGATATCTATATCTATCTCTATCTCTATCTCCCAAGATGGCATTTCTTTCTTTCTTTCTTTCTTTCTTTCTTTCTTTCTTTCTTTCTTTCTTTCTTTCTTTCTTTTTTTTTTGAGACAGAGTTTCGCTTTTGTTGCCCAGGCTGGAGTGCAATGGTTCGATCTTGGTTCACTGCAACCTCTGCCTCCTGGGTTCAAGTGATTCTCCTGCCTCAGCCTCCTGAGTAGCTGGGATTACAAGCATGGGCCACCATGCCTGGCTAATTTTTTTTGTATTTTTAGTAGAGACAGAGTTTCTCCATGTTGGTCAGATTGGTCTTGAACTCCCAACCTCAGGTGATGCGCCCACCTCGGCCTCCCAAAGTGCCGGGATTACAGGCGTGAGCCACCGTGCCCAGCCCCGAGATGGCATTTCAATAGTATAATTTCCTAGTTAGCTCTAGGGCTCTGTTAAAAGGATCTCTCCAGATCCAAATTCCCACGTGTATCCTGATGAGTTTAGTCCCGCTGAATGGGAGATACTTGAGTGTACCTCACATTACCAATGTATAACTTCATTGGCGAGAGGGCTCAAGGTAAGTAATTTTAGCGTTCCTAATGCTGTCAGTGACAAATAAATACAATAAAACTTGATAAAAGAAATAAGTTAATCAGATGGAATGTGTCTACACTTGAGTGCTGCATCTGAAGAATTAGAAATGTATACTTTTCCCCATGGCTTGGGCTTGAGTTTTACCACTGCCAAAATTCCATGTAATTGCCTCTTAGACAATCAAGGTTATTACAAGTAAATAAAATTGTGTTTGTGTATGTGTTCACAAATAACCCTGATTGTCAAAAGAGAGCAAAAAAATAGCTCACAAAGGCTTATGATCTAACAAAGAACCAGAATGTTTGATCCCTCCTCTCTCCTTCTGTCTCTTACCCACATCCATACATACACGCTCACACCCAAAAGAAGAAACAATGGGGAGAATTTACTTTCTAATTTGATAGAAAGTTACTCACCTAACGAGCGCCAAAGGCCTCGCTCCTTTTTCCTTGCCATTTCCTCCTGTACTTTACAAAGCATATCTTCAATGTTCATAACCACCTCAATGAGGTCAGCCCGGGCTCCTTCAATCTCTAACTCTGTCCTTCCTGGGCTGATAATTTCTGTGATGGAGACACTTGAAGTTTTCTGAAGCTGAGACAAAATGTCATGTTCCTTTCTCCCAAGGTACAGAATATGATTATTCTCAATGATGTGGTGGTTCTGGAGACTCAGGATTCTTTGGATCCATGCGTGGGCCTCATACATCTCTTCCACGTTGAATCCCATCAGATTGATGGCAGGAGATCTAGCTTCAAGCCCATTTTCTCTTTTCTCCTCTCTGGTTGACTGGGGGACTGAAATGACTATAATAAGCAACCATGGAAGACTAGCAGTTTTTTGTTTTTTTTTTGAGATGGAGTCTCGCTCTGTCTCACAAGCTGGAGTGCAGTGCTGCGATCTCAGCTCACTGCAAGCTCCGCCTCCCGGGTTCACGCCATTCTCCTGCCTCAGCCTCCCGAGTAGCTGGGACTACAGGCGCCCGCCACCAAGCCCGGCTAATTTTTTGTATTTTTAGTCGAGACGGGGTTTCACCGTGTTAGCCGGGATGGTCTCAATCTCCCGACCTCGTGATCTGCCTGCCTCGGCCTCCCACAGTGCCAGGATTACAGGCGTGAGCCAACGTGCCCGGCCGACTAGTGGGTTTTAAAACAGTGCAGAACAAAACACCATGGCCAGTGTTTTACCCCTATGATATTGTCACCACTGTCAGCAGTAGCAGCTTCAATTAAGTACCTATCTCTGAAAGCTGCATTGGGTATGAAGGAAATCAACCTGTATCGTTTACAGCCTCCTTGGGAACACAGAGTTTAGCTTGTAATGGATTAGCTTTATCGTCTCTTGCCTCTGCTATGTTGCATTTGGCAGTTCACAGATGAGTTCACCTTGTGATCTCACCCTGGATGTTAACTAAGTATTATTTCCTGCTGAATAGGATTTTCCTTAACCTCTTGCTACTAGTTTTAAAATCAAACATCTCTGAAAGACACAGAGCTTGAAGAGTCAAAATTATTTTTTAAAAAACAAACATGAATCTCTGATTTTAAGAATAATACATGTTTATTATTTAAAAATTGGGAAATTATCGACATATAATGGAAAGAAGAAATACCTGTAATTCCACTACTCAGGATTCCTCACAACCTTATGAGAAAGATACTAGTAGTTGTCCCATCTCACCAACAAGGAAACTGATTCACAGAGTCATTAAGTAACTTGCCCATGGCTATAGGACTAGTTAGTGGTGGCCATGAAGCTAGTAGGTATGGGCATCTGACTCCAGTGCTCCCACATATGCCTCCCAGTGAGTAATATCTGAATAGCAGTGGAAATTCTCATCTTTCTCCTGAGATCTCAGTTGTGTGGTACAGGAGCTACAAAAGAAGTATAAGGACAGACCTAGAAGTAAGATGGGGAGGATGGCCTTCCTCTGAGTAAAGATAAAAAAGACAAAAGCCAAGGTTTTAGACAACAGTAAGAAGTAACCCAGGTTTTATATTGGAGGCATACTTTTTTTAAAACCCTTGTTCTGTCTAGGAGATTATATTATTTTTTAGGAGAAAATAAAAACAATGCATAGTGATATTGCATTTATCCATTATTATCAAGAGAAACTTCTTTTTCTTCTTCTTCTTCCTCTTCTTCCTTTCTCCTCTCCCTCCCCCTACCCCTTTCTTCTCCTCCTCCTCCTTCTACTACTACTTTTTTTTTTTTTTTTTTTTTTTAGAGACAGGGTGTCACTATGCTGGTCTTGACCTCCTGGCCTCAAGCAATACACCCACCTTGGCCTCCCAAAGCACTGGGACTACAGGCATGAGTCAGCATGCCTGGCCAATAATCATAATAATAATAATACTAATTTTTTTTTTGAGACAGAGTCTCGCTCTGTTGCCCAGGCTGGAGTGCAGTGGTGCAATCTTGGCTCACTGCAAGCTCCGCCTCCCGGGTTCACACCAGGCTGTCGCCCAGGCTGGAGTGTAGTGGCGCAATCTCGGCTCACTGCAGCCTCCGCCTCCTGGGTTCAGACGATTCTCCTGCTGCAGCCTCCCGAGTAGCTGGGATTACAGGCGCCCACCACCACACCCGGCTAATTTTTGTACTTTTAGTAGAGATGGGGTTTCACCATGTTGGCCAGGCTGGTCTTGAACTCCTGACCTCATGATCTGCTCGCCTTGGCCTCCCAAAGTGCTGGGATTACAGGCGTGAGCCACTGCACCCGGCCAATAATTATTATTCTAACTTTAGTATATGTGTTGGCAAAGCGAGCACTATTCTTCTAGATAAGTAAATTGTTCGGATCACTAAAGGATAACTCTTCTAGCACCAAAATACACTGAATTTTAACTCTGAGTTATCTATTTATTTTTTTGAGACCAAGTCTCCCTCCGTTGCCCAAGCTGGAGTGCAGTGGCACAATCTCAGCTCACTGCAACCTCCGCCTCCTGGGTTCAAGCGATTCTCCTGCCTCAGCCTCCTGAGTAGTTGGGATTACAGGCACACGCCACCATGCCTGGCTAATTCTTTTTTGTATTTTTAGTAGAGATAAGGTTTCACCATGTTGGCCAAACTGGTCTCGAACTCCTGACCTCAGGTGATCCACTTGCCTCGGCCTCCCAAAGTGCTGGGATTACAGGCATGAGCCACCGTGCCCGGCTGAATTAAATATTTCTAATGATAACGTACCACCTCTCTGCCTTCCTAAATAGTTTTTTGTTTGTTTGTTTGTTTTTTGTTTTTTTTTGAGACAGTTTCCCTCTTGTTGCTCAGGCTGGAGTGCAATGGCGCAATCTTGGCTCACTGCAATCTCCACCTCCCACGTTTAAGCGATTCTCCTGCCTCAGCCTCCCGAGTAGCTGGGATTACAGACATGTGCCACCATGCCCGGCTAATTTTGTATTTTTAGCAGAGATGGGATTTCTCCATGTTAGTCAGGCTGGTCTCGAACTCCCGACCTCAGGTGATCCGCCTGCCTCAGCCTCCCAAAGTGCTGGGATTACAGGCGTAAGCCACGGTGCCCGGCCCTTCCTAAATAGTTTATTTAACCTTTCCTTGATAATCTGAGATCATCATCATTAATCATTTTGTTTATTTGTCACCCAGGTTGGAGTGCAGTGGCACAATCATGGCTCACTGCAGCCTTGACCTCCCCGGGCTTAGGTGATCCTCCCATCTCAGCCTCCCAAGTAGCTGGGACTATAGGTATGCACCACCACACCTGGCTAATTTTTGTATTTTTTGTAGAGATGGGTTTTAACATCTTGCCCAGGCTGGTCTCGAACTCCTGACCTCAAGTGATCCACCTGCCCTGGCCTCCCAAAGTGCTGGGATTACAGGCTTGAGCCGCCATGTCCCTTGATTAATCATCTCCATGTTAATTATTGTCCTGTGCTATATAATTCCTTTACAGATGTCCGCAAGAATTACTGAATTAAATGGTGACATTTGCCGCCATTATTCAGATTAATGACATACAGACCTTTTTATGTTCCTTTTTTATGTTATCCTCACCTAAAACTCCTCTTATGTACCCACCATGGATTCCCTGTGGTTCCCCAAACATGCACTGGATTTCTTTGCTCCTGTGGGTTTTCTCTACCTTGGATGCCCCACCCTACCCTCTCTGGACATTGGAAATCTTGCCATGCTCAAAGCCCAGCTTAGAACCATCTCATTCATGAAGCCATTCTTGATCTTTTCCAGTCAAAAGGAATCCCTTTCTCCCCTTAGCTAACTGGGGAGTTTGTCTATCTTCCCAGTCATTATTTATTGCCTGGCATTTGTTTAATGCTTTCAATTTATAGAACACTTTTACATACATAATCTATTATCCTCACAATGTCTGTTATTATCATCATTATACAGATAAATAAACAGGATCATAAAAGGCACAGTTCCAGGCCAGAACTGTTAATGCTCTCCTTCCTTACTTACAGCACTGCCAGGCCACTGAACATTCCATCTCAGTCCACCCAAACTCCACTAAAAGAATGATGTTATATGCCTGTAATCCCAACATTTTCGGAGGTGGAGGCAGGCAGATCACTTGAGCCCAGGAGTTTAAGACCAGTCTGGGCAACATGGCGAAACCCCGTCTCTACCAAAAAAAAAATTAAATAAAATAATAAAATAAATTAGCTGGGTGTGGTGGCATGTGCCTGTAGTCCAAGCTACTTGGGAGACTTAGGTGGGAGGATGGCTTGAGCCTGTGAAGCAGAGGATGCAGTGAGCTGAGATCACGCCACTGCACTCCAACCAGAGTGACAGAGTCAGAACTTGTCTCAAAAAGAAAAGAAAATATGCTCGGCATCAAAATTGACTAGGGAGCATTCAAAATAGATATGCTTGGCCCAGACCCAGAGTCCCTGAATCAGCATCTGTAGAGTTGGGACAAATACATATTTTGGGGGTTTTGCGTTTGTTTGTTTTTTAAAGTTTCCATCATGATCCCAGTGATTACTTGGGTTTGAGTAACACTGAGTTAACCCATTTATCTGGCATTACTGAGATGTGTTTTCCATAATTACAATAAGTAACCCTATTTAGATGTTCAGAGCAGAAAGAGTGACTGAATGCCAGTTTATGGAAGCCAGAACTTTTCCTTGGGAAAAAATTATAGATATCTATTTATGAATCAACCACCCACATCTTGGATTATCCACTGCAACTCAACCTTCCTCTGTTCATATCATGAAACTGGACCAAGCAAGAAAAGAATCATGATCAGGGTAGAGAGTAGGCAGGTATCCAAGCAGGACCACAATGCAATACCTTTGGCTTATTTATTCTTCTTCTCCCCTCCGTTAGTTCAGATGATCAAGAATAGAATGAGCCAATGGTGGGCGACCCTACTTATTGGCCTGTGAATTTCTTACTCACCACTGTAATTGTTCAAACTCAGCATCTTGGACCTCTTTGCCATTTCAGAACTGAAAGCCTACAAGAAGCAAAACAGAGCAGAGAGTCATAAGCAGGGCTGATAGCCATTGTCATCAAAGTCTCCCTCTCTGCACACACAGCACTTGACTTCATCCACTCTGTCAGTCCCATTCCTACTACCACAAATCTAAAGCAGCCTTTAGGAAAGTCCCAGAGAAGAGGACCTCAGTCTATTAGAACACGGAAAGAATAAGCATAGGAAAAATGGAGATGAAATCAAAATCTGGTATAAATAAAGAAGACTATACATTCCGAGACAAAATATAACCGTGCATTCATTCAACAGATTTTAATGCCCTGCTTGTGCTAAACTAAAGCTGTGGATATGTCACTGAAGAAGAAAACTATAGGTAACTAATAAAACACAAATTCATTTAAAAATGGTATACACACCAAACTTGGTCTGTAAATTGAATAATAAAATAATCTGTTTTATGTAAGTTAATTCCTATAGAGTGCTTAAAATTGTTCCTGGCTTGTAGTAAACATTAAGTACATGGTAGCTATTGTAATTGTTATTATATGAAAGTCTATAGACAAAGATTTGTGCATATTGCAACACAGATCCATTAACATAATGTCTATTAGAAATAACACATCTCACTTAGCTTTTGGAGCCATGGTATTCACTGTCTTCCTTGTTCAAAGTAGATACAATTGGCAATATAGATGGTCCTGACTTACAATGGTTTGATTTAGGACTTTTAGGCTTTATTGATGGTGCAGAAGTGATATACATTCAGTGGAAACTGTACTTGGAATTTTTAATCTTGAGCTTTTCCCAGGCTGTTGACATGTAGTAAGATGCTCTTTCATGATGCTGGGCGGCGGCAGCAAGCCAAGCTCTCAGTCAGCCACGTGATCACAAGAGTAAACACTGTATTCAATAAGTTACATGAGATACGCAACACTTTATAAAGTAGGCTTGCGTTAGATGATTTTTCCCAACTATAGGCAAATATAAGTGTTCTGAACATGTTTAAGGTAGGATAGGCTAAGCTATAATGTTTGGTAGGTTAGGTGTATTAAATGCATTTATCTCACTACAACTTATTTAGGAAGAAAATACATGCTTATTAAAAGGCTTATTAGAAGATGTATACATTATGTCTGCACACATACCTCCATGTGGATATAATGTAGTGTTAATGCTGAAAAGAGCCTGAAGGAATGGTCAACATTCACTTTTAATGTAAATTACTGTGTAAAATAATCCTCTTGTTTGAGTTACAAAACTGAAAGATGTATCATTCTCTGTGTTTCTGTTTAATGGTTCAGAACAAGGCTTTGAGGGCAGACAGACACCAAGGTTGATCTTGGTTTGGCCATGTAACTAGCTGTGTGCATATTAACCTCTGGGTTATGTTTTTGGATTTGTAAAATGGAGACGACAACAGTGGCTTCATCAAAAGATTAAGGGGAGAAGGAGATAAGACACCTTCTCAGCACAGTGCCTGACAGACACAATACATGGCACTATATATATATATATATATATATATATATATATATATATATATATACACACACACACATACACACACATATACATACACACATATATATACACATACATATATACACACACACACACATATATATATACACGTATTTTTTTTTCTTTTTTTTTTTTTTTGAGATGGCCCTGGCTGGCGTGCAGTGGTGCAATCTCGGGTCACTGCAACCTCCGTCTCCCTGGTTCAAGTGATTCTCCTGCCTCAGCCTCCCAAGGAGCTGGGATTACAGGCACGTACCACCATGCCCTTCTAAGTTTTGTATTTTTAGTAGAGCTGGGGTTTCACCATGTTGGCCAGACTGGTCTCGAATTCCTGACCTCAGGTGATCCGCCCAGCTCAGCCTCCCAAAGGGCTGGGATTACAGGCATGAGCCACCAAGCCCGGCCCCCTACGGCACTATTTTTATTATTAGTCCCTGGGGGAGCGCTCAGACCGTGGTTGATCTTTCCATTTTTCTTAAACTGTCATGCATATTTTTGTTTGTATGTTGGAGAGAATGAACCTTCTTTTCTAGATGTGGTTAATTCCTCTTGTATGAAAATGGTGCTTCATAAAGTTCAGGGGCTGGGCACGGTGGCTCACGTCTGTAATCCCAGAATTTTGGGAGGCTGAGGTGGGAGGATTACTTGAGTCCAGGAGTTTGAGATTGGCCTGGGCAACATAGTGAGACCCCACTTCCACAAAAAATAAAAGTATTAGCCAGGCATGGTGGCGCATGCCTGTAGGTCTAACTACTCAGGAGGCTGAGATGGGAGGATTGCTTGAGCCTGGGAGGCTGAGGCTTCAGGGAGTTATGATCACACCACTGCACTCCAGCCGAGGCAGCAGAGCGACATCCTGTCTCAAAAAAAAGGAAATTAAAAAAAGAAATAGTTCAGGGAGGTGATCAGGGCACCTATCTGGGCTTAGAGATAATCCTCTGCATGGGAAACTGATGAACTTCATCTGAAGGACAGGATTATTCATTTTATCAGAAGGTGAGCTACTTCCTTGGGTCATGCACCACCATCTCACCAGTTAGCTGTGGGTGAGGCGCAGTGGGATACTGGAGCTGGCATACAATGACTCAAGACAGCTTGCTGTGACCATCTCTTCTAAATCTGTTTTCAGTGATGTCATATCAACAGCTTGAAAGCAGCCACAGAAATCAGCAAATGCTACAAATCTCCCCGTGTTTAATTGGGCAGCAGAAGGAATAAGAACTTTTATACTTGCTCCAAGAAAGAGCAAGCTGGAACAAGTATAAATTCACTTCCATATAGGCAGAGATAAAATGGCAACCATGCACATAGAGCAGGCCAAGAGGTGGGAATATGAGCAGTCAGAGAACTAATGTTTGCAGCCACTCTCTGCAAGGCAAACCTTGCAAGGCCCTCTATATCCAAAATCCAGACACATGCCGAGAAGTCTCTCTAAAACTCGGATGTTGCTGTTGGCAGAATCAGAAACCTATATCTTGAAAACCTATTTTAGGTTGCTGTATCTTATTTCCTTTCCTTTTTATTCTTCCCTAACATCATTAAAGTCTTTCTCGAAAATGCCAGCTAAGTGAGAATAAAGCAGAGATGGTCGGTACTTTAAAGGCAGAACAGCACTGCAATATATACTAATTATGCTGAAAATATCACAGTTTATTCACATGCTAGGAACTCAGCTTGATCTGTCCACCCAAACAAAAAGCTGAGATGAAGTGCACTCAGACACATAAGACAAGCTCCCCTCCAACACATGGACCCCAAATGTGTTAGACCACAGCTGATTTCCTTCCGAGGTCACCTACAGATGAGCTAAAAAAGAATGGGTTGAATTTGAGGGCAGTACTGGAGACATGGCAAAACTAGCCAGGCATACCACTGCTGTTAAAGAAATTGGAAAGAAAAGATAAACAATTCACTGAATTTAGTAACAATTCAGCACTCAGTGAACTACAGCTCATTACAGTTGATGTAACAGCTAACCTTCTACTCTGTGCTAGGTACTATTCTAAGTGTTTTACAGGTATTAACTCATTTTTTTTTTTTTTGAGATGGAGTTTCACTCTTGTTGCCCAAGCCCGGGTGCAATGGTGCGATCTCAGCTCACTCCAACCTCCGCCTCCTGGGTTCAAGCAATTCTCCTGCCTCAGCCTCCCGAGTAGCTGGGATTACAGGTGTGTGCCACCACGCCTGGCTAATTTTTTGTATTTTTAGTAGAAACGGGATTTCATCATGTTAGCTACACTGGTCTCAAACTCGTGACCTCAGATGATCCGCCTGCCTCAGCCTCCCAAAGTGCTGGGATTACAGGCGTGAGCCACCTCACCCACCTGTATTAACTCATTTCATCTTCACAACAGCTCCATAAGATGGTAATCAGTATCCCTCTTTTAAGGATGAGGAAACTGAGGCACAGATAAGTAAACTAACTTGCCCAAGGTTATATAGCCAGCGAGAGGCAAAGCTGAGACTGATGGGGATTTTAGAGGGAAAACTGATTGAGGAGGAGAAGACAGGCCAGGCATATTGGCTCACACCTATTATCCCAGAGCTTTGGGAGGCTGAGATGGGAAGATCACTTGAGCCCAGGAGCTCAAGACCAGATTGGGCAACATAGTAAGACTGCTTTTCTACAAAAAATTTAAAAATTAGCCAGGCATGGTAGCATGTGCCTGTAGTGCCTGCTACTCAAGAGGCTGGAGTGGGAGGATCACTTGAGCCCAGGAGTTCAAGACTGCAGTGAGCTATGATTGTGCCACTGCACTCCAGCCTGAGCAACAGAGCAAGATCACATCTGTTTAAAAAAAAAAAGAGAGAGAGAGAGAAGACAAAGAATTTGCCTTAAATACACTGGATTTGAGATGACGGTCAGAGATCCAAGTGGAAATGAGAGAGGATTGGCTAAGAAGACAGGACTTCACAGAAGTTGTAAGAACAGTTGTGTTCTTGAAGGGAGAGAGATGAGAGAGGGGCAAGGACCCCACACTGAAACTAGAAGGTTGCTTACCTTTAAGGAGCAGAGGGAAGAATAAGTGCCATTAAAAGAAAAGACAGAAGCTAGGTAGTGGGTAAACATGGCTTCTTTGTTTTTTGTTTTGTTTTGTTTTGTTTTTGAGATGGAGTTTCACTCTTGTTGCTCAGGCTGGAGTACAATGGCGTGATCTCGGCTCACCACAATCTCCGCCTCCCAGGTTCAAGCTATTCTCTTGCCTCAGCCTCCCTAGTAGCTGGGATTAAAGGCATGTGCCACCACGCCCAGCTAATTTTGTATTTTTAGTAGAGACAGGGTTTCTCCATGTTGGTCAGGTTGGTCTAGAACTCCCGACCTCAGGTGATCCGCCTGCCTCCGCCTCCCAGAGTGCTGGGATTACAGGTGTGAGCCACCGTGTCTTGCCAAACATGGCTTCTATAATGACATGTTTTACTAGGTCAGAGGTGGACAATCTGTAAAAATTAAACTTCACCAAGTTAGAACACCACCACACTGTACAGCACCTAGCCCTGCATCCCCTGCATCTTACATTGTAGATACTAAACAGATGTTGCTGAATGAATGAATGAATGAATGAACAGTAGGACATTTCTAAGATATTAACTTACCTTATATATCTCCAAATCTGTTGGAAAGATCACAAATTTTACAGTTAACTGGTGTTTTACATGGTCTTTGGCAAATGTTAAAACTTCATCAAACAAAATCTCTGCTGCTGTTTCCTTCTTTATTTCCATGTTTCCAGTCCCAAGGGCAGGAAAGGAAATGGAAGTTATATTTTGCTCAATGCATTTTTCCAAACACTCCTTCATTGCATGTTTTAATATCTGCAGGAAAACACAAATTTAAGATCAGCATTTGAGTCAAGAACAAGACTCCACTTACCCCTTGATCCTGCCCATATTTTACAATGTCCACCTTCACCCTCCCTCAGGGTTCGTGTCCCTGCCTCCTCAGATGACAGGAAAGGTCCCACTCCAGAGGGAACCCATTATGGTATAAGGTTAGATGGTGAGAAACTGAAGCAATAGAGTGGCCATCTTGTGCTATTCAGGACATGAGGGCACTAGAATTTCTCCCAGTTTATATAGCCTTACCCATCCCCCCAGGTCAGAGAGCCAACCATCTGTTTACCCCATTCACCTGCCCCTTCCAGGTCAACGTCAAGAGCCCTTGAATTTTCATAAAGGAGATCGAGATTAAAATAAGAAAGCAGCACTTATTCAACATCATTAAGATCTATCATGTAATTTCTCTTGGAGAAATGCTAATATTTTTGGCAGATTTAAATTTCTACCAACTGTTAACATCAAAGTAATACAGGAATGTTGCCCATGGAAGGACTTTGGAAAACTGAGGGATAGAGGGAGACTAGAGGACCAGTTTGGGATTAGAGAGCTCTCAAGAAGGGACCAGAAATGGTGAAGAAGAAAGATAGACAAAGGCAGAGAAGGGGATTAAGTTTCCCTCTTTTCACCATCTGAGTGGGTTCCTCCTATTCTTTAATGCTTTTATTTTATTTTATTTTATATTTTATTTTTTGAGACAGAGTCTCACTCTGTCATCCAGGCTAGAGGGCAGTGGCGCGATCTCGGCTCACTGCAACCTTTGCCTCCTGAGTTCGTTAATGCTTGTATTTTATGTGCCTCAGTGGAGAGTGGGCTAGACAGCCAGGCTCCACTGCAGGCATGGGTGGGAAGAGACCTCAGGTAATAGATTTGATTGGAATGATGCTGGAGGGGGAACCCCAGCTGCTCCAGGAATATAACACATGGAGGGACATAAGAGGCTGAATCCCTTGCCTACTTAGGAAAAGGCCAACGAGGTCACTGGGTATGTTGGGGTGAACCAGTGTTCAGACTGAGGGAATACTAGTTTCAGTGTCTATCTGCAGTATGCCTACTTAAAATTTAGACATGGGTTAGGTAACATTTTAAACTTCTTTGTTGTTTTGTTTGTTTTTTGAGACAGTCTCTGTCACCCAGGCTAGAGTGCAGCAGTGTGATCACAGCTCACTGCAGCCTCAATCTCCTGGGCTCAAGTGATCCTCCTACCTCAGCCTCCCGAGTAGCTGGGACTACAGGTGTGCACCACCACACCTGGCTAATTTTTTTTTTCTTTTTGGTAGAGATGGGGGTCTTGCTATGTTGCTTAGGCTGGTCTCAGACTCCTGGGCTCAAGTGATCCTCCCACCTTGGCCTCCCAAAGCGCTGGACTCACAGGCATGAGCCACTGCGACAGACCTAAATCAAACTTCTTAAGATAACTTATGGCAACTGTACCTGTTCAGTATTTCTGGTACTCGCAGGTGTGCTAAAAATTGAGAACTATACCACTTGACAAAATATTTCATGAATGTAATGAAATGATGGAAATTTGTTTAAAAAAAAAAGACTGTATAGACTATGGAGCTAAATAAAGCCACATTTATTTTAAACTTACCTGAGGTTTAGGAAATTCTGAATGCCACAGTACATGGTATATATATTTACAGAACAAGTTAAATCCTTTTGTGACCAGTACCAACTGGGACCGTTGAAACTGTTTAGCCTTTGTGGCAAGAAATTCCGATTTCATTTCAACTCCTGCTTGTTGTAGAATTGACTTTGCCACAGGTCCAACTGTAATATCATGTGGGTTTACAGAATTAACAATTACATCTGCCTGAAAAGGGAAGAAAGGGTAGGATTCATTGTTAAATTCCTTCTTCTTAAATGACTAATTTAAATCTTTACTTCCCTGAAGAGCTTTGAAAAATACTCTTTGAAGATCCTAAATTCTAAAAAATTTCATTAATAATGAATAGAAACTCGTATTTCCAAAGAGTGATTATTTGATTGCCATGAACGAAGCTGAATTACATAATTCAGAAATTATGTAAATGTACGGATGATATAATTTTCATTGCAAACATCTGTTTGCCCCTTGCTGTATTACCTTACCAGATGGCTAGATTCTGAGTATTCCCTGTGATTTGTTTTAAGTTCTGTCGATAAATGGTTTCATCTCTGCCCGACCACCATGACTTTTTGCTATTTCGTCGTGGGTTTTTGTTTTGTCTCGTTTTAAATAGGAAATAAAATTTCTTGGAGAATTTCCACCTTCTAATGTTTTTATGGTTTAAGGTATAAGAAACTTAACAAGGTTAAAGAAACTCCAAATGGGACAAAAAGGTCTTCAATGAAAAGTAGGTCCCCTTCTTGGTCAGGTTCCCAGACCCCCCCACTCACCCACCCATCTTATGTGCAACCAAGTTCTTCATCTCTCTCTTCAGAAATAGACTGTACATATACATGAGCTGTACTTTAGATAACATCGTCTCCTAGTTAACCCTCAGAGCTGTGCTAAAAATGATAGTGTCCTTCCTTCCCCCATGCCCAGATTCCCCTAATCATTCTATTGACTTTGGCTCCCTTTCAGGGTAACTCAGGTATTTCTTCACTGATGTTAATGAATGCTTCATTTTGAAAGCACAATTAGAATTTGCAATTTGGGGGCACCGACACCCTTTAAAAATTGTAATGTTCCTAACGTTGCTGGCAATAAATATACCTTAAAAAATTCAGTTAAAGGGATAAGTTACTCAACTAGGATGCTTCCATTTTAGTTTTAAATTTGTGTGTTAATGACTTCTCAAATATTTCATTTCATGAACTCCCCTCAGTCTTCCCTCTAATTGTCTTATAGGCAATAAGTGTTATTGGTTTGTTTGTTTTACCAGTGTCTAAGACTATTTGATTGTGGTCACGAGAGTCTTAAGTGTGACATCACTGATCCAGAAGAAAAAAAAAGAATAAAGCCTTATATTCATTCTCACCCTCTGTTGTGGTGCCTTCTCCCTCCTGCCCCCTCCACTTATTTATCTTTAATTTGCTGAACCCTTAGATGCATGCCCAGACCAGGCCTTGAGGCTATAGGGATGAATAAGCCAAGATCTCCATCTTTAAGGTGCTCTCCGTCTAGCAGGGGAGCTGCACTGACTCAGAAATACCTAGGTTCACCGCTACCCTGACTCCTTCCCCTTCCCTGCCAGCATCCTCACCTTTGTGCCCAGTGACCCCCAGCTAAATGCTTAGTTGCACCTTGCATTCTCCACAGCCCCTGGCAGAGTTATATTCTGTGTATAAACACACAGACTATGACTTAGAGCTCCACCTGTGTCTCCTGACTGTAGTCAAGCCCATTATTTTCTGTCAATTCCTCTGCATCTCTCTGATCAAGTCACTCTGACCACCCAGAAAGCTTCCCCTCCTGCCAATCATACCCATCGAAACTTGAGATCACATTCAAAACTCATACCTTCTGAAGCAATCTTTCTTGGTCCACTATACTCCACTCTTGTCACAAATTTACATACTCTTAAGTATTATTTTTGTTTACTATTGATAGGTTGCTTCAGAAATGTTGAGATGGTTTTTCTCCCCAGAGAGATTTTTCAAATAAAGAATATTTTTATAATAAAGAATATAATTGATTTTAGGTTCCTTGGGATCAAAGATTGTTCTAATTCCTCCGGGTGCCTAAGATAATAGCAACAGCCATAATAATGATAAATACTTATTATGTGCCAAGCACTACTCTAAGCATTTTATGTATATTGATCCCAGCTCTAAGATATAAATGCTATTATTATCCTCAATGTACAAATGAGGAAACTGAAGAACAAAAGATAAAGTAACTTGCTTTGGGTTACCCAGTTAATAAATAGCAAAGCTGGTATTCAAATCCAGATGGCCTGGCACTGAATGCTATATTATTATTATTATTATTTTTAGAGTCAAAGTCAAAGTCTTGCTCTGTTGCCCTGGCAGGAATCACTGCAGCCTTGAACTCATGGGCTCAAGTGCGCCTCCTGCCTTAGTCTCCCAAAGTAGTTGGGACTACAGATGTGCATCACCATGCCCTGATAATTTTTTTTTTTTTTTGAGACAGGGTCTTGCTATGTTCCTCAGGCTGGTCTTGAACACCTGGGCTCAAGTGATCCTCCTGTCTCAACCTCCCAAAGTGCTGGGATTATAGGCATGAGCCACCATGACCAGCCTATTTTAAAAAAAAACTTAAATTAAAATTTTTTAAAGAGATGGGGTCTGGGTATGTTGCCTAGGCTGGCCTCCAACTCCTGGGCTCAAATGGTCCTCCAACCTCAGGCTCTCAAGTAGCTGGGTTACAGGCATGTACCACTGCATCTGGCTCATATTCTTAATCCAAACAAGATGGTTTCTACATAGTGTTGCATAGTGTACACTCAAAAATTATTTAATTTTCAGGGATCACCTGTGCCAGTGCAAGAGAATAGAAACAAAGACTTACCGTCTGCCATTCAATGTGGCCCTGGACAATCTGGAGGGTCAGGTTGTTCACGACCATTGCATTGAAAGAAGGGGTGGTTTCTTGTCCCAGCTCACTCTTCCCTAGGATGAATTCTGAAGCAGCTTTAAAGGCAGCAACAGTAGGGTCCTCATTGCTCACCAGGTGAATTTCTTTCAAATTACTCATCATTGGCTTCCCTTGCAAACTAACCCGGATAGTCTCTACAATAGTCTTTGTACACAAATTCAGAGGGAACTGAAAAATCCCAGAGCTCAAGGCTGGAATTGCTACTGTCTTAATGTGAGTATTTTTATAGATGACATAATTCAGAATACTTACAATGGCCCTCTGCAGCTTTCCAGTACATCCCTGTTTATCCCATTCCATCCACCGAGGCCCAACAGCATGGATGATCTGTTTGCAGGGAAGCCTCCCTGCTCCCGTGACAGCTATCTCACCAGCTGACACTTTACCATATCTGGCAACAAACTGTTTGCTCTCTTCTTGGATTTCAAATCCACCAGCTTTTACCAGGGCCAGGGCCAGGCCTCCCCCATGCAGAAGATCTTCATTGGCTGCATTCACCACAGCATCAACAGCATGTGTGGTGAGGTCATCTTTCCAGACTGATAACTCTATCCTAGGAGTCAGCATTTTTCTGAACACTTGCAGAGATTTGCTGTTGCCTTCCTGAACTGGAGAGACCAGGGTAGAGATACAGCCAAACTTATTCTGGAGGACTTCACACAGCTGACGCTCATTATTTTTTAAAATTTTGAAGTCATTGTGGTTAATGGGAATTTGCCAACTATAGTTTTCTCCAAGAGCACCAGTCTCTGGAAAAGAAGAGAAGATTAAAAAAAAAAAAAAAAAAAAAAAAAAAAAAAAGCACAGTTTGAAAGGTTGTAATCCCACTTCATACCAGGAGACTGTGTTTCCTATGTGCAAAAGAGAGATGAACTTCATGTAGTGCTCTTCATGATTCTTCTTCTCAACTACACATATAATTAGACCACGGACATCTAAGAGTTTTCAGTGGTAGGTCACCCATAAAGTGCATAGTCTTGTGCCTGGCATATATTAAGTACTCCATAAGTGGTAGTTACTATGATGCAGTGATGATGGTAGGAAAACCATGTATATGGGGGCTTGTGAATTTTTAAAAATATATATAAAAGTGGCGAGCTTAGAAAGACCAATGCTTAGGGCACAGGTATTGGAAGGGACTTAATTATGAGCCAAAATAGGCGGAGGTTTTATAACTTTTTTGCCTTTGTCAGCATCTAAGTTTATGTTTTCTTAAGAGTAGACCCTGAGACAAAGATGTGAATGTAAGTAGTTTATTTGGGAGGTGATCCTAGGAAATACTAGGGCCTTGGGGTGGGGAGGGCAGGCTGGGAAAGTAAGACAAATGAACAAAGCACGTGTAACTAGGCAGATGGAACTTAACTCTACTGGGAAACAGTGTAGATCTTGTGCCTCAGGGTTATACCACTGGAGGGGTAGTAACCACAGGAGCTGGAGTATTTATCCAACTTCTTTTTCTTTTGAGACAGGGTCTCACTGTGTTGCTCAGGCTGCAGTGTAGTGATGCAGTCTTGGCTCACTGCAACTTCTGCCTCCTATGCTCAAGCCATCCTCCCACCTCAGCCTCCTGAGTAGCCAGGGCTACAGGCTCACAGCACTACACCCACACCATCGTGTCCAGCTAATTTCCGTATTTTTTTCTGTAGAGATGGGGTTTCACCATATTGCCTAGGCTGGTCTCAAACTCCTGATTTCAAGCAATCTGCCCACCTGGGCCGATTGAAATAAGGTAGTATACCTGTTATCAATTGATGGTAAGCCCCAGTTTAGCTGGCATTTTTTCCCCTTTCTCAGAGGCATTTCCCAGAGTGCTCCAAAAGATTCAAGCAATCTGCCCACCTGGGTGGCTTCAAAAAGGCCACCATGCCTGGCCTACCCAACTTCTATTGGTCATTGATTGAGGCAGTTCCCTGGTGAGGAGGAGTAGGGGAGACATTGGACCAGCCAATGAGCACTGATACTGTCTGCTTCAGTTCAGTAAATAATTCTTTATGATATTCTAGTCTGGCACAATTTTGGTGAAATTAAAACTAATTGACTAAAAATTATTTACCGTATGTGGCAGACAAGAAGATGTGCTACTCAGATCTCCCTGCGATTGGCTATGAAGTGGGAAATACAGTTAGCTGACAGCCTCCAGCTGTTAGCCCCTCAGGGTTCATCTCAGCTTTCAGCCAAGGTCATGCTATTCTCAGGGCAGCCTCCATCAGTAGCTGAGCAAGGCCATTCATGCCCAACGTGGGACACCTCTAACAGTCAATCTCAGGCTTGCAGAGACTGTCGGGTTTTTATTACAGTCTGATGGCTAGTCTGCCCAGTCCGGCTTCCTCTCTTTACCTTTCACAGTGAATTTTTTGCACTCCTAATTCCATCTCAAATTCTGCTTCCTGGAGGACCCAGCTTGGGACACTGTATTTCATGGTGTCTAAGATATTGTTGTTACAATGCCTCTGAGAAAGGGAAAAAAATGCCAACTAAACTGGGGCATACCATCAATTGATAACAGGTACACTACCTTATTTCAGTATTGTTAAAATGTGAAAAAAAAATGTGCATCCTAAAATAGATAAAATGTGATCATTACTTTTATTTTGCTTCAACTCCCATTTCTAATCTGAGTCTCCTAGAAAGACCTCTTGTGGCCTCAATTACCCAAACGAAGCCGGAATTGGGTAGTCAGGCCCTATTGGCCTGAGCTTTGGTTGAAAATCTTTAATGGGGGACCCCTGGAATTAGGCCAGAACTATTTAGCTTGTATAGTACTCGTTGAGCAAGGAGACAATCAGTTGGCCACCCCATCTGGTCAATTCAGCCATAGGCTGTCGTTAAAAGAGTCTCACATTTACGGGCAAAGGAGAGGAATGGTGTAGGCCTTGAGAGAATATGCCTGCTGGTCGGTGCCACACCAACTCTGAAGCATGTGCGGGGGTCCCCACAAGGGTCTGCAGTCACGCACCTGAGCACTTGTAGGGGAGACATTCTTCTGTATTCCCCTTTCTCCACTGAGGAAAGATCTGAGCAAAGACTTTCTGAAACAAGAGTGAGAGCGAGGTAATCCTACCTGATTTTTCATTGTAAGCTGCTGCTCCGGCCACCTGTGAAAAATGAGAATGGCTTTCTTAAAAAATGGAAGTGGAATGACTACAGCTTACTGATAACCAATACACCCTAGTAAACACAATGCAATGGAAATCCTGCTCAAAGCACTGTGTTTGGGAGGGCAGGAAGCATGTGTTTTTTTAAATCTGCATGCCCGAAACACTTAAAATACTAAATGTGCCAGCAAACATTGGCCCTATGTCATTTCCCTAGGGGCCGATGCATTTCTTTTTTTAAATTTAATTTTATTGTTTTTCGAGACAAGGTTTCACTCTGTCACCCAGGCTGGAGTGCAGTGGTGCAATCACAGTTCACTGCAGCCTTGAACTCCTGGGCTGAAGCAATCCTCCCATCTCAGTCTCCTGAATAGCTGGGACTACAGGCATGCACCACCATGCCCAGCTAATTGTTTTTACTTTTTTAGAGATGAGCGGAGTCTTGCTATGTTGACCAGGCTGGTCTCGAACTACTGATTTCAAGTGATCCTCCTGGCTTCAGCCTCTGTAGTAACTGGGATTATAGGCGCCAGCCACCGCCAATGCATCTCAGTGCATCTCATTCTAATTCAGAATGAGATGAGGTTTAGAGATCAACACTTTAAAAGGCCCAAAAGTCACAGACCAAAATGACCCCAAACTCTCAGATAGACTCCAATCTCCAAAAGCTCATGGGGTTTCTCTAGACAGAAGACCTGGGGACATGAGCCTCATCAGCTCTGTCTCTCATCCACCAGCAAGGATCCACTTTTAATTGCCTTTGTCATGGTACAAACCTTAATGTGGAATTTTCAAGTTTAGTAAGTGACTTCTAATCTGATCTTTCTCTATTCCCTTCTTTTCATTCATCCTCTATTACTCTCCTTACCCCAACCCGAAAAAGCAGAATCACTAAATGAGCTGAGAATTAAAATGATTCTGAAAAATCATCCAGCTTCAAGTTGACACTATTTATTAGATTAGCATATTCTTGATTCCCCATTTCTCAAGAAGGGAGAAAGGAGAAAACTTTATTGAGCTATTAAAAGCAGATGAGGATGTCAACTGTTGGTGAACACCCCAGATTTCTTGCTGTTATATAAAGAAGTATTCATGTGCTGATCAAGGTTCATGACGTATACACATTTATGCTTTTTACCATGGAAAAGTCCATCCTCCAGGTCCCCGGGGGAGTCTTTAAATGTTTATTCCCTTTTGCGCTTCAAAGCATAGACTGTAGTTTCCAGATATGGTGGCCCACTTCTAGGAATGAATTAGAAAAGATGCAATAAACATTAGCCAGAATCTTAGGAAATTCGGTAAGAATATACTGTAGGAGGACTGAACATGATTTCTGAT
This sequence comes from Homo sapiens, assembly GCF_000001405.40. Classification (NCBI taxonomy): domain Eukaryota; kingdom Metazoa; phylum Chordata; class Mammalia; order Primates; family Hominidae; genus Homo; species Homo sapiens. The sequence goes on from NC_000003.12 coordinate 122,559,806, forward strand.
CTTGATGAGTTCTTAATTTCCTTGATAACGATGTACACATTGTTTTGCTGTTGTTGTTACTGTTTGCCTTCTACCCTTTCCAAGAGAGGTTCCAGTGGAAATCATAATGGCAGTTCAGAGAAGGGAAAATGCTCTACGACCTGGAACAGGAAAAGCTATATGGAGGAGTTGAGACTAGAGCCTGGTCATGAAGGATGCAGGAGGTTTTTACATATTTAGAAGAAGAGGGTGATAACAAAGTGGTGAGACTGAGAACAGCATTCAAAGAACAGTAAAGAAGACCGAGCTTATGAGTGAGTGAAGCCCCCTGGAGAGCGTTTGAAGAAAGAGGAAATGCCACTAGAGCCTGTGAGGGGGGTGTATTATTGAATTTGTGATAAACATCCTTGACCTAATGATAGGGGTATATCTGGTTAAAAGTCAGAAAATCTGGGAAAAATACTTTGTTATGATTTTCCATCTAATAGGTAGGAATTAAAGATTATGAATTTTTAGAAGACTGATGATGAAAATGCTTAAAGATACAGTTGCCCACACTTGTTGCTATATTTAGGCCTCGAAATGATTTCTTTGTTTGTTTTTTTGTTTGTTTTTTTGTTTTTTGAGTTGGAGTCTCACTCTGTCCCCCAGGAATGCAGTGGCTCGATCTTGGCTCACTGCAAGCTCCGCCTCCTGGGTTCACGCCATTCTCCTGCCTCAGCCTCCTGAGTAGCTGGGACTACAGGCGCCCGCCACCACGCCCAGCTAATTTTTTGTATTTTTAGTAGAGATGAGGCTTCACCGTGTTAGCCAGCACGGTCTCAATCTCCTGACCTCGTGATCTACCCGTCTCGGCCTCCCAAAGTGCTGGGATTACAGGCGTGAGCGACCGCGCCTGGTCGAAATGATTTCTAATGTCTTTGCAATAGAAACATTTTGTACAACCATCTACAGCATCAGAGCACTATTCTTACTCATCAAGGGAAAGCAGCAGGTCTAGTACAATCCTTTGCATTCTAAAATGCAAAGACAAGATGCATTTTTTGCCTCCAGAGGGCACTGCTGTTTTCAAAAAAGAAGGATGACTTCATCTGCTTTGGCCATGGGCTTTTGCTTTAAATGTTGCACCTGTTTCTGTCTTCAGGCCAAGTTTTACAGGCCTATGGATAGCCAAACAAGGAGCATAGTGCCCTAAGCATTCCATTTCTTCCATTTTAAAAACAGAAAAGCCTTCCCAACTTTCCATCACTGGTTCCTACTGTGTTTCCTTCTCTTCATAAGCAGCCAAACTTCTGGAATGAGTAGTGGACTCTCCTTCTGTCCACCTGCCCACTCAGCCTACTATAACCTGGCTCCCTGCCTCATTCCCAGCACCCTTTTGAAACTGCCAGTGGCCAGGCATGGCGGCTCACACCTGTAACCACAGCACTTTGGGAGGCAGAGGCAGGCAGATTGCTTGAGCTCAGGAGTTCGAGACCAACCTGGGCAACATGGCAAGACCTCATCTCTACTAAAAATACAAAAAGTTAGCTGGCCATGTTGGTGCATGCCTATAGTCCCAGCTACTTGGGAGGCTGAGATGGGAGGATCACTTGGTGGGAAGTTCAGGCTGTAGTGAGCTGTGATTGTGCCACTGCACTCCAGCCTGGGCAAGAGGAATGAGACCCTGTCTCAAAAAAAAGAAGAGAAACTGCTCATCAGAATCCCTCATGTGGTTAATGCCAATGGATTATCTTCTATCCATCTTTACTGGACCACTTTCTATAGTATTTCACTCTTTGATTCCTGAAATTCTGCTTTCCTGGCTTCTCCTATGCCATCTTCCCTTGGTTCTTCTATTACCCTTCACTTTGCCTTTACAGGCCTTTTCCCTGCGTTCACTTCCACCATCTCCCTCTTAATTGTTTGCCCCAGGATTCTGTCTAAGGCGTTTTTCATCTCATTCTGCATACTCCCCAGGAGTGATCTCATCCATTTCCATGGCTTCAACTCACCAATTGCAAATATGACTCTTATATCTGCAGTTCTAGGCCATGGCTCTCCTGAGCCCCATTTTTCAACTCCACCTGGAGGTCTCACAGTCCCCTCAAATTAGCCTCTGCAAAAGTAGACCTCTTATCTCCTGGTCCCCAATCCTCCATCCCACCCCCACCAAATCCATACTTTATCTCCTGGATTCTACAGCTCAGTAAATGATAATACCATTTACGTACTCAAATCAGAAATCTAGGAACTTTCCCTGAGTCTTTTTTGTCTCATATCTGGGACCTGACAAACTAAATCACTTTCAAATATGCCCCTTCCTTCCTCGCCCACTGACACTGCCTCACTTCAGAGTCTCAGCAACTTTTGCCTGAGCTGTGGCAATATACTCTTTTCTTTTCTTTTCTTTTCTTTTCTTTTCTTTTCTTTTCTTTTCTTTTTGAGACGGAGTCTTACTCTGTCGCCCAGGCTGTGGCGCGATCTTGGCTCATTGGAAGCTCCGCCTCCCGGGTTCACGCCATTCTGCTGCCTCAGCCTCCCTAGTAGCTGGGACTACAGGCGCCCACCACCACGCCTGGCTAATTTTTTTTTTTTTTGTATTTTTTTTAGTAGAGACGGGGTTTCACCATGTTAGCCAGGATGGTCTCGATCTCCTGACCTCATGATCCGCCTGCCTTGGCCTCCCAAAGTGCTGGGATTACAGGCGTGAGCCACCGCGCCCAGCCATCAATATACTCTTTTCAAAGATTTAAATGTACCTAGTTTGACATTTTATTGTTTGAATAGGTATTACATTTACATGGTTCAAATTTAGAAAATGTAAAAGGTTTCCTCCTGTCTCCGCTGCTAAATTCCCTGTCCAGAGTCAATCAGCGCTTCTCCTGTATTCTTCCAGTGGCATTTTTTACACGAAAGGTAGTAGCTTATACACACACTTCTGCATCTTATTTTTCCCACATAATGTATCCTAGAGATCTTTTCATGTTAGCACATAGAGAGCTTTTTCATTTTTCCTACTGCCCATTGTATTCCATTGTATAGATATACTATTATTATTAAACTGCTAGTCCCCCTATTTATGGGCATTAAAGAGTTCCCTATCTTTTGCTATTGTAAACAAGGCTGTAAAGAACATCTTTGTACACAGGTCACTTCACACAGGGGCTAATATATCAATGGGACAAATTCCTAGAAATGGAACTCCAGAACCAAAAAGTATATGCAGTTGTAATTCTGACAGTATTGCCAAATTGTTCACAGTAAAGACGGGCCCATTTCCAGTCTTACCAGCCATGTGCAAAAACCTTATCTCAGGCCTCTCTGCCGCCACTCATCCCTGCTTGTAAATGTGTCCTCCACACGGTTGTCAGCACCATATTTCTAAAATGCAAATCTGGCAAGTCATTTTCTTGCTTTCCCTGCTTAAAGCCCTTCAGGTCATCTTCACTGCTCTTCAAGGCTTTTCACCATCTAAATATGTCCTGTCCAGGGTGGACTATCAGCCTCACATAGCTACTGAGGCTACATGTGGCCAGTCTGAATCGAGATGTGATGTAAGTATAAGAAAAACACTGGGTTGCAAAGACGTGGTATGATAAAAAGAATGTAAAAATCTCATTACATGCTGAAATGATTAAGTTTTGGATATGTCAAGCTAAATAACATCATTACAGTTAATTTCATCTGTTTCTTTATCCTTTAAAAATTTCCTAAAAATCATTAAAATTAATTTCATCTGTTTCTTTATCCTTTAAAAAATATGGCTGCAAAAATTTTAGAATGAACCTACTGGCTCCCATTGTATTTCTGCTGGACAGTGCCCATCTAGGTAGGCTCTCCCTCCTTCATCCCCTCACCCATCTCCTCTCCTCCCAGGCCCCAGGCCCACTCTGTGCTTCAGACCACAGTGGTCCCTAAGCCTCAGGTGCTTTTCCCCCCAATCCTGTCCTCCCCATCTCGCCGCCACACTCAATTTATTAAGATTCTGCTTGAAACTTCCCCTTGGAGGCCTTGGAGAAGTTTTGCTCCTTGGTTCACAGGTCCGCCTCCCCTCACCAGCCCTTGACATCAGGGCCTTGCTCTGCTCTTTGGGCAGCAAGAAACAATTCAGTGCTGTTGGTTAAATCAAGCAATGGAGGAGAAAAGCCCGCAGAAGCCCGTCTAAAGGGTAGAGTTGGAGGGAGGGAAGGGGTAACAGGTCACAATTACCAGATGAACACATTCAAATTTTCAAAAATGGGTAAGTTTAACATGGATTCAGAATGTGAATTACTTTTTAGGATCAAATAATAGTGGTAACAGCAGTAAGAGTTACAAAGAATAAGAAACACAGGAGAAACTTACTTTCTTTGCATAGTCTACTCACAAGGGAGGCCTGGCCCTGGGACCCGGGTCCGCGCCCGTCCCCCTTCTCCCCGCCCACCTCGAGCCTGCAGGAGAGGGGACCCCGAGGGCCCAGAGGCACCGGACCTACTCACCCGGCAGGCCGCTCTCCTCGGTGCAGACAGCACAGGGAGGAGGGGGAAGCGGCTCTGCCGGGAACAGGGAGGGACCTCCAGGGAAGCGAAACTGAAACTTTGCGCCCAGTCCGCAGGGCGGGCCGCGCCTTTACCGCCCAGCTGCCTCCCGGAGCCCCCGCGCCCTCCCGACGCGCAGAGCCATGGCCTCCCACCTGCGCCCGCCGTCCCCGCTCCTCGTGCGGGTGTACAAGTCCGGCCCCCGAGTACGAAGGAAGCTGGAGAGCTACTTCCAGAGCTCTAAGTCCTCGGGCGGCGGGGAGTGCACGGTCAGCACCCAGGAACACGAAGCCCCGGGCACCTTCCGGGTGGAGTTCAGTGAAAGGGCAGGTGAGCTTCGGGCGGCCAGGCTGCGAAAGCCCTCTGGGGGCCCGGCCCCCGGGTTTCCAGGCGGACCCAGTTCCAGCTGACCTAGGGGAGAGGGCGGGAGAAAGTATGTCACTGTGCGGTGGCGGACAGGGACGGGGCCCTACTGCCAAGAGACTCACTGAGACAGTGAACACTCGGTGGAGGATGGGGCCTCACATGTGCCTGGTGCGGGTCTGGCTGACGGCGCCTTAGTGTGGATGCTTTCCATATCCTCATTCTAACTTAATTTCTCAGCTGTCATCTTCCTTCCCCCAGATGCCTGCCAGCTGCTGTCCTTGTCATTCAGGGATTCCACTTTTATGTTTTAAATAATGGTTCCATTGTTCCATCCATGAACAAAAGGATGTTCCATTTTGTGTTTTTGAGGATTACAAAAGTGATATATGCTCACTATAGAAATAAAAGAGTAAAAAAGAAAACAACCTGAAGATAAACAATGTGACCATTTGGTGTATTTCCTTCCTGCCTTTTTTTATGAATGCCAGCAAACACATGTATATTTACAAAATTCGGAGTCTGCACTTTTGATTCCTGCTGTTGTCACTTACCTGTATAATGAGTATTGAAATGGGAGACTGGGCCGGGTGCGGTGGCTCACGCCTGTAATCCTAGCACTTTGGAGGCCGAGGTTGGTGGATCACCTGAGGCCAGGAGTTCGAGACCAGCCTGGCCAACATGGGGAAATTCCGTCTCTACTAATAATACAAAAATTACCCGGGCATGGTGGTGCGCACCTGTAATCCAAGCTACTCTGGAGGCTGAGGCAGGAGAATCGCTGGAACTCGGGAGGCAGAGAGGTTGCAGTGAGACGAGGTCCTACCATTGCACTCCAGCCTGGGTGACAGAGTGAGACTCCGTCTAAAAAAAAAAAAAAAAAAAAAAAGAAGGAAGGAAGGGAGGGAGGGAGGGAAAGAAGGAAGAAGGAAAGGGGAGACTGGAGACAGTTTTAGAAACATGATGTTTAATCGGTGGACAATGTTCCATTGTCATTAAGCTTTCACTTCTATAGTAAAACTTAATCCGCACACTTTAGAGCTCTTAATAGCTCCCCGACTTTCTCCATCGCCAACCCACCATTCCAGGATGCAGGGAGCAGCCTTACTGGGAGGTGCTGGGGCAGAGTACAGACACAGGAATGAGAGGATTACTTGAAATCTCTCCCATTTTTATGTGTGTATATGTGTGTGTTTAATGTCTCCACTGAAGCTAAGGAGAGAGTGTTGAAAAAAGGAGAGCACCAAATACTTGTTGACGAAAAACCTGTGCCCATTTTCCTGGTACCCACTGAAAATTCAATAAAGAAGAACACGAGACCTCAAATTTCTTCACTGACACAATCACAAGCAGAAACACCGTCTGGTGATATGCATCAACATGAAGGACATATTCCTAATGCTGTGGATTCCTGTCTCCAAAAGGTGAGTATTGAAAGAAGGAGCTGGCTGTGCCTGCGCCTCCTCTCCAGTCACCAGCCTCATGTATTATTGATCCAACACCCATGTGCTGGGCACGTACATGGGAGCCAGGCACTGTTTTAGGCACTGGACACAGAGATGAATATAACAGACAAGGCCCCTGCTCTCAGGCAGCTTATACTGGGGGCCAGGTCATGCACAGAAAGACAGTAGGCAAGTAAACAAAATAAATAAAACCATTTTATTTATTTGGAGAGAAACAGCGCCAGGGCAAGCAAGGGGAAGATGGGGGTGGTGTTACTTCTTTTTTTCCCCCCAAGACAGAGTCTCACTTTATCGCCCAGGCTGGAGTACAGTGGCACAATCATGGCTCACTGCAGAGTTGACCTCCTGGGCTCAAGGGATCCTCTCACCTCAGTCTCCTGAGTAGCTAGGACTATAGGCGCCACTACACCCAGCCAATTTTTTTTTTTTTTGTAGAAACAGAGTCTCACTATGTTGCCCAGGCTGTTCTCAAATTCCTGGGCTCAAGCGATCTGCCCGCCTTGGCCTCCCAAAGTGCTGGGATTACAGTCATGAATTACTGCACCTGGCCTGGTGCTACTTCTAACCAGAAATCAGAGACAACTTGACTGAGGAGGTGATGTTTGGCCTGAAACTTGAATGATGACAAGATTCATTCAACAATAGATATCCACTGCCTACTGTGTTCCAGGCACTGTTATAGGAGCTGGGGAGGCAGCCAGGAACATGGCAGACTCGGCTTCCAGGGACGGCACCTTCTAGAGAGAGAAACAGACAATATTAGTAAACAATAGATATATAATAAAATGTCTGCCAGTCATACCTGCTAGGAAGAAGAATAAGTGACAGACAGTGACAGAACCACCATTTAAAATAGGATGTCTGGAAAAACCTCAAGTGAGGTGACATCTCTAGCCAAGTGGATTTCTGGGCGGAAAGTGTCCTAGAGGGAAGCATAGGTGCAAAGTCCCCAAGAGCTGACATTTTGAGGCCCAGAAGCTTTAAGGAAGCCAGTGTGGTGGGGAGGGCAGTGAGCAATGGAGAGAGGTGCTAGGAACTCGGGAAGGTACCCAGAAGACAGGCCTTTGGGGCTGAAGGTAAGGATTTTGGATTTTTAACTTAAAATGTTAGGGGATTCATCAGATAGTTTTGAGCCAGGGGAGAGGGCGATCTGGTTTATATTTCTAAAGGGTCACTCTGGCTGCTGTTGGAAAACTGAACGTAGAAAGGGGATAGAATGGAGAGTTAGAGCCTGGTTAGGAGGGGTTGCAGTGCGCCAGGTGAAAGATGATAATGGCATGCACTTTGGTGGCCTTGATGGAGGTGTGAGAAATGGCTGGATTCAGGAAACATTTTGAAGATCTAGAGGAAGGATCTTAACATGCAAAGTCCTTGAGAAGGAACAAAACATTAGGAATTTTGCTTTTATATTACAGTCAATTGGTCTCTGTCCTTTTTATCTTAACCTGGCGTGTCTTATATTTGAGCTTCTAAAGGCCAGGGTTTAGAAGGGTCCACAACTTTGCATGCAGTCGAGTGTTTAGTTGAAACAAGAATAAAGGAGGAAGAGTGAAGAAGAGAAAAAATAGTAATAGGAAAAGCCATTGCCCTCAGTTTTATGGCTCCCTTCCAAGTTCACAAACTTTTGTGAGGGCCACAACAACTTGCCCAGAGAGCACAGGTGCCTTCCCTTGACTGCTGTTCCCAAGATCAAACAGCTAGTGGCAGTTGTAGAACACGGATCTCTTGGCCATGGAGCTTTTAGAAATGCTCATGCCCAGGCTCCACTGCAGATTAGTTAACATCAGAATCTCTGGGGATGTGCTTGGGCTTTGGCTGGTTTGTTTTTCCCTGAATTCGCCAGGTGAGTCTTATATGCAGACAGGGCTGAGAACCTCTGGGATGTAGCGTGCTGTATCCTCTAAAAAGGATTTGAGACCAGGCACGGTGGCACATGTCTGTAATCCCAGCACTTTGGGAGGCTGAGGTGGGTGGATCACCTGAGGTCAGGAGTTCCAGGCTAGCCTGACCAACATGGAGAAACCTCGTCTCTACTAAAGATACAAAATTAGCCGGGCGTGGTGGCACATGCCTATAATCCCAGCTACTCAGGAGGCTGAGGCAGGAGAATTGCTTGAACCCGGGAGGCGGAGGTTGCAGTGAGCTGAGATCGCGCCATTGCACTCCAGCCTGGGTAACAAGAGTGAAACTCCATCTTGAAATAAATAAATAAATAAATAAATAAATAAATAAATAAATAGGATTTGAAAGAAGTTGCCCCCACTTGGGAAAGATGTAGTGGTTGTTTCTCTAGTCTCTATGCATTCTCCTGAAGAGAAGATGGTAGGCCTGCATGCTGAGAGGTTTTATTTGTTCCTGTTCCTTTTAAAATTTCAGATCTTTCTTACTGTAACAGCTGACCTGAACTGTAACCTGTTCTCCAAAGAGCAGAGGGCATACATAACCACACTGTGCCCTAGTATCAGAAAAATGGAAGGTCACGATGGAATTGAGAAGGTGTGTGGTGACTTCCAAGACATTGAAAGAATACATCAATTTTTGAGTGAGCAGTTCCTGGAAAGTGAGCAGAAACAACAATTTTCCCCTTCAATGACAGAGAGGAAGCCACTCAGTCAGCAGGAGAGGGACAGCTGCATTTCTCCTTCTGAACCAGAAACCAAGGCAGAACAAAAAAGCAACTATTTTGAAGTTCCCTTGCCTTACTTTGAATACTTTAAATATATCTGTCCTGATAAAATCAACTCAATAGAGAAAAGATTTGGTGTAAACATTGAAATCCAGGAGAGTTCTCCAAATATGGTCTGTTTAGATTTCACCTCAAGTCGATCAGGTGACCTGGAAGCAGCTCGTGAGTCTTTTGCTAGTGAATTTCAGAAGAACACAGAACCTCTGAAGCAAGAATGTGTCTCTTTAGCAGACAGTAAGCAGGCAAATAAATTCAAACAGGAATTGAATCACCAGTTTACAAAGCTCCTTATAAAGGAGAAAGGAGGCGAATTAACTCTCCTTGGGACCCAAGATGACATTTCAGCTGCCAAACAAAAAATCTCTGAAGCTTTTGTCAAGATACCTGTGAAACTATTTGCTGCCAATTACATGATGAATGTAATTGAGGTTGATAGTGCCCACTATAAACTTTTAGAAACTGAATTACTACAGGAGATATCAGAGATCGAAAAAAGGTATGACATTTGCAGCAAGGTTTCTGAGAAAGGTCAGAAAACCTGCATTCTGTTTGAATCCAAGGACAGGCAGGTAGATCTATCTGTGCATGCTTATGCAAGTTTCATCGATGCCTTTCAACATGCCTCATGTCAGTTGATGAGAGAAGTTCTTTTACTGAAGTCTTTGGGCAAGGAGAGAAAGCACTTACATCAGACCAAGTTTGCTGATGACTTTAGAAAAAGACATCCAAATGTACACTTTGTGCTAAATCAAGAGTCAATGACTTTGACTGGTTTGCCAAATCACCTTGCAAAGGCGAAGCAGTATGTTCTAAAAGGAGGAGGAATGTCTTCATTGGCTGGAAAGAAATTGAAAGAGGGTCATGAAACACCGATGGACATTGATAGCGATGATTCCAAAGCAGCTTCTCCGCCACTCAAGGGCTCTGTGAGTTCTGAGGCCTCAGAACTGGACAAGAAGGAAAAGGGCATCTGTGTCATCTGTATGGACACCATTAGTAACAAAAAAGTGCTACCAAAGTGCAAGCATGAATTCTGCGCCCCTTGTATCAACAAAGCCATGTCATATAAGCCAATCTGTCCCACATGCCAGACTTCCTATGGTATTCAGAAAGGAAATCAGCCAGAGGGAAGCATGGTTTTCACTGTTTCAAGAGACTCACTTCCAGGTTATGAGTCCTTTGGCACCATTGTGATTACTTATTCTATGAAAGCAGGCATACAAACAGTAAGTATTTCTCAAGTCCATGGGTTTCTTGCCACTATGCTACGATTACCAGGGCAAAAGAGACTGTCCTGTTGCCTATTAGACAATAGATTTCCCAAGGAATTATCTCCAGGGTCATGTGCAAGGGACTGAAATAGTGGTAAAGGTCACAATGTTTGCTGGTAATTCAAATACCTTTTGTGTCTATTTCTTAAGACAGAGAAAGGGTGGGTGGAGATTATATCTTGAGATGGGGGTATCAGGAAGGTGGACAGTGTTTCCAGCATGAATTCAAGGAAAGAGGAGAAATATGAGTTATTGGGAATATGAGCATAACTTCAATACCTTTCTTGCTTTTGATTTGCTTTATCTACAAATGAACACATCTATACCTATAGTAAAAATTAGACAGGGCACTCTTTTCACATGACATTTTCTTGTTCTCACACAGGAAGAACACCCAAACCCAGGAAAGAGATACCCTGGAATACAGCGAACTGCATACTTGCCTGATAATAAGGAAGGAAGGAAGGTTTTGAAACTGCTTTATAGGGCCTTTGACCAAAAGCTGATTTTTACAGTGGGGTACTCTCGCGTATTAGGAGTCTCAGATGTCATCACTTGGAATGATATTCACCACAAAACATCCCGGTTTGGAGGACCAGAAATGTGAGATCCTTTTGGGATGTAATGGCTGCTCAACAGAGTATAGGGATTATGAAATACGGCAATTTCTGGATGTGGATATAAGTAGACTCTATAGCAGTGGAATTGGTGTTTTGAGAGCTGCTGATCGGGGATGGTAATCTCAAAGACAGAAAGATTGGTCCCCATCAACTTCTACCCTGCCAGCTATAAAGTACTATGGAGTTATTTAAATTTTGCACCAAAGGACAGGGGGCTTTTGAATCCGAGATGAATACTATATAAGCTGATTTAATTTGAGGCGTTGTGTCTATCTGAAGGCTAGATGCTCGGAATGTCACTTTGCTTCCTTTTAAGGTCACCTTTCTTTTTCACCCCTTCCCCCACCAGTCCACAGAGAACCTGAAATCACTTGGCCAATAATATTCTAGAAAAAGTCTAAGTTGTGAGGAGACTATTGGTAGAAACTGTATTATACGAAATCCAATTGTTCTTTATGAAACCCAAATAGGATTCCTCAGACCCTTGGCACTAAAGAAAAAATATATACCCTGAGACTTTTCCAAAACCTTAAATTTGAAAATCCTACTAGCATGTGATTACGATGCCCCCCTAAAACACAGTATATTATTATATTTTTAGGAGAGTCACTACTTACCATAAACTGAAAAATTTTAAGAATTAACATAGACATGAAGCCTCAAAGTAAATCAACGTATTACTATTCATCTTGGATTCTCAAACCCCCTGCCCTTTGATGCGAAATGTAATAAATACATCATATTAATACTTTGTAGTTGGCAGGGTAGAAGCCAGCTTGAAAGGCAGATGCTGGCCAGACAGCTAGGCTCACTCGCTAGCGAAATGACTCGCATCTGCGAATTTAAAAGTCATGATACGTCATCCACCTTCAGGATTACTTGTGAATGTTTGCAACACTGGATATTAATTAAATCCTTAAATGCTGGATATCTATTGCACATATCCGAACAATTTGTGGTGACACTAAAGGAATTTTTGTTTCTTCAGGTATGGCTATCCTGATCCTTCTTACCTGAAACGTGTCAAAGAGGAGCTGAAAGCCAAAGGAATTGAGTAAGACAACTGCTGGAAGATGTCTTAAATCAAGCTTTCAAAAAAATATATTTTAGGAGGCTGATTTAATGCCAGTCTAAATCCTTATGTAGAAAGGACTTTGAAATTTTTCTTCTCAAGAAATGGTTTGTATAAGAATAACAATCTGCTAGTCTGTCATTTCTGGAGTGATACTTTTTTTTTTGAGACGGAGTCTGCTCTGTCGCTCGCGCTGGAGTGCAGTGGCATGATCTCGGCTCACTGCAAGCTCCGCCTCCCAGGTTCATGCCATTCTCCTACCTCAGCCTCCCGAGTAGCTGGGACTACAGGCGCCCACCACCATGCCCGGCTAATTTTTGTTTTTGTATTTTTAGTAGAGACAGGGTTTCACTGTGTTAGCCAGGATGGTCTCGATCTCCTGACCTCGTGATCCGCCCGCCTCAGCCTTCCAAAGTGTTGGGATTATAGGCGTGAGCCACCGCGCCCAGCCCTGGAGTGATACTTTTTATGGAAGACAAAAGCCCCCCAAATCTGTGTAAAATCTGCTGCAAAGGTGTCATCCCTCTTGTGTCATCACTGGGGTTAGAGGTGGGTCCGAAATAATCTTCTGTGTCCTTCAGTTGGACTCTCGGCTGCCAATTGATCTCTTTTTCATTGCCATCTCTGGGGTGGTTCTTTGGTTTTTTGTGTGTTTTCCCCTTCATCTCTACCTGTGAAAGTGAAATTCTATTGTAAATGGGAGGAAAAAGGGTTGGTTGTGAAAAATTAAAGACCCACATTCTGCTTTCTTACTCATGGTAAGAAAAGTGGCCATGAGTAGAGATTGGGCAAGCATTGGTAATAAATGGAATAAGACTATTATTATTATTATTTGAGATGGAGTCTCACTCTGTCACCCAGGCTGGAATGCAGTGGTGTGATCTTGGCTCACTGCAACCTCCACTTCCCGGGTTCAAGCGATTCTCCTGCCTCAGCCTCCTGAGTAGCTGGGATTACAGGTGTGTGCCTCCACACCCGGCTAATTTTTTGTATTTTTAGTAGAGACGGGGTTTTGCCATGTTGGCCAGGCTGGTTTCAAACTCCTGAGCTCAAATGATCCTCCTGCCTTGGCCTCCCAAAGTGCTGGAATTACAGGCATGAGCCACCACACCCACACAAGACTATCATTTTTAATGACCAAGAGCCTAGTATATAGTTGGTGCCTGTCTTAGTCTGTTTGTGTTGCTATAAAAGAACACCTGAGACTGGGTAATTGATAAAGAAAAAGGTTTGTTTGGCTCACAATTTTGCTGGCTAGAAGGTTGGGCATCCGGTGAAAGCCTCAGGCTGCTTCCATTCATAGCAAAGGGCAGCCAGTGTGTGCAGAAATCAAATGACAGAGAGGAAGTGAGAGAGAGAGGTGTCGGGGAGGTGCCAGGCTCTTTTTAACAAGCAGTTCTTCAGGAACTAAGAGTGAGTCACTCCCATGAGAACAGCACCAAGCCATTCATGGGGGAATCTGCCCCCATGACCCAGACCCCTCCCGTTAGGCTTCACCTCCAACACTGAGGATCAAATTTCAACATGAGATTTGGAGGAGGTCAAACAAACTAAACTGTAGCAGTGTTTCATAAAATTGTTTGCCTGACTCAGGTTGCTAGTAAGCCAGCAGAGGGATATTTGCCTCCTAAATCTTTGGCAGAGGCAGGAGTAAGGAAGCCATTTCTGGAGTCCTTGCTACTAATTTGGAAAACTGAGCTTCTTTCTTTCATTGCTTTTTCCCTTAAGAGACAAGTCCTTACTATATTGCCCTGTCTCTCAAGGGAAGACATCAAGACTGGACTTGAACTCCTGGGCTCAAGCCATCCCCCAACCTTGGCCTCTCGAGTAGATGGGATTATAGGCATGTGCCACGGTGCCTGACTTGAGTTTCTTATTCTAGAACACTTGGAGCCTGAACTCTGACCAGGCCCCTCACTTGAGCCTTTGCTTTCTGCTCCTTGTAAACTGCCATATTGGGTGCACTTGCCCTGCCACAGTAATGCTATATATTTCTGAGCATTGTTTTTCTCTAGATAATTTTATATTTTTGAGTATACCCCACTTCCAAGTGTTTTTTGTTTTGTTTTGCTTTGTTTTTGTTGTTGTTGTTTTGAGACAGGGTCTCACTGTGTCCCCCAGGCTGGAGTGCAGTGGCACAATGACGACTCACTGCAGCCTCAACCTCCTGGGGCCAAGTGATCCTCCCACCTCAGCCTCTCAAGTGGCTGGGACCACAGAAGTGCACCACCATGCCTGGCTTTTTTTTTTTTTTTTGGTCGAGATGGGGTGTCCCTGTGTTGCCCAGACTGGTCTTGAACTCCTGGACTCAAGGGATCCTCCTGTCTTGGGCTCCCAAAGTGTTGGGATTACAGGCGTGAGTGACCATGCCTAGCTCACTTCCAGGTTTAACAGACAAAATAAACTTACTCTAGTTTCCATCTCTATCATTTTATAATAACCGTAGCCCACATTGTAGTAGTTTTTCAGCTCTTTACTAAGTCCCACCAATTCATGTTTTCACCCTTAAAATCTTTCTCACTGATACTCTCTCTGGACAGAAAAAAGGTGAAATAAGCCTACTATAAGGAATATATGACATGCTAAATTTTATTTTTAAACGGTTCTTCAAGTCAGATTAAAGTAATAATAGCAAATTATGTGATTATCCATGTCCCAGCCTCTCTCCAAAAAAATAGTAAACAAGATGTCTTCTTCTTTTCCCAAAGATACACATACACACATGTACAAATTTTTTTATCAGATAATAATAGCTAATATTTAATGAGTACTTACCTTAGTTTGTCCCCTTTACAACAGCTTTACATCTGTGTGATTGATACAGTTCATATTCCCATTTTATAACTGAGAAAACTGGTGCACAGAGAGGATAAGCAACTTGCCAAAGGTCACACAGTTAATAAGTGGAAATGCTGGGGTATGAACCAGGTAGTCTGCCCCCATAGCTCTGCCCCCCAGAGCTGTACTGTCTCCCATGAGGGTACTTCTCCATGGAGCAGCCTGAGGCGATCCCTTTATTCTGGGCTTCTCTCAGAAATGGATTCCCACACAGTATTCAAAGCAAATTTCCCCAGAGGAAATCCTATTGGAAGAACTTAAAAACTCAGAATCTTTTTCTTTGTCCAGAGAGTTGAGGAAGCTTAAGCTAAATGATACATGTTTTTAAAAAAAAATCAGATTATAAATTTAGTTTTTGGTGATTCATTAAATTCTTTACTATTATAGTTATTTTCTAGCTGTTCATCTTTTAGCTAAATTTGTTCCAAAGAAGCAAAAGTTTGGTTTCTACTAAGTTCTGGATTCTGGATGGGAGATTGCACTGTGTGTGACATGCAAGTTTCATGGTGTGGGAGATTGCAGAGCATTTGGGTTACTGCTTTTACTCTTTGGAAGCTGTTATCATCTGTATCTGCTTTAAATAAAGTTAAAGATTTGGAACAAATTGTGTTCTTTCCCTTGCTTCTTTTTTTTTCCTTTAGGTTGAGATTCTGGGTGTTTCCTACAACACACACAGCATACAGTTGTATAACATGTGCATGGAGATCTTTGGTTGATTTTGTGTGTAGCTGCTTCCTAAATATGATCACAGTACAACTTAACTACTCTTGACTTCACTGCTGTTACTTTTGGCTGTAAAAATCACATTTCTCAGTATTTTTTCCTTATAACATATAGGTTATAAAGATAAAAGTAGGCTGCAGATATCATCTCTTCTCTCCTGGAGAGAGTATATACAATACCCTATCAAACTATATTTGCCCTCTCCTTGCTTCTTGAGGTTCTGTTTCACCTCTCCAACATTGGTGCTGAAGTACCCAGACAGGTCATTGAGCACTATTAGATCAGGGGCACCCTTCTCTCCAAAGAAAAAATAAAATAAAAGAATAATACATATTTGATGCTTCCCTGAAAATAGCATCAAAGTAATCATTAGGAGAAAAATAAGATCTTTATTGGACTTCCTTACACTTACCGTAATAGTTTAGTGTTTACAAAAATTATCCAGGCATGGTGGTACACATCTGTAATCCCAGCTATTCCGGAGGCTGAGGCATGAGAATTGCTTGAACCCAGGAGGCAGAGGTTGCAGTAGGCTGGGATCAGGCCACTGCACTCCAGCCTGGGCAACAGAGCGAGACTCTGTCTCAAAAAAAAAAAAAAATGTTTAGTACTGTTTTTGGTTTGATTTCCATACAGAAGTTAGGTGCTATTTCCTTTTTTATCGATTGGGTCATTTTTATTGATCAGATCTAAAACATAGAGCTTGATGCAAAGATTAAGATATTAATAATTTTGGAGGTCCAAGCCCAAGGACAAACAAAAAGAGAAGTGAGGCAAAGTAAGATGTAATGTAACGCGGTGCTAGGGGTTATCACCCTGGTTACTGCTTCACAATGAACCTGATGTTGCTGGTCTGGGAATTACATTTAGAGATCCACTGGCCTAGAAAATAGAGTTTAAACTCAGCAGCATGGCCGTTAGCGATTGCTCATGCCACTTTGCATACTTTGTGCTCCTTCCTCACCACCAAGTCCCTAGGGTTCAGTCACACCAGACTACAAGATTTTCCAAAGCACAGTCTATGCTTTCATTCATGTGATCTTTGTTCTGTGTAATCCACCCCCATCGCTGCTCTCTGCATGACAGATGATGAAAAAGGGAACTCTGAAGAGAGAGAGGGAGAGAGAGACACACCTCATTCTCATTCTTCACCTGATTTTCCTCTTAGAAAGTCCCCTACTCATCATGCAAGGTCTTACTGAAATGCCACTACTATAGAAACTTTTCTCCAATCTTGTCTCTAAATTACAACGAACCACTGATTTCTGTTATCCTAATACTTTATATGTATCTCAATGCAAATACGATACCAAAACCTTTTACCCTGCTCTCTGCCTTGGAGGTGGTACTGAGGGCTGACCTCTAAGTACCACATCAGCTCCATTCTCTGATTACTCATTGGGTTCTGCAGTGGGAGGTACCAGCACGAGATTGGAAGGCACACGGAGAGAGTACTTGGGATGCTTATACTCCCCTGGCTGTCTTCCGAAAGCAGTCATGGGTTCTACCTGCTGGCACTTGGTATAGCTCTTACCAAGTTCAGGAGATGCCCCCTCCCTTGCCCCTTCAGCCTAGATGGTAAGGGGAGGAGGCTACTTCACCATCTCTCAATGGTTTCCTTAACCCTTTGCCCACACCTGTGTAAATAATTTCTTTATTAAATTATCTTCAATTATTAATTTTGAGTATACCATCTGTATACTGCCAGGACTTTTCGTGATACACCAGGTAACAGTATTAATCTATGTTTTATTTCTCCACCTCCTACTTCACCCCTCACTCCAAAGAGAGGGGATCTGTGTCTAATTCATCTTTATAATCTTAACACAGTGCCAGGCATATCAAAGGCCTTCAATACGCGTTGATTGAATTAAATAATGCCCTGTTGGGCCAGAGGGGAACCTGACTCCAGCCCTGGCTTAGGGAGCACAGGAGAGAACCCAGTGTATTTTTCTAAATATGGGTGTGTAGGGAGAATTGGGGGGAAAGGAGTGGGATGCCCAACAGAAAAGGAAAGGAATACTGATTCCTGTGTTTTAATGTGCCAGGCATTCTACAGACTTTATCTCATTTAATCTTCATTATAATAACATGAAATAGTTATGGCTGTGCCCACTGTACAGATGCTATTGACTGAGGCTACATAACTAATAAAATTGCAGACCTCAGGATTTTGACCCAGGATTTGTCTGGCAGTAACGTCTGTCCCAAAGGGCGACACAATCCTGAGGCAGCTGTTCGCAAACTCGAGGCCTCAATCTTTGACGGAAGCGGTTTTCAGAGAAAAGAAGTTCGAGGCACAAGCCTGTTGGGTGGGGCGCAACTGCAGTCCCAGCGAGCTGAGGATGGCTGCGCCAGGCCCCCTTCCTGCCGCTGCTCTGAGTCCAGGGGCTCCGACCCCCAGAGAACTTATGCACGGAGTTGCAGGTGTTACTTCCAGAGCCGGACGAGATCGGGAGGCGGGGAGCGTGCTGCCGGCCGGGAACCGTGGGGCGCGGAAGGCCTCCCGGCGCTCTTCCTCCCGGAGTATGGTGAGGAGCGCGGGGGACGGGTGCGGGAAGGGGACAGCAGGGCTGAGCCTGGGGCCCGCAAGACCCAGCAGCCCGAGCGGGCGCAGAGACCCCACGCCACGCACAACCCTCTCTTCTAGGGGGCGCCGACTACACTGACTTCCCTGTTCCGGAAGAGGGGGATGCGTGCTGCTTCTTTTTCCTTAGCATTTCTGGTGGTTTTTTTTTTTTTTCCCTTAAAATTTAAAAGTTCTTTATAAAGTTTGAAAGGATATGAGTCCTTTATTCGTGATATGTGTTATGAATATGTCCTCCCAATTTATTTTTTGTTTTTTGAGTTTGCTTATGGGGGGCTTTTGTTTCTCTTTGCCATGCAAATATTTTAAATTTTGTGTGGCAAGACTTACCAGTCTTTTATTTTATGACGTCTAGACTTTTAGTCATATTTTAATATATGACTTTTAGTCATACTCTTCCCTACACCCAAGTTATAGAAGAGTTCACTCATGCTTGCTTCTAGTACTTGAACTGATGTATTTTTTACATTTAGATCTATAATACATTTGGAGTGTGTTATTGTGTGTGGTTTGAGGAGTGAATCTAATTATTTTTTTTCAAATGGGTATCAAGTGTCCCAACACCATTTATTATAAAGGTCGTCACTGTCCCAGTAACTTGAGATACCAGCTTTATCATGTACTAGACTTTCATATGTGGTTCGGGTATTTCTGGACCTTCTATTTTCATCCATTGACCCGTTTATTCATCTGCTTTAGAGAGGCTTTGCTGTATGTTTTAATGTCAGGGCTAGTCTTCCTAGAGAGTGCTTCCTTGTCACTATTTTCCTAGCTATTCTTGTTGTTTATTTTTCCTTATGAACTTTTCTGATGTATGATCAGTTTAAAAAAAAAAAAGAAAAGCTCTTTGGAATTTTTATTGGGATTGCATTAAATTAATAAATTACAGAGAGCTGATATCTTTAGGTGGTGTTGACATGGTCTAACCTACTGTGCTGTGAAAGATTGAAAATTTGAGTATGTAATGTATATGATATTAAATTGTGAATTGGTGGGACATATGTAACAGCTTTTCAACAATTGTAGATACTGGTACTTCATATCCTCTTAAGGAAAATTTGCCTCCAAATTTTAAGCTGGAAAGTCACTAGAATAACTTTTAAAAACAATTACAATACATGACTTTTTAAACTTTTTTGTGTGTGTATGTTAAGAATAGTGTACAAATTGAAATATCTGTGTACTGATCCTCGACACAACCAATGAAATCTCCATTATGAAGGAATGTTTTGAAGCACATAGAAAAGGAAGCGAAACAAAGGATGCCTTTTCATTGTTTAAGTCTATTTTTGTGTCTTTAAAGAAGGTTTATAGTTATCTTCACATAAAACATTTCAATTTTTCTTTTTTCTCAATATTATATATGAGGTTTACTCATTCGCTATGTTGTCTATTTACGTGTATGTATGCTTTGATGTTTTCTTTCATTTTAAAAATTAAGGTGTAATTTACAGACAGCTTTTCTATATTTAGAAAATTCATACTTTTTAGTGTATACTTCTGTGAGTTTTGACAAATGTTTACCAGTATAATGAAGATATAAAAGAGTTTTCTACCAGTTTCTTTGTCTTCAACCTCTTCACTCAAGATGAGCTCCTGGCAACCACTAGGGTCATCTTTTGGTCCCTGTAGTTCCAGAACGTCATGTACATGAAATCATTCAGCAGAGAGTCTTTGGAGCCTTAGGTATCACTAATTTGCTACTGCTTTCTATTAATAGTTAAATTTCATTGTGGTCAGAAAACATATTTTTCATTATTTGAATTCTTTAAAATCTATGTATTGAGGGCCGGTCGCGGTGGCTCACGCCTGTAATCCCAGCACTTTGGGAGGCCAAGGTAGGTGGATCACTTGAGGTCAGGAGTTCAAGATCAGCCTGGCGAACATGGTGAAACCTCGTCTCTACTAAAAATACAAAAATTAGCCAGGCATGGTGGCACACACCTGTAGTCCCAGCTACTCAAGAGGCTGAGGTAGGAGAATTGCTGGAACCTGGGAGGCAGAGGTTGCAGTGAGCTGAGATTGCGCCACTGCACTCCAGCCTGGGTGACAGAGCAAGACTCTGTCTGAACAACAACAGCAACTATATGTATATATATATATATATATATATATATATATATATATGCACGCGCGCACACACACACACAGAGACATTTGTCTTATGGACACAATATGATCTATCTTGGTAAATTTCCAAGCACACTTGAAAACAAAGTACATTCTCTCATTGGATAGAGTGTTCTATAAATGTCAATTAGGTGGAGTTGGTTGTTGTTCAAGTCCTCATGTCCTTACTGATTTTATGTCTACTTGTTCTATCAATTATTTAGAGAGGATGATGAAATCTCCAACTATAATTGTGGATTTGTTTATTTTCTCCTCGGAGTTCTCTCAATTTTGCTTCATATATTTTGAAGCTCTGTTATTAGGAATAAAATGTTTAGGATTATTTCCTCTTGATGAATTGGTTCATTTGTCATTATGAAATGACATTTTTACCCTTGATAATATTTGCACTGAAATCTACCAAGTTTCTTTTTCTTTTATTTTTAAAAATAATGATAAAATGCATATAACATCAGATTTACCGTCTTAACCATTTTTAAGTATACAGTTCAGTAGTGTTAGGTGTGTTTACATTGTTGCATAGGCAATCTTCAGAACTTTTTCATCTTGCAAAACTGAAACAGTATGTGTTTGTCTTTTTGGGACTGACATTTCACTTAGCATAATGTCTTCCGGGTTCATCCATGTGATAGCATGTGTCAGAATTTCCTTCCTTTTTAAGGCTGAATAATATTTTATACGTATATATAAACATATTTTGTTTATACATTCACCAACTGATGGATTTGGGTTGCTTCCACCTTTTGGCTATTGTGACTAATAATAATGAACTTGGGCTAATAATAATGACTGTACAAATACAGTCATGCTCTGCATAATGAAGTTCAGTCAGTGACCGACCATGTAAACCATGCTGGTCCTGGAAGATTATAATACTGTGTTTTTACTGTACCTTTTCTATATTTAGATATGTTTAATACACAAATCCCATTGTGTTACCATTGCCTGTAGTATTCAGTATGTTAACATGCTGTATAGATTTGTAGCCTAGGAGCAATAGACTATACCATATAGCCTAAGTGTATAGTAGGCTATACCATCTAGGTTTGTGTAAGTACACTCTATGGTGTTCACACAATGACAGAATTGCCTAATAACACATTTATCAGACTGTATCCCCATCATTAAGTGACAGATTACTGTATCTCTTCAAGATCCTGTTTTCAATTCTTTTGTATTTATATCCAGAACTGGGATTGCTGGATCATATGGTAATCCTATTTTTAATTTTTTTGGGACTGCCATGCTGTTTTCCATAGCAACCAAATCATTTTTGCATTCCCACCAACAGTACACAAGGATTCCAATTTCTTCACATCCTTGACAATACTTGTTATTTATTTTCTTTCTTCCTTCCTTCCCATCTTCCTTTCCTTTCCTTTTCTTTCACAGCACCCATCCTAATGGGTATGAGGTGATATTCCACCATGCTTTTGATTTTTATTTCCCTAATGATTAGCAGTGTTGAGCATCTTTTTATATTCTTGTCATCCATTTGTATATCTTCTTCAGAGAAATGTCTATTCAAGTCCTTGGCCCATTTTTAAATCAGGTTTTTGTTGAAGTTGAGTTGTAGGGGTTCTTTGTATGTTCTGAATATTAACCTCTTCACCAATATATGATTTGCAAATATTTTCTCCTGTTCTGTAGGTCACCTTTTTATTCTGTTGATTGTTTCCTTTGCTATGCGGTTTTTTGCTTCACGTAGTCCATTTGTTTATTCTTACTTTTATTGCCTGTGTTTTTGGTGTCATATCCAAGAAATCATTGCCAAATTCAATGCCATCAAGCTTTTCTTTTTTGGTCCATTGTTCTATATGTCTTCTTTATGCCAGTACTGTACTGTTTTGACTACTGTAGCTTTGTAATATGTTTTGAAATCAGGAAGTGAAAGATCACCAGCTTAGTTGTTCTTTCTTAAGATAGTTTTGGTTATTTGGAGATTAAAAGTGACTTAAAAAATTAGAGAACCAGTCTTTTATATTTACTCACATTTTACCATTTTCATCTAGCATTATTGTTGTTCTCTCTGAAAACCTTTTAACATTTCTTATAGCACTGGTCTACTGGTGATGAGTTCTTTCAGCTTTTGCATGTCTGAAAGGTTTTTATTTCACATTTATTGTGAATGATATTTCCTTTTTTTTTTTGAAACAAGGTCTCCCTCTGTCATCCAGGCTGGAATGCAGTGGTGCAAACACTGCTCACAGCAGCCTTGACTTCCTGGGCTCAAGTGATCCTCTCACCTCAGCCTCCTGAGTAGCTGGGACCACAAGCATGCACCATCTTGGCATTCAGCTGGTTTTTAAACATTTTTTGTAGAAATGGGGTCTCACTATATTGCCCAGGCTGGTCTTGAACCCCCAGACTCAAGCAATTCTCTCACCTCAGCCTCCCAAAGTGTTGAGATTAAATGTAAGAGCCACTGCACCCAGCATGAATGACATTTTCTAAGTTGACAGTTAAAGATATTGCTCTACTGTTTTCTAGCTTGCATTATTTCTAACTGGAAGTCTGCTGTCATTCTTATCTTTACCCTTCTGTGTGTAATTCTTTTTTCTTTAATTGCTGTTCAGATTTTCTCCTTATCACTGGTTTTAATCAAGTAGATGTGTCTAGGTGTAGTTTTTCTTCATGTTTATTGTGCTTCTTGGTTTATAGTTTTCATCAAATTTGAATTTTTTTGGCTATAATTTCTTCAAATATTTTCTCCTGTACCTTCCTCTCTCTCTTTCGTATTAGTCCTCTTAAAGTTTTGCCATAGCTTACTAATAATTTATTCATTATTTTGTGTCTTTCATTCTGCATAGTTTCCATTGCTGTGACTTAAATTTCACTTGTCTTTTGTTTCTGCTGTATATAATTATGCTGTTAATCCCATACAGTGTTTACAGTGTTTTTTTTCTTTTTTACCTCAGGCATTGTATTTTTTCTCTCTAGGAGTTTGATTTGGTTCTCCTTTATAGTAAGTGTCTGCTAAGTATGCCCGTGTTTTCCTCTACCTTCTTGGAAGTATGAAATACCATTATAATAATTGTTTTAATATCTTTGTTTACTAATTCTATCATCTGTATCTTTTTTTTTTTTTTTTTTTTTTTGAGATGGAGTATTGCTCTTGTTGCCCAAGCTGGAGTGCAATGGCATGATCTCGGCTCGCTGCAACCTCTGTCTCCCAGGTTCAAGCAATTCTCCTTCCTCAGCCTCCTAAACGCTGGGATTACAGGTGCCTGCCACCATGCCTGGCTAGTTTTTTTTTTTTGTATTTTTAGTAGAGATAGGGTTTCACTATGTTGGTCAGGCTGGTCTCAAACTCCTGACCTCAGGTGATCCACCCACTTCGGCCTCCCAAAGTGCTGGGATTACAGGCGTGAGCCACCAAGCACAGTCTGTATCATTTTTAAATTAGTTTCAATTGATTTATTTTTCTCTTCATTATGCATTATATATTGCTACTTTTTTCATGCCTAGTAATTTTTGATTGGATGCCAGACATTATATGAATTTCACCTTGTTGAGTCCTGAATATTTTTGCACTTTAACAAATATTCTTGAGATTGTATCTGGGTTACAGTTAAGTTACTTGAGAAATGTTTCACCTGTTTGAGGCTTGCTTTTAAGCTTTGTTAGGCAGGAGCAGAGTGATCTTTAATCTATAATTAATTTTTCCACCATGGAGGCAAAACCCTTCTGAATGCTTTACCCTATACCATAAGAATTATGAGATTTTTCTACTGTGGCTATTGAGAACAGGCACTATTCTTAGCTCTTTTGTCATTTGAGACTCAAGGGGGATCCTCTGTAGACTTCTGGAGCTCTTTGCGCAACTCTCTCCTCTCCAGTACTCTGACTTGTAATTTCTAGTCACTTTAGCCTCCGGTAAGTCCCAAGTCTGTCTGTCTCCTCAACTCAGTGAGGCTTCCAGGCTTCTTCTGAGTTTCTTTTTCCTGCTTTGTGGCTTGCACCGCTCTCCATGTGGTAAGCCTATGTGGTAAGCCTATGTGGTAAGCTCCATGTGGAGCAATTGTAGCATTCACCTTATTTGTTTCTTCTCTCCAAGGAATCACTGTCCCATATTGCCTGTTATCAAATATCTCAAAAAATATTTTAGATATCTTTTAACAAAATTTCTAATTGTTTAAAGTGGGATAGGAAGTGTGTTACTCATATTTGCCTAAGTAGAAGTCCTAAAGCTTTTGATGTTTGCATGCTCATTTTATATATTACTGCCAGCTGAGTTTTTAAAATTATTATTATTATTTTCCACTTAATTTAGGGTCTTCCAGGTATAAATCATGTCACCTTCAAGTGAAGACAGTTTTATTTCATCTTTTTCTATTCTATGATCTTGTTTTTTGACCAATATAATTGCATTAGTTAGTTCCTACAGAACAATGTTAAGTCATAGTTACCATACTTACCTTGTTCCTGACGTTAATGAAAAAATACCTACAAAGTTTTCCTAAGTAAGATGCTTCTTTGGGATTGAAGTTCATCTGTTTTTATCATGTTAAGGAAATATTCATCCATTTCTTTCCTTTTTTTTTTTTTTCCGAGATGGAGTTTCACTCTTGTTGCCCAAGCTGAAGTACAATGAATGGCACAATTTTGGCTCACTACAACCTCCACACCCCGGGTTCAGGCGATTCTCCTGCTTCAGCCTCCCAAGTATCTGGGATTACAGGCATGTGTGACCATGCCTGGCTAATTTTTGCATTTTTAGTGGAGACGGCGTTTCACCACGTTGGTCAGGCTGGTCTTGAACTCCTGACCTCAGGTGATCCACCCGCCGTGGCCTCCCAAAGTGCTGGGATTACAGGCATGAGCTACCACGCCGGGCCCATTTCCATTTTTCAAGAGATTTTGTTAGGAATCGGTGTTAAATTTGGTCTAAGTTTTTTCAGTATTTTTGGAAATAATCATGTTGGTTTTTTTCCTTAAACCTATTAATATGGTGAATCATAGTAATAGATTTTCAAAAACTCACCCATTCTTGATTTGCTTGACTTTTATGTAACTCATATTCTAGTGCTTTAAACATTGATCTCTCTGAAGTGCCCTTTTGTCACCGAACTAAACTGGGTCTATTTGCTTGTGTAATGGAAAGCCAAATACTAAAGTACCAGGTTTTTGCAGTGAGAAAGATTTATTTTGAGTCAGCTGACACAGACAGGAGGAAGTGCTTAAATCTACCTAGCTACTCAGGAGGCTGAGGTGGGAGGATCGCTTGAGCCCAGGAGGTCAAAGCTGCAGAGAGTAGTGTTTGCACTTCTGCACTCTGGCCTGGGTGACAGAGGGAGACCTTGTTTAAATCTGTCTCTCCAATCTGGAGGCTGGGTCAGATTTTATAGCCATAGAATAATGGGGTATGATCTGATTGGATCTTGCAAAGAGGTAGTGCTAAGAGACATGATCTGACTGGATCCTGTTATGGAGTGACATCAGGACTTTATCTGATTGGATCCTGGATCCTGCCATGTAGTGTCCACTACTTAATATGGTCCCCATTCCTTGCTCCTGAGCACTTAGGTTCTGCCCGTGGTTGCACACTTGGGTGTTCAGCTACGTGACCTTCAACCTGGGGGTCTATGGCAACTGAAAAACAACTTACAACTTTGTTACATAAAAGCTGAACCAGATTGGTCTGATACAGTTACATTTTTGCATACTGAACTCACCCTTTCGTCAATCATCTGATAGAAGACTGTTTTGATTTATCACATGGACTCCATAAACTGCCATCCCCTATTCCATTTCTGGAACTTTAGACAGTTTACCACCCTGGTTGAGGATACAGCCTTGTGTTCCATTGTGTCAATTTATGAACCGACATTTCTTGAGTAACTGCTGTTTTGCAAATGTCTTTTTTAAAGATTAATGTTTTAGTATTTTATGCGAATCCCTATCAATTGCCATTGGTAGATCTTCTATTTGCTTTATTAGTTGACACATTTTCACCTTAGTACAGTTAGTTAAATAAATATAGAACTTTTATTCTACTACTTTTGGGGTGTTAAAAGTTAAAAATTGTAACCCATCAGTGTTAGTTTTACTGTGATTAGGTGTTGGTTGTGAGGTATGAATTGATATTTAATTTTCTTCATAATAAAACCCAACTTTCCCAGCAATATTTATTAAGTGATGATTCATATTTTCACTCTCCTATTCTTAATATTTCATATGTTAAACGTATTTTTTTTTTTCCTATCACCTCTGTTGGAGTGCAGTGGCCTAATCATGACTCACTCTAACCTGGAACTCCTGTGTTCAAGTGATCCTCCCACCTCACCCTCCTAAGTAGCTAGGACTACAGGAACACACCACCATGCCCAGCTAATTTTTTGAAAAGCTTTTTTATAGATGAAGACTTGCTGTGTTGCCTAGGCTGGTCTCAAACTCCTGGCCTGAAGTGATCCTCCCACCTCAGCCTCCCAAAGTACTGGGATTACAGGCATGAGCCAACATGCCCAACCCATATGTAAACTTTTTGAGAGATTAAGGCTTATTTCTAGAATTGCTATTGTGGTTCTTATATTATCCATTCTTAACTTAGAACTATTTAGTTTTATAATTGGTATTTAAGGATGCATTTTTAAAAAATAGTCTTTAATTTTTAGAGTAGTTTTAGGTTCCCAGCACAATTTAGCAGAAAGTACAGAGTTCCTATATACCCCTCACACCCCACCCCCACACAATCCCCCCAACTATCAACATCCAGCGCCAGAGTGGTACATTTGTCACAATTTATAAACCTACATTGACACATCATTATCACCCAAAGCCCCTAGTTTATATTTGGGTTCACTCTGGCTGTTGTACATTCTGTGGATTTTGACAATGTTTAATAATATGTATATACCATTACAGTATCACACAGAATAATTTCACTGCCCTAAAAACTCTCTGTGCTCTGCTATTCATCCTCCCTCTTGGCAACAGCTGATCTTTTTACTGTCTCCATAACTTTGCCTTTTCCAGAATGTCATATAGTTGAAATCATACTGTATTTTGCCTTTTCAGATTGACTTTTTTCACTTAGTAATATGCCTTAAGTTTCCTCTGTGTTTGTGTGTGTGTGTGTCTTGATAACTCATTTCTTTTTAGCACTAAATGATAGTCCCTTGTTTGAATGTACTGTAGATTATGTATCCATTCACCTACTGCAGGACATCTTGGTTGCTTCCAAGCTTTGGCAATTATGAATAAAGCTGCTATAAATATTTATGTGCAGATTTTTGCATGGGCAAAAGTTGTCAAGTCATTTGGGTAAATACCAATGAGCATGACTGCTGGATCATATGAGAGGAGTATGTTTAGATTTGTAAGAAACTGCAAGACTGTCTTCAAAGTAGCTGTACCATTTTGCATTCCCATCAACAACAAATGAGTGTTCCTGTTGCTCCACATCCTTGCCAGCATTTGGTGTTGCCAATGTTCTGGATTTTCACCATTCTAACAGGCGTATAGGGTAGCTCATTGTTGTTTTGTTTTTATTTTTATTTATTTATTTTTTGAGCTGGGGTCTCGCTCTGTCCCGCAGGCTGGAGTGCAGTGGCACAATCACTTACTGCAGCCGCAACCTCCTGGGATCAAGTGATCCTTCCACCTCAGCCTCCCTGGTAGCTGGGACTATAATCCACCACACCTGGCTTATTTTGTTTATTTTTTGTAGAGATGAGGTCTCACTATATTGTCCAGGTCTTGAAGTCCTGGGCTCAAGAAATCCTCCCTTCTCAGTCTCCTAAAGTACTAGGATTACAGGCTGGTGTGAGCCACTTCACCCTGCTTCATTGTTGTTTGAATTTGCAACTCACTAACATGACATTGTGCATCTTTTCATATGCTTATTTACTGTCTGTATATCCTCCTTGGTGAAGTGTCTGTTCACATCTTTTGCTCATTTTAAAATTTGGTGTTTTTTAAAAAAATTGTTGACTTTTAAGAGTTCTTTGTATGTTTTAGATAACACTTCTTTTTATCAGATATATCTTTTGCAAAAATTTTCTCCCAGTCTGTGGAAAGATGCATTTTAAAGTATAGCAAGCCAAGTTCCTAATCATTTCCTTTGGTATTATCTTTTTAAAAATATCTACATTTTGCTTTCATTTTACCAAATTTTATAGTTGATCATGTTAGTGTCTTGAGATTAAGTTTTATTTTATTATATCTATAATTACCTTGGAGACTATTATTATTTGTAATATATTTATGCAAGAGCAGAGGATATCTGTTGAGGCTTATTTTTGCCATTAAAATTAAGTTATTCTGTTACTATGAGCTAATGTATCATATCTATATATTTTCTAGGAATTGGTTTATTGATTTTTTTTTTTGGTTTATTGATTCTTGTTTTTTGGTACCAGCTTTATTAAGATATAATTTACATGCCATAAAATTCACTCTTTAAAAGTGTGCAATTCAGTGGTTGTTAGTATGTTTACTGAGTCCACTGCTATCTACTTTTAGAAATTTTCAGCAAGGTGTGGTGGCTCATACCTATAATCCCTGCTACTTCAGAAGCTGAGGTGGGAGGATCACTTGAGCCAGGGAGATTGAGGCTGCAGTGAACCATGATTGCGCCACTGCACTCCAGCCTGGGTGACAGAGCAAGACTGTCTCTAAAAAATAAAAATAAATAAAACAAAGAAATTTTCATCACCGCAAGAGAAACTCCATATGCATTAGCAGTCACCCCTTATTTCCTCCTCCCCCAAACTCTGGTAACCACTACTATACTTTCTGTCTTCATGGATTTATATATTCTGGACATTTCACATAAATGGATTCATACAATATGTGGCCTTTTGTGACTGGCTTCTTTCACTTAGCATGTTTTTTCCAGGTATGTTGCAGAATGTATAAGAACTTCATTACTTTTTCTTCTTTTAACCAAATAATATTCCATTGTATGAATATATCACCTTTTATTTATCCATTCAGTTGGTGGACATTTGGGTTGTTTCTACTTTTTGATGATTGTGAATAATGCTGCCGTGAACATTTGTTGTCTCAGTCAGCTTGGGCTGCTGTATCAAATATCATAGACTGGATGACTTCAAAAATGAACTTTTTTTCTCATAGTCTGGAGGCTGGAGGTTTGCGATCAGGGTCCCAGCATGGTAGAGTTCTTAGTAAGGGCTCTCTCATCCTGGTTTGTCGATGGCCCCTACTTGCTGTTTCCTCACATGGGCTTGTCCCTTCATCTTCTTATATTAATCCCATCATGGGGTCCACCCTCATGACCTCATCTAAACGTAATTGTCTCCCGAGAGCCCCAACTCCAAATACAATCACATTGAGAATTAGGACTTCAACTTAAGAATTTAAAGAGGGACACAAACATTCAGTCCATAGTATTTTTGTAGAGGTTACTGTGTGGACGTATGTTTTCACGCCTCTTGGGTATATACCTTGAAGTGAAATTGCTGAGTCACATGGTAACTAACTTTTTAAGGAACTGATACATTATTTTCCTAAATCGTTGCCTTATTTTATATTTCCACCAGCAATGTGTCTTTTTCATTTTAGTCATTCTAGTGGGGTGAAGTGGCACCTCATTGTGGTTTTGATTTCCACTTTCTTAATGGCTAACGATGTTGTGCATCTTTTTAATGTCCTTATTGGCCATTTGTATATCTTCCTTTAAGAAATGTCTATTCAAATCCTTTGTTGGTTTTTAAATTGGATTTTTTAAAAATTGTTGACTTGTAAGGGATCTTTATATATTCTAGGTACAAGTCTTATTGGCTATATGATTTGAAAATATTTTCTTCCATTCTGTGAGTTGTCTTTTCACTTTCTCATTCATGTTATTTTTTATTTTCACAAAATGTATTATTTGTAAGGCATAACTTTTTTTTTTTTTTTTTTTTTGAGACAGAGTCTCGCTCTGTCCCTGGGGTGCAGTGGCACAATCTTGGCTCACTGCAAGCTCTGTGTCCTGGGTTCATGCCATTCTTCTGCCTCACCCTCTCAAGTAGCTGGGACTACAGGTGCCCTTCACCACGCCTGGCTAATTTTTTTGTATTTTTAGTAGAGACGGAGTTTCACCGTGTTAGCCAGGATGGTCTTGATTTCCTGACCTCATGATCCACCCGCCTCGGCCTCCCAAAGTGCTGGGATTACAGGCATGGGCCACCGCACCCGGCCTGTAAAGCATAACTTTTTATCATTTTCATTTCTATACTTACCCTCTTTTCTTTTCCTCACCTTATTTGGATGACCAAGAAGAGTTCCAAATAATATATATATTTTGAGATGGGGTCTCGCTCTGTTGCCCAGGCTGGAGTGCAGTGGCATGATCTCGGCTCACTGCAAGCTCCACCTCTGGGGTTCATGCCATTCTCCTGCCTCAGCCTCCCGAGTAGCTGGGACTACAGGCACCCAGCACCACGCCCAACTAATTTTTTTTGCATTTTTATTAGAGACGGGGTTTCGCCTTGTTAGCCAGGATGGTCTCGATCTCCTGACCTCGTGATCCACCTGCCTCGGCCTCCCAAAGTGCTGGGATTACAGGCGTGAGCCACCGTGCCCAGCCCCAAATAATATATTGAAGCAAAGTATACATATCAGTATACATATCTGATTTTTGTTTTATTTTGATTTTTACTACTTCTAAGGAGAGTGACTTCTTCTTCACTGTGAATACTGTTGACTTTGACTCTTTATTATGCTAAGGGAAAGTTCCTTTATTTCTCTTTCAAAGATAAAAAACAATGAAAAATGGAAGTCAGAGTCTCTATTGTCCCCTTCCTTTGTGATAAAAGTCTACTTAAACCCAGTCTTCTTTCTGAATATGCAACACTTTTGTGTCTTGGTTACATCTGCAGACTGCCCTTTTGTTATGCACTAACAGAAACTTTATTTGCGGTAAAATGTTGTAGCTCTATTAATTTAAATCAGTGGATGATCGCCATCATTTACTATCATGTTTGTTACTTTTTTCCCCATGATTTGGTGAGTAAATCTGACTTTACAAAATATAATGTTTAACTTTATGCAATATTTTAGCCAATGAGTTACCATTTTCCTTGTTATTAAAAGAATAAAGCAATGAGTCAAATCTATATTCTTCCAAAGTATTTAAAAATAGGAAGTAATATAAAGGCCAAATCCTTTCAAATCTCAAATCAGATATAAAAATATCCTGAGTGTTTCTGTCTCCTTAAAAATCAGTAAGTTGGAACATTCAGGCACAAAAGTAATACTTTCCAGAAGAGTGGATAAAATGGAAGAAGTGGAAATGGATGAAATAGATGAATTTGCAAAAGAGATCCTTTACAAGTCTCTCTTTTGGTTGCACTTCACAATATCCAAGACGTCATGACTGAGAACATGCTATCCTTGCTCATGGAGTCTGTTACTGGCCTGCCAGAAGCCAATTGTGACTTCAGGGTGGGAGTAACACACAACATTAAAGTCGTCACTTTTCTTAAAAATATTGGGGCCAGGCACAGTGGCTCACGCCTGTAATCCCAGCACTTTGGGAGGCCGAGGCGGGCAGATCACGAGGTGAGGAAATCAAGACCATCCTGGCAAACATGGTGAAACTGCATCTCTACTAAAAATACAAATATTAGCTGGGCATGGTGGCGCATGCCTGTAATCCCCACTACTCAGGAGGCTGAGGCAGGAGAATTGCTTGAACCAGGGAGGCGGTTATTGCAGTGAGCCGAGCCGAGATTGCTCCACTGCACTCCAGCCTGGTGACAGAGCGAGACTCTGTCTCAAAAAAAAAAAAAAAAAGGTATTGATAAGACAGACTATAGCTTTCACCTTTCATTTGCAAACTATGGTTGCATGCTACTTTGAGATTCCAGGCGTCCCACAATGGGTCTTCATTAAAAGAATGAGATACCATCTCACGCCAATCAGAATGGTGATTATTAAAAAGTCAAGAAACAATAGATGCTGGTGAGTTTGCAGAGAAATAAGAATGCTTTTACACTGTTGGTGGGAATGTAAATTAGTTCAACCATTGTGGAAGATGGTGTAGTGATTCCTCAAAGATCTAGAACCAGAAATACCATTTGACCTGGCAATCCCATTACTGGGTATGTATCCAAAGGAATATAAATCATTCTGTTACAAAGATACATGCATACATATGTTCATTACAGCACTTTTCACAATAGCAAAGACATGGAATCAACCCAGATGCCCAATGATGATAGACTGAATAAAGAAAATATGGTACATATATATCATGGAATACTATACTGCCATAAAAAGGATGAGATCATGTCCTTTGCAGGGACATGGATGGAGCTGGAAGCCATTATCCTCAGCAAACTAACACAGGAACAGAAAACCAAACACCACATGTTCTCACTTATAAGCTGGAGCTGAACAGTGAGAACACATGAATACAGGGAAGGGAACAGCACACACTGGGGCCTGTCTGGGAGTGAGGTGGGGGAAGGGAGAACATTAGGAAAAATAGCTAATGCACACTGGGCTTAATACTGAGGTGATGGGTATTTAGGTGCAGCAAACCACCACGGCAAACATTTACCTATGTAACAAACCTGCACATCCTGCACATGTACCACAGAACTTAAAATAAATATTAAAATTAAAATTAAAAAAAAAAAAAGAAAACCAGACAAGGCAAAGGAAGAGGGGAAAGTCAAGCATGCACATAGCACTGTTCTAACCATTAAACTAATGTTAACTCTTTTAATCTTCTTACAAGGCAAGTAGTATCATTATCCTCACTTTCTGGGTGAGGAAACTAAGGCATAGAGAAGTTAAATGACTTGCCCAAAGTCACACATTCAGTAATGGTGGAGCTGGGATTCAAATCCCAGGCAACCCTTGCTTTTAAGCCTTACACTAAATGGCCTTATTAATGCTACAGCAAGAATTCAAAATCAAATCTCTCTGACTCCAATGTGTGTGCCCTTATCCACTATGCCAGGAATGAGCTCTGCTACTTCATTTTTGTAAATCATTTTATCTTCTAGTCACCTTGAACATTCAATTTGTAAATCACTTTATCTTCTAGTCACCTTGAACATATATATATGTATAGACTAAAAGATAAAATTATCTGTCTATCTATCTATCTATCTATCTATCTATCTATGTATCTATCTATCATGTATCTATCTATATTTTTGAGACAGAGTCTCCCTCTGTCGTCCAGGCTGGAGTGCAGTGGCGCAATCTCAGCTCACTGCAACCTTCACCCCCCGGGTTCAAGCTATTGTCCTGCTTCAGCATCCCGAGTAGCTAGGATTACAGATGCCCGCCACCATGCCTGGCTAATTTTTTTTGCATTTTTAATAGAGACGGGGTTTCACCATGTTGGCCAGGCTGGTCTCGAATTCCTGATCTCAAGTGATCCACCCACCTCAGCCTCCCAAAGTGTTGGGATTACAGGCATGAGCCACTGCGCCTGGCCAATTTATATTTTTAAATACGTTTTTATCTATGTTATTAAGATAACGTGGATTCACTGTAAAAAAGAAATTAGTACAAAAATATGTATGGAAAAATGCAAAAATAATCCTATTAATAACTTAATATTTCAGTAACCATGCATTTGTACATCTTTTGATGCATATATGCAAATATATAGATAAAATGATACTAATGTATAGGACATTATACATACATACATTTTTATTATAAACACATTTGTTTTCTCTAGTGTTTTACTTTTTCTTCTGTGTTCACTCCCTCAGCCTTTCCCAGCCCCACCTGCCCCAAACTGGGAAATCAATTTTACTACAAAATCACAAGTATATATTTACATTTATAGAAATTTTGTCGCTTGTTTTGAAAAGGTAGAATCCTATAAGAAAAAAAAAAGTTGTGCTCTTTCTAACACTCAGTAAGAGAGAATTGTGAGGGAAATATGCATAATTACTTCTGCTACTACTAATAGCTAACATGTATTAAGCACTTACTCTATGCCAGGCACTGTGCTTAGACTTTTACTTACCCTATCTTAAAACATATAGCAATATGAGATAGGTACTATTAGTAAGAATGAAATTGGGGGTTAGAGAGGATTGAATGACATATTCACAGTCACACAGCTAGTACCTGTTTCAGAATTCCATGTTAGACATCCTGACTTCTGAGTGTATTTTCTTAACTGCTATGTACATCCCCTCAAATTGCCAGTGAGTTTTAATAGTGAAGCTATATGACATGGCTGTTGTCAGGGATCACTTGAGCCAAGGAGTTTAAGGTTACAGTGAGCTATGATGGGACACTGCATTCCAGCCTAGGCAACAGAAAAACAACAACAACAACAAAGAATCAGATATTTATGACTTTATAATCATGACATGTCCAAATAGATATCAAGGTATGGGTAAGTTTGTATGGGAGACAAAGATAAATCAGATTGAGAAAACAATATTGTGTAACAATTATTACTATTATCATATTACAAAGTAGCTCCATGTCCTTGATTACACTTGGAGAGGTAACTGTTGATCCTGTTCCTCAAACGATCTCAAATTGGAAGTCATTGTTAAAGATTGCTGTGTATTCAGGGTAGGCAACGTAGGGTAAGTTGAAATTGATATAGGGTAGGGGAGGTTGAAATTGACGTTGTGAAATCTAACTTTACATAGAAATTAGCATCTAATTTTAATTTGTGGTTATCGCCTCTAAATCAAATTACTTTTAAAAATCTATTTTCTTCTAATATGAAATAAAATTACAATACCAATAAGTTGATTTTTACTTCTAGATGTCAACACATTTATTAATGTTTGTGATGGACACCATGGAAGTTCAGCAACTTCAGATTTCCTCAGAACCTTTGGAACAGACAACAACCATTAAGATTGAAAATATGCCACTTGATGGTGAATGTAATTACATAACAATTTTCTTCAAAAATCCCAAAAATGGAAGAGAAAGAGTAACCAATGTTCAGTATTTCCCAGAGGAGGGTTCAGCCCTGGTTGAGTTTTCTGACTACAAAGGATTAATTTCTCTTCCTTCTTGATGTTCAAAGTGGTTATTCAGCTTTTAATGCATGGATGAAGTCAGATTAGAGGCTGCACAGGTGATAAGGAAACCCATCAAAGCCACAACATTCTTACTGGAATATGCTGTGAATTAACTCAAGCTTTGAACAGGTTCTATGGGGATCTAGCTAAAGGAATTGTTTTTTTTTTCGCAGTAACAAAACAAAAGCTTCCCTTGACCCCAATTTCCACATAGCTACTACTTCATTTCTTTGCTTCCCTTTGCAGCAAAATTTCTTGATCGAAATTTGTCTACCTCACCCCCATTTCCTCTCCCCCCATTCTTTCTTAAATCCATTCCAGACAGGCTTTTACCTCCAGTGTTCCACCAAAGCTGTTCTTGTCAAAGTCACAAATGATCTCCACTTTGCTGGACTCAATATCCTCTTTTCAGTCCTCCTTTTACTCGATCTCTTAGCAGCATTTCATACAATTGATGGCTCCTTCCTCCTAAATACAGGTTTTTCACTCGCTGCTAGGACACCATACTTTTCGGTTTTGTCCTACCTCAGTGGCTGCTTTTTGTTGGTTTGTTTTGAGACTTTAGTCTTGCTCTGCTGCCCAGGCTAGAGGGCAGTAGCACGATCTTGGCCCACTGCCACTTCCCCCTCCCTTTTCAGCCTCCCTAGTAGTTGGGACTACAGGCATGCACCACCACACCCAGCTAATTTTTGTATTTTTTTTGTAGAGACAGGGTTTTGCCACAGTGCCCAGGGTGGTCCCAAACTCATGAGCTCTAGCAATCCGCCTGCCTTGGCCTCCCAAAGTGTTGGGATTACAGGCATGAGCCACCACGCTGGCTTGGCTGCTCATTTTTATTCTTCTTTTCTCATTCCTCTTCTTTCCTCCAGTTCTTAATGTGGGACTTAGTCCTTGGTTCTTTTTTTCCTCTTTCTCTACACTCTCTAGGATCTAGTGGCATTAAATACTGTGTACCTATGGCTCAGTTTTTATCTGCAGTCAAGACTCTCTCCTAAACTCCAGTATCTATGCTCATTGCCCAGAAGACTTCCATACCTGGTTGTCTAAAAGAATATGCATAAACATGGCTGGGTGCGGTGGCTCACTCCTGTAATCCCAGCACTTTGGGAGGCCGAGGCAGGTGGATCACAAGATCAGGAGATCAAGACCATCCTGGCCAACATGGTGAAACCCGTCTCTACTAAAAATACAAAAATTAGCTGGCCGTAGTGGCATGTGCCTGTAATCCCAGCTACTAGGAAGGCTGAGGCAGGATAATCCCTTGAACCAAGGAGTCGGAGGTTGCAGTGAGCTGAGATCTCGCCACTGTACTCCAGCCTGGCAACAGAGCGAGACTCCATCTCAAAAAAAAAAAAAAAAAAAAAAAAAAGCATAAACGTAACATGTCCTAAACAAAAACTGCTTACCCTCTCCACCCCACCTCATCAACTTGCATTACCCATGGCCTTTCCCATGTCAGCGGATAGCAACTCTATCCTCCTAGTTGCTCAGACCAAAGCCCAGGAGTCATCTTGACTCTTCTGTTTCTCTCATATCCTCTATTTTCCTTTGGGAAATCCTGTTCACCTTCAAGATATATTCAGAATCTGATCACTTGTCAAATAAAACATAAAGCATTTAGAAAATGGAATGAACCATTTTAAAGACAGTAACATTTTCTTGAAGGGTTTACCATGCACAAAATAGCTTATACTTATACTTTGGATAATATGACCAAATAAACATCATTTTTTAATGGCTGTACCTCACCTGCATGTCCCTTCCCAACTGTGATCATGAGGAAGAAGTGGTGAAGCCAAAAAGTATCCCTGAAACTATAAGTGGGAAGAGAACACTGGGGGAAAAGTCAGAGGATAGAAGCAGATATTAGGATCTTCCTCACATAGCTTCAATGAAAACCAGTCAGGTAGGAGAGCTAAAAGTTGAGAGGCTATCTACAAAGAAAAGGAGCTTAACTTTCAATAGTGGTGTCTTAGTCTGTTCAGGCTACTACAACAAAATACCTTAGACCAGGTAATATATAAGCAACATAAATGTATTGCTCATAGTTCTGGCGATTGGAAAGTCCAAGATCAAAACACTAGCAGATTTAGTGTCTGATGAGGGCTTATTTTCTCTTCCAAAGATGGCACATTCTTGCTGTGTCCTCACGTGGCAGAGAGGTAGAAGGCTTCTGAAAGCCTTTTTAAAATAATGGCACTAATCCCATTCATGAGGGCTCCACACTTATGACCTAATCACCTCTTAAAGGCCCCATCTCTTAATAATACCACAATGGAAATTAGGTTTCAACATCAGTTTTGGAGGGACACAAACATTCAGACCATAGCAAGTGGTTTTTTTTTTCTTTTTTAAAATTATTATTATACTTTAAGTTTTAGGGTACATGTGCACAATGTGCAGGTTAGTTACATATGTATACATGTGCCATGCTGGTGTACTGCACCCATTAACTCGTCATCCTGATCTCGAACTCCCAACCGCAGGTGATCTGCCCGCCTTGGCCTCCCAAAGTGCTGGGATTACAGATGTGAGTCACCGCGCCCAGCTTTTTTTTTCTTTTTCCACAATACATCCTAAGAAATATATTTTATATCCCAGACCATACCTTATATTAAAAGAACAGTATTTGTTGCAATTTGGAAAAATAAATTTTGTTGCAATATGTGCATTCGCTGCTAAGGAATAGATGCATTTTCTTTTCTAGTCTATACATATAGATTTTATATATATGCATATTATAATATACACAGAGTTGTTCCTCAGTATCCACAGGGGATAGATTCTTGGACCCCAAGCAATGCCAAAATCCATGGATCCTCAAGTCCCTTATGTAAAATGGCCTAGTATTTGCATGTAACCTACATGCATCCTTCTATATACTTTAAGTCATCTCTAGATTACTTTATAATACCTAATGCAGTGTAAATGCTATGTAAATAGTTGTTATACTGTATTTTTATTTATTTTTCACTGTTGTGTTATTTTGTATTTTTTAAAAAATATTTTCAATCAATGGTTGGTTGAACCCATGGATATATATTTACATGTTTTTTGTTAAGACCTTTAAATTTCATATTGCTGGTATAGTGGTTAGAGCTTGGCTCTCAGCAATTACTTTGCTAAAAAGGATTAGGGGATGGGAGTTTCAGCCTTATCCCCACTGTCTCTACCAGCCTGCCTCCTCAAGCCATCCTATATAAGCATACAATTTATATTTTTACTTTTCTATTGCTACATAACAAATTACCACAAAACTTGGGTGTTTTAGATAACAAACATTTATTATCTCACACTTTCTGTGATCAGGAATTTGAGAGCAGCTTAGCTGGGTGATTCTGGCTCAGTATCTATCATGACGTGGTTATTCAGTTGTTGGTTGGGGCTGCAGTCATCGTAGGCTTGACTGCGACTGGAGAGTCTGCTTCTGAGCCCACTCACATGGCTCCTGTCAGACACTACAGTCCCTTGACTTTGAGGGCCTCTCCATAGGGCTGTTCATAAATGGCAGCTGACTTTCCCCAGATTGAGTTATCTGTGGGAGGAAGAGGGAAAGAGAGAGAGAGAAAGAGAGGCCATGAGAGCGCAGAAAGCTGCAGTGCTTTTCATACACCAGCCTCAGAAGTGACATAGCGTCAATTCTGCCATATTTTGTTGGTCACACAGCCAACTCTGATATGATATGGAAGGAGACTACGCAAAGGCTCAATGACCAGGAAGTAGGAATTGAGAGTGATCTTACTTTCACTATCCAAGAAGGTACAGCTTCAAGACAGTCTCCCTTCACCACCCTCTACTTCTAGCCAGATTGTCACACCTAAGCCATCTATATAGAAATATTAGAGCACCACGGTCCTTTATTTTTATTTTATTCTTTTTTTTATTTTTTATTTTTTTGAGATGGAGTTTTGCTCTTGTCACCCTGGAGTGCAGGAGTGCAGTGGCGTGATCTCAGCTCACTGCAAGGTCTGCCTCCCAGGTTCAAGCAATTATCCCACCTCAGCCTCCTGAGTAGCTGGGACTTCAGGTGTGCGCCACCACACTCAGCTAATTTTTTGTATTTTTAGTAGAGACAGGGTTTCACCACTTTGGGCAGGCTGGTCTTGAACTCCTGACCTCAGGTGATCCACCCGCTTCAGCCTCCAAAGTGCTGGGATTACAGGCGTGAGCCACCACACCCAGCCTGTCCTTTAGAATTCCAAATGTATTAGCCAGGTGTAGTGGCACATGGCTGTGCTCCCATCTACTTGGGAAGCCGAGGTGAGAGGAAGATCACTTGAGCCCAGGAGGCTGAGGCTGCAGTGAGCCATGATATTGTGCCACTGCACTCCAGCCTGGGCAACAGAGCGAGACATAGTCTCAAAAAAAAAAAAAGAATCCCAAATGTATAGATCTAAATCCTTCCAGATTTTATTAGCTGGATAACAATGGCAAAGTTACTTTCTGATTCTCTCTCTCTCCCCTCTCTCTCTTTCTTTTTCTTGCCTTTCTTCCTCGAATTTCTCTTTTTTCTTTTCTTTCCTTTCCTTTCTCTCTCTTTCTTTCTTTTTCTTTCCTTTTCTTCATTTATTTATTTACTTATTTGAGACAGGGTTTCACTGTGTTGCCCAGGCATGCAGTGGCATAATCATAGCTAATTGCAGCCTCAAAATCCAGAGCTCTAGTAATCTTTCCACTTCAGCCTCCAGCATAGCTGGGATTACAGGTGTGCACCACCAAGCCCAGCTAATTTTTCAATGTTTTCATAGAGATGGGGTTTTGCTATGTTGGCCGGGCTTGTCTTGAACTCCTGGCCTCAAATGATCCTCCTGCCTTGGCCTCCCAAAGTACTGGGATTACAGACATGAACCATTGCACCAGGCTTGTTTCCTCATTCAGAAAGTATCTATCTCACAGGCTCATTGTTAAGATTAAATTAAGTGAGATAATATTTACAAAATATCTGACACATAACAGGTACCCAATAAATAAAGCTATTATAATTATCAAATTAAGAACAAATGGGAAACACAAGTTACTAATTTGGTGAGAAATAACAGGTATGAATTGTGTTTTGGATAGCTATAATTCTTAGCAGATATAAGCACAAAATGCCATTATTAAATGTTATTTAAGTATTTCACTCTTTCATTTTCACTGTCCTTCATTGCTATCACCTCTGACATAAGAGTACTAAAATAAAACTATTTTTACTAGTAAAATGCATTCAAAGTAGGCTAGGGAGTTCAATTAAGAAAAATATGGGAGAAAAAAGGCAAAAGAGTTCACTTAGATGTAAAACCAGACCACTAAGTGATGGTCTATCTTCTGCTTGCCTGGGAAGTTATTGTTTCCCATGTTGACCTACCCATTCCATCTTAGGGCAGTTCTAATTATTTTAAAACGTAGCTTTATGTTAAGCCCAAATATGTTTTACTATAGCTGTACATACCAACTTAGAGTAGTAGAAATCATTCCTTCATAAGGCAGCTCTTCAAATGTCTAAAGACAACTGCTCTTGCATTCCACCCCACTCATTATCTCTACTCCTGCAAGTTAAAGATTCTCATTCCCTTCTGCATATCCTCATGTGACATGGTTTTGCATCCTTTCAGGGCATCGGTTTTTCTATTCTGCACATACCTAGTTTTCATAATCCCTTTGCAACATTTGGCACTTTGAAGTAAGCACATACCACAGGTGTTGCCTGTTTTTAACAGTGAAAAGTAGAATAAAGTCGTTATTCATGCCCATTCTCGTTAGTATGTTTCTATTAGTATTGCCCCCAAATTCATTATTACCTTTTTTTTTTTTAAGGAAAGGACTTTGTTTTTAGAGTAGTTTTAGGTACACAGAAAAATTTAGCGAAAGCGGAAAATTCTCAAATACCCCCCTCCCCTAGTTTCCCCTATTATTAACATCTTGCATTAGTGTGATACATTTGTTGCAACTGATGAACCAATGCATTGTTATTAACTAATGTCCATAGTTTAGAGTTCACTTTTTGTGTTGTATAGTTCCATTGGTTTTTGTTTGTCTTTTATGGTTTTTTTTTTTTTTTTTTTTTTTGAGACGGAGCCTTGCTCTGTTACCCAGGCTGGAGTGCAGCGGTGCGATCTCAGCTCACTACAGCCTCCACCTACTGGGTCAAGCCTCCCAAGTAGCTGGGACTACAGGTGCTTGCCACCACGCCCAGCTAATTTTTGTATTTTTAGTAGAGATGGGGTTTCACCATGTTGGCCAGGCTGGTCTCAAACGCCTGACCTCAGGTGATCCACTTGCCTCAGCCTCCCAAAGTTACAGGCATGAGCCACTGCCTTGGCCTGTTCCATTGTTTTTGACAAATGCATAATGTCATGTGTCCACCATTGCAATATCATACAGAATAGTTTCACTGCCCTGAAAATTGCCTGTGCTCCACCTATTCATCCCTCCCTCCTTCTCCAAAATCTCTGGCAACCACTCATCTGTTTACTGTCTCTAGAGTTTTGCCTTTTCCAGAATGTCATATAGTTAAATTATACAGTATGTAGCCTTTTCAGACTGACTTCTTTCACCTAGGAATCTGCATTTAAGTTTCTTCCATGTCTTTCTGTGGCTTGATAACTCAGTTCTTTTTCTTTTTAGTGCTAAATAATATTCTATCGTATGGAAGTACCATAGTTTATTTATCCACTCACAGAAGGACATCTTGGTTGCTTCCAAGTTTTGGCAGTTATGAATAAAGCTTTATTGCTTCCAGAAACATTCATGTGCAGGTATTGTGTGAACAAAAGTTTTCAATTTATTTGGGTAAATACCAAGTCATGCAACTGCTGAATCATATGGGAAGAGTATGTTTAGTTTTGTAAAAAACTGCCTGTCTTCCAAAGTGGCTGTAGCATTTTGCATTCCCACCAGCAATGAATGAGTGTTCCTGCTGCTCCACATCCTTGCATTTGGTGGCCTTTTTTTTTTCTTTCTTAAACAGGACTATATTACTGTTAATTTGTACTGAGTTTACTGCCAATCAGGATCCCTTAGACGTTTTTATATGACTTAGCTGCTGAGCCACATTCTCTTTCTCTCAAACTTGTGCAGTTATTCTTTGGACTTTCCTTAGTGGTCTTTCTTTTCTTTTGTGCCTCTCCCAGATGCCCTGGGCTTGGTCTCTTTTACTTATCAGGTGCATTCATAAGCCAACTGCTTATTGACTGTATTACTGTTAAGGACTCACACTTGGATTCTTTCCCAGGGCACTGCCTTTGGGAGACTGAAGGGTGCCTCTCCCAGAGGTGCCTGGGAGTTGACATTCATCTCCTGATCAGATGGTACGTAGACAATAACTGACTGGTATGGAGGTAGAGGAACTGAGCTCCCTTGCCCCTAGGAGGGACAAATGCTGTTATGGAAGTTATACACTCTAGAGCTCCCTGGGAGATCAGGCAGATACCAGGGTACACCGAAAAACATATTCTAGCTTAGCTTCTTCCTCTTCTCTATCTTCATCTCTCACTTCCTACACGTTTCTCCTGCGGGCACAACCTTAATAAATCACTTGCATATGAATCCCAAACTCAGGCTCTGTTGCTAGGGAATCTGACCTAATTTTATGACTTCTTTCAATTATAGCACAAAATTGTTCCTAATATTTTTGTCTATTATAACCATTCCTTTCAAAAATAGTAATGACCTTACTTTAAAGAGGTTATTTTGAATTGCTCCTGCATTGTTGCTTGTATTTATTGAATCTCTAAGGGCAAGACTTTTTCAGGAAAGAATTACTTTTTCAATATTACAACGAATGTCAGTGGGAAAATCAGACCAATGTGATAAAACTTTATGGCTAAGTAAACATGCATGGAATTGACTTGTTCCATTAGTTGAGGATTACCTCCATTGCATTTACGAATGTCACATTCTTTCACTGACCTGTTGACAGTGGTGCCATTTTAGGAAGACACTCTATTTCAGTCTCATGAGTGTCAGCATTTATGTGCCAGAGGTACCTTTTACTCTTTAAAATATTACCATTTGGTTTTGTCTGAATGATGACTACCCTTTATTTTTATTTTTGGTGGTGAACACCTACTTGACCAAAAAGTCTGGGTCTTCAATGAAAGGCCCATTTCTGTGTCCCAGTGTTGTGTGTCTTTGGCCACAGCCTTGTATCAAGGGGAAAAGTCCCTGAAAAAGTTGCCAGGCCAGCACCACTCCTGGTGGCCCTGGATCCTCGCATATGGAAGTTCCTGCCTAAAATGCATCACCTGATCAGAATGACAAATCACAGGATGAGAAGTTGTCACTGTGAGGTAACATGACCCCAAGGTGTAAGGGGTTGGAGGCAACATGCAGGTCTACAACCACCCAGCTTACTCAAGGAAGACCGAAAAAAAATCAGTGTCATCAAGACCTGTAGAGAACATGTTTCTAAAAAAACCTCCTGCATTGTGTCTAAATATCAAGTCACCAGATTGAATATGAAGCCAGCAGTATGGGAGGACATAAAAAACAGTTTAGAGGATGATAGGATTTTGATTGAATTTGATATGTTCAAGGAGATGGTCATAATAATTGGTTGTCTGGAGGATGTGAAGAGTTGTAACACAATTAAAGACAATAAGAGAAAGCACCAACCAAAACAAAAAGGAAAACCAAAATGTGACTGAGAATGTAGCTGGTTCTTTTGGGAGGTTTTCTAGTCTTCACATCAATGCTTTAAGACTCTCACCCAAAGTATTCTCTGGGTGGGAGATCACGGATAAAACTTTCATCAAACATACCAGTGTGCATGCAGAAGAGTAACAAATCATGAAATTCTTGAGCAAATGAAAGTATTGCCCAGAAACCTACTGCCAAAGCATAGACTGAAAAATAATCAAAGACAATTTTAAACAGAAAAAAATTGATATCCTTTTTGAGTGAGATCAGGCATGGAAAATAGATTTAGTTTCATGGATTACCTCTGACCAAATGATAATTGTTGCCTGGAGCTCTGTGTTGAGGAAGATTCTGAGACTGGATCTGGGTTGATTGAAAAAGAATGCTGATATGGATTAGTAATGTCTGTCACAAGTGCAAGAGGGATAACATGTACTATATTTTTACCATTTGTGTGAGAAATACCATGAGGTAGATAAGCTCAGATTCCATGAAGAGTAGAACTGAACTGGGTGTCAAGAGACCACATTCAAGTACTGTGTCCTTCATTAGCTAGTAGTTTGATTTTGATCAAATGATTTCATCCATCTGCACACTGGTTTCCTTTTCAGGACAATGAAGTTTCTATCCTGGATGGTCTGTCATGA
Organism: Homo sapiens; assembly: GCF_000001405.40. NCBI lineage: Eukaryota > Metazoa > Chordata > Mammalia > Primates > Hominidae > Homo > Homo sapiens. The sequence continues at coordinate 122,604,278 of NC_000003.12, forward strand.
CCCTTTAAATTCTAAAATTCTATGATCGATTAATAGTCAAACTTCAAATGCATTATTATGGAGTACTCAGGGATGTGTCTTAGGTTGAGTGCCTCCTGAAGAGCACCCTAAGACAGGATTCAAGTGCAACTTATTTAACTAAGAAAATAAAGAAAACAGACTGGGTGCAGTGGCTTATGCTTGTAATCCCAGCACTTTGGGAGGCCAAGGCGGGTGGATCACTTGAGGTCAGGAGTTTGAGACCAGCCTGGTCAACTTGGTGAAACTGTGTCTCTACTAAAAATACAGAAAGTAGGGCCGGGTGTGGTGGCTCGCACCTGTAATCCCAGCACTTTGGGAGGCTGAGGCGGGCAGATCACGAGGTCAGGAGTTCAAGACCAGCCTGGCCAACAATTAAAAAGATAATTTTTGTATCTTTGTAAAGATACAAAAAATTAGACGGGAGTGGTGGCGAGTGCCTGTAATCCCAGCTACTCAGGAGGTTGAGGCAGGAGAATCACTTGAACCCGGGAGGCAGAGGTTGCAGTGAGCCAAAATCGTGCCATTACACTCCAGCCTGGGTGACAGGGCAAGACTCTGTTCAAAAAGAAAAGAAAAAAAATACAGAAATTAGCGGGGTGTGGTGGTGTGCACCTGTAATCCCAGTTACTTGGGAGGCTGAGGCAGGAGAATCACTTGAATCCGGGAGGCAGAGGTTGCAGTGAGCCGAGATCACGCTACTTCACTGCAGCCTAGGTGACAGAGCAACACTCCATCTCAGAAAAAAAGAAAGAAAGAAAGAAAGAAAGTAAAGGAAACTGGTAGGGCGCATCATCAAATCAGCTCCCACTTAATCCCACTGGGGAAACTCATAGTGAATCTCTCTGGGAGGCAAGGTTGCTGCTGTATTTTTATACCAGCTCCTGTCAATCACTGGATGAGGGCTGGTGGTGGGGGATTGTGGAGGGGGGTTCAGTATGCCTGTACTTCCTCTCTGCTACACCAGCAAGCCAAATGAGATTTGGCACTAGAGAAAGTCTCCAGGCAAGAAATACAGTTGGAAATATATCCAGGGTACATTTAAGTAGTAAGGGCTGGGGAATACAGACAGGGTTGGCTATGCTAGGATTCTTGGGGGGAATAAGTAAAAAACTCACTGGCATTTGGGATATTAAATACAATTGATATTCAAACATTATAATAATAAACTATCTGCTTTTAAATCTCAGAGCCAAGTTATGAGTTTAGTTGGAGAATTCTGTGAAATGTAATAGTTATTTTCTATATGAACACCTATAAGGAAAGTTTACTTATTTACTTATTTTTCATCTTTTTGAGACAGGGTCTCGCTTTGTTACGCAGGCTGGAGTGCAGTGGTGCCATCATGGCTCACCGCCACCTTGATTTCCTGGGCTCAAGCAATCCTCCTATCTCAGCCTCCTAAGTAGTGGGCACTACAGGCACATGCCACTGAGCCCGGCTAATTTTTTATTTATTTATTTTTTCGTAGAGACAGGGTCTCAATATGTTGCCCAAGCTGTTCTTGAACTCCTGGGCTCAAGTGATTCTCCCACCTAGTCTTCCAAAGTGCTGAGATTACAGACCTGAGCCACCGCACCTGGCCTAAGAGAACTCTTGAAATTGGCATTGCTGGTAATGCTTTACTGTTTTCTCCACAGTCCAGAGACAACAAGTTCAGCAAGAAAGATTGTCTTTCAATCAGGAATGTTGTAGCTTCAATCCAAACCAAAGAAGGTCTGAATCTCAAGTTGATAAGTGGAGATGTTCTGTACATCTGGGTAGGTGATGCCATTTAATAAATCTACCAAGGAACAGTGGGATCTATTTAACTTGTTCTGTGAGTTGTTCCATGATTTAATTTGTTCTTTATCTTAATCAAAGATTAAAGATATCAAAGATAAATTTGAGAAGTTAAACCCACTTAAAGTTTATGCAGATATATACTTACCATCCCCTATATTCTTCCACATGTACTCATGTGGAGGGGTTCAAGTTTAACCACAAACAAGAGTTTGCAAATCTATCTCTTTTATTTCTCTGTAACTGATCTTGACTTACTCTCAACCCAGTTCTATTTTTCTCTCCTGCACCAGTCAGCATTAGTGAGGAAGATATGTGTACAGCACACTATAGAATCACCCTTCACAAACACGCCTTTGCTCCTGCCTGAGCACTTTGCAGAAACACAGGAAGAATGAGGAGGGATAAAGGTTACCAGAAGAGGTGCTAAATCCTCAGCCTGGCTCCTGCCTACCCCTCCTCTCCTACTGTTTCCTCTTCCTTGGAATCACCAGTTAACAGAAGATACAGGCCCTATATTCCTCCTATAGTTGACATCCATCGTGCTCAATCCTGGCTGCAGATCATAATCATCCGGGGGACCTTTTAAAAATACGGACTCCCAGGCCCCACCCCTAGAGATCCTGCCTTTAATTGGTCAGGGATGTGGTGTAGGCGACAATAGTTTTTGAAAGCATTCCAAGTGATTATCTTATGCAGCTAGGGCTGAGAATCACTGGTTCAGATGCTTCTTAGAATTCTATAGCCCCACCATTTGGACACCTGATGTTTACCTTCAGATGGCAGACATTCAGGACTAACAGAAAGAGAACTCTGCTGAGAAATTGGGAGACTCTTCTGGATTGTGAGCCACTGGAAATATTCTTTGCATTTGCTGTAGTTAATGGGATGGCAGAGGGGAGGCAGCCGGCTGCTTTCTTCATGTTCTCTAGAGTTTTAGAGTCCTCTGTCACGTGGGTTCAGGACCTTGTCCTCAAATCAGCAGGTTGAGAAGTTGCATCTTGTCATTTTACACAGAATTGATCTGACTCACACTAATCAAACTCAAGAGACTTACTTATAACACTGGAATTGTAATTATTTCATTTGCAATGAGAAAGATAATTGCCATGGCTACTGGTAATAGTGAGCTCTGCAACCGAGTATTATGAGAGTGATTGGTGAGTGATATAACCAGAAGAACTGGATGATATAAAAGGACAGTAAATTTATTTTTCACTCTAGTTATAGGCATAGTGTGGTGGGTAAGCAGACCAACTCTAAAGTCAGTTCTGGCAGGGTTCAAATACTGCTCCACCACTCAGCAGCCACTGATCTTGGTCAATATCCATCTTATGTCTCAGAGTTCTTATCTATAAATATGGATGATGGTGATATGAAGGTTGTTATGAGGCTTAAATGAAATAATTCATATAAACCACTTATCCCCTGCCTTGCACATAATAAGGACTCAAAAAAATGATAGCTATTATCATTATCCCCTTATGATGGGCCACTTTATATTTTACCTTACTCAATTAGTACTACAACCTAATGAAGAAATATATGACTTACCCACATTTTATAGATAAAGAAACCAAGGTCTTTTCACTATGCAGTCCACTGAGTTGATTATAAATTTCGTGTCAACTCATATTGGGGTTTACCTATTCTTACCATTGGATGGTGCTGTGTAAACTTTGGAATCCTCTTTATCTTTCTTCTCTGAATTCTTTCTCCTATCCAGTTAGTTTCCAAGCCCTAATAAGCCCTCTTTCAAAATATCTCATGTACATGTCTTTCCTTTTCATTGCCATTGTCTACCCGTGTTTCGGTACACACCACTCCCAACCTCCAATCACGCCTCAGTACTACCCTTACCTCCTTGTCACTCTTTAATCTGTCCTCTACATCACTGTTTGATATATATTCCAAAAACATTATTTTAGCAGGTACTTCTCTGCACACACATCTTCGGTGTCTTCCTACTACCTATAGGGCAAAGTCCAAAAAAGTGTGGCTTTCCAAGTACTCCATCGTCTGGCCCTAAATCTCTTCCCAGCCGCTCTTCTCACTACTGAACCTCTGCTTTAGCTAAATTTGGACTACTTTCTGATCTTTCACAATCCCATGCTTTCTTTTTTTCTTTCTCTTTTCTTTTTTTTTTTTTTTTTTTTTGATACTGAGTCTTGCTCTGTCGCCCAGGCTGGATACAGTGGTGTGATCTCGGCTCACTACAACCTCCGCCTCCTGGGTTCAAGTGATTCTCCTGCCTCAGCCTCCCAAGTAGCTGGGATTATAGGCGCCCACCACCATGCCCAGCTAATTTTTCTATTTTTAGTAGAGACCGGGTTTTGCCATGTTGGCCAGGCTGGTCTCGAACTCCTGACCTCAGGTGATCTGCCTGCCTTGGCCTCCCAAAATGCTGGGATTACAGGCATGAGCCACCACACCCGGCCACAATCCTGTGCTTTCTTAAATATTCCATGCACCTTGAATGCCTTGCTGCCTTCTTTCTACCTGACCCAATTATAGCCATTCTTCAAGGCCTATCTGAAATCTGAAATTCTTATCCCCTTTAAAAAGCCTTCACTCACTATTCCAATCTAAATGATTTCCTATCTTTTTTGAAATCTATACCAACTAATATTTGTATATTTAACAATGTCTTTTGATTATTTTGAATTGATTTAAACATTACAACAAGGTTACTTTTTTTTTTTTTTTTTGAGATAGCGTCTTGCCTTGTCACCTAGGCTGGAGTGCAGTGGCGCAGTCACGGTTCACTGCAGTCTCAACCTCCTAGGCTCAAGCAATCCTCCCACCTCAGCTTTCCAAGTAGCTGGGAATACAGGCCACTAGCTAATTTTTTTTTAATTGTAGAGACAAAGTCTCACTGTGTTGCTCAGGCTGGTCTTGAACTCCTGGGTTCAAGTGATCTTCCTGCCTCATCCTCCCAAAATGCTGGATTACAGGAGTAAACCACTACACCCAGCCTATTTTTTTACATGTTAATATATTGCTTCCCTAAACTGTGTAGGAATCAGTAAATGGAGAGTGAAACTGCAAGTGGGAGTGAGGAGAACATGGGCTAGATCTAATTTTGTTTTGTTTTGTTTTGTTTTGTTTCTTGGATGGCTTGCTCACTCTTGTCTCTGCAAGGGGCTTCTCAGATATTGAGATTAGTTTATGCTAACTTCATATAATACCTCATATGCTAACTAACATTATATAAGTGGATCCAAGAATGCCGATTATTAGGTTGAGAAATATAACCTATTATATGTCCCAGAGACATAGACATCTTTTAATTTACAATGAAGAAGAGTTCCCCAAAGAACCAGGACATTAAAAATCCACATGATCAGGCTGGGCTCATGCCAGTAATCCCAACACTTTGGGGGGCCAAGGTGGGCAGGTCACTTGAGATCAGGAGTTCAAGACCAGCCTGGCCAACATGGCAAAACCCCATCTCTACTAATAATACAAATATTAGCCAGGCATGGTGGCACATGCCTGTAATCCCCGCTACTCAGGAGGCTGAGGCATGAGAATTGCTTGAACCTGGGAGGCAGAGGGTGCAGTGAGCCGAGATCATGCCACTGCACTCCAGCCCTGGGAACAGATCGAAATCGTGTTTAAAAAAAAAAAAATTAAAAAAAAAAAAGGCCACACGATGAGAGTGTTTGTCTCCTCTTACTCCCAACTTACCAGGGAATCAGAAGGTTTCTGGTGAGCACAAAATCTGAGTAATAGGAGTTATGAGTTGAATATGTAACATCTCATGGCATTAGGCTATGACCCTCACTTCACCAAAGGAACAGCCTTAGCATTGACACTGGAGAACTCAACATCCCTGGACAGGCTAGAATGGATACTGCCTACCCTCACCTTAGTGACTTTCCTTTGCCAAGGCCTTCAGGGCCGACCATACCCTCCTTCACATTGACCTAGTCTTTCTTTTGGTATATTGTTAAATTCAAAACAAGTATTCTCAGTTCCTGCCAGGCTGAGAGCAATTCTTTCTCCCTTCCCCTGTCTCTCTGTCTCAATCTTTCTGTGTTTTTGTTTCTGTCTGTCTCTGTCTCTGTTTTTCACTTTCATTTTTCTTCTTTCTCCATTTCTCTCTCTCAGTCTTCGTCTCTGACTCTCTGCCTCTGGTCTCTGACTCATTTTCATAGCTCTACTCTGACTCATTACGTGTTGATTTCACAGCAGTGGTTAATATATTTCCTTAATGTCTAAGTTTTGGAAGTAACCTCATCATGGTGTTTCAGTGCTAACAATAGACTGTAAGCTCCTTGAGGGTGGGGCTGACATGTTAGTATGACAGGCAAAACATATCTGTACATTACCCCACAATACTTAGTAAATTTACAGTTGCTCCATCATTATGTATTATTGATTCAATCTCTAACTGTTGCTATTTTCGTTAAGGCCGATGTCATTGTCAACAGCGTTCCCATGAATCTTCAGCTTGGAGGAGGACCACTATCTCGGGCATTTTTGCAGAAAGCTGGTCCCATGCTCCAGAAAGAGTTAGATGACAGAAGGCGGGAAACAGAGGAAAAAGTAGGTAACATATTCATGACAAGCGGCTGCAATCTGGACTGCAAAGCTGTGCTCCATGCTGTGGCTCCATACTGGAATAATGGAGCAGAGACTTCTTGGCAGGTAGGGAACGCTCTTAGTTCTCCAACGTATTGGGTGGCTTTGGGAATCTCCTTCTGGTGTGGTATAGATCTGTGCTCAAGGGAAGCAATTTTGCCCCACAGAGGACAGTTGGGTTGTTACAACTGCTGCTGGTATCTAGTGGGTAGAAGCGAGGGATGCTGGTAAATATTCTATGATGCACACACCAGCCCCCACAACAAAGAAGTGTCTGCCCTAGGCTGTGAAACCCTCGTATTGATTGAACCCTGTCTATCTATTGAAATCTTTATTACATTCCATGGAGAATTCATCACAACTACCAGTTATTTCCAAGTAATTGACCCTTGGAGGTAGTAACATTCATTGGGATTCTACAGGAGTGGTGTCTAAGTTGTAATGTAATAATCTTTCAGTACAGCAAAGAGGTGCGCCCAGCACTGTGGTGAAGAAGAAAAAAGAGTCAGTGCCCTTCTTTCGATAACATCATTCCCACCTCCACTACCAGTTTAATTTCCCAACTTTTTTTCAGAATATAAAAAAGTAATACAAATACATTGTGGAAAATATAGAAAAGTACAAAAAGACAATAAAAATAATAATCCAACCACCAAGAGATAACTGTTTTCTTCTTCTTCTTTTTGAGACCGAGTTTCGCTCTGTTGCCCAGGCTGGAGTGCAGTGGGGCGCCATCTCAGCTCATTGCAACCTCCTCTCTGCCTCCCGGGTTCAAGTGATTCTCCTGCCTCAGCCTCCTGAATAGCTGGGATTACAGGTGCCCACCACGGGGCCTGGCTAATTTTTGTATTTTTAGTAGAGACGGGGTTTCACCATGTTAGCCAGGCTGGTCTCAAACTCCTGACCTCAAGTGATCCACCCGCCTCAGCCTCCCAAAGTGCTGGGATTACAGGCATGAGCTACTGTGCCTGGCCTTAAGAGGTAACTTTAGTTAACATTTTACTATATTTCCTTCAAGTCAACTTTATGACTTTATGCATATTTATTTATTTATTTATTTATTTTTTGAGATGGAGTTTTGCTCTTGTTGCCCAGGCTGGAGTGCAATGGCACAATCTTGGCTCACCGCAGCCTCCGCCTCCCGGGTTCAAGCAATTCTCCTGCCTCAGCCTCCCGAGTAGCTAGGATTATAGGCATGTGCCACTACACCTGGCTAATTTTGTATTTTTAGTAGAGATGGGATTTCTCCATGTTGGTCAGGCTGGTCTTGAACTCCCGACTTCAGGTGATCTGCCTGCTTCATCCTCCCAAAGTGCTGGGATTACAGGTGTGAGCCACCACAACTGGACAGCATATTTATGTCTTAGTTGAGATTCTCTTTCTCTCTCTTCTTTTTTTTTCTTTTAATTGAAACAGGGTCCCACTCTATTGCCCAGGCTGGAGTGCAGTGGCGCGATCTTACCTCACTGCAACCTCCACCTCCTGGGCTCAGGTGATCCTCCTACCTCAGCCTCCCGAGTAGCTGGGACAACAGGCACACATCACCATCCCTGGCTAATTTTTGTGTTTTTGTAAAGATGGGGTTTCACCATGTTGCCCAGGCTGGTCTTGAACTCAAGGACTCAAGCGATCTGCCCACCTCAGCCTCCCAAAGTGCTGGGATTACAGGTGTGAACCACTGTGTTAGGCCCAATATTCTCTCTCTTTTTTTTTTTTTTGAACCAATATTCTCTTTAAACATTTTTAAATACAGTTTTTTTGTTTTTGTTTTTGTTTTTGCTTTTGAGACGGAGTCTTGCTCTGTCACCCAGGCTGGAGTTGGAGTACAGTGGCGCAATCTTGGCTCACTGCAAGCTCCGCCTGCCAGGTTCACGCCATTCTCCTGCCTCAGCCTCCCAAGTAGCTGGGACTACAGGCGCCTGCCACCACGCCTGGCTAATTTTGTTTTTGTATTTTTAGTAGAGACGGGGTTTCACTGTGTTAGCCAGGATGGTCTCGATCTCCTGACCTCATTATCTGCCTGCCTCAGCTTCCCAAAGTGCTGGGAGCCACCGCGCCCTGCCAATACATTTTTTTTTTAACTTAACATAAATACTGCATGTTGTTAAAGACTCTTCATAAACACCACTTTTAGTTACATTGAGCTACCATTTTTATGCAGCCATTCCCACGCTGTTGGACCCGCCTCTCCTGAATGAGTGTGACTCTCTCTGGAAAGTACTCTGCCCTGTTTTTGTTTCCTCTTTCTGACTTCTCAGGCCCTGACTAAGCCAACAATAGCAGAGAGGTCCTTGTCAGAGTTGCTGGGACCACAACTCTTTCTGTTTTCCGCTAGCTTAAGCCCTAACTTATGTAAATGTACTTTGCACATTTCAGATCATGGCAAATATAATCAAGAAATGTTTGACAACTGTAGAAGTGCTATCTTTCTCATCAATCACATTTCCCATGATTGGAACAGGAAGTTTGCAGTTTCCCAAAGCTGTTTTTGCTAAACTAATCCTTTCAGAAGTGTTCGAATACAGTAGCAGCACAAGGCCGATAACTAGCCCTTTACAAGAAGTCCACTTTCTGGTATATACAAATGACGATGAAGGCTGTCAGGTATGGTTACATATCCCATCTGGTTAATTCTGGCAAGTGAACCCAAGCGCATTCAGATGTTTTTATAGATCTAGGAATAACCGTGTTTTCTAATCCTGTGCCTATAAGTGATGGTTGCTAATGGGAGGTTGTCATATGACTTAACTATGAGCCAACACTGATAACTCATGTTCCTAGACAGTTCATCAAGAGACAAGCTAATCTGTAATAAATACATTCTTAGAAAGAAGTGGAAAGTTATTGGCATAAAAATGGCCTAGACATTTTAACACTGACTACATGAAAGCTAAGTCATGGCTTTATCTATGGGGAAAGGGCAGAATGAGAGAAGCCTCAAGGATTTAGTTATTTGGATAGCATAGACCAGTCTACACAAGTCTGTGAGTGTCTACAAACTAGAAATAGCAGCACCATATTCAGCAGTGGAGAAGCAGTCAAGGCACACTAACTAAGTAGTTCCCACTGACATTAGAAGAATGGTATACTTAGGTTTAATCTCAGTTTTGCCATTTAAAAGTTGGGTGACATACCTCTCTGAATCTCAGCTTTTTTTTTTTTTTTTTTTTTTTTTGAGACAGAGTCTCGTTCTGTTACCCAGGCTGGAGTGCAGTGGTGTGATCTCGGCTCACTGCAGCGGCGTGATCTCAGCTCAATGCAGCCTCCGCCTCCTGGGCTCAAGCAATCCTCCCATCTTAGCCTCCCTAGTAGCTGGGATTACAGGCATGTGCTACCACGCTCGGCTAATTTTTGTATTATTAGTAGAGATGGGGTTTCTCCATGTTGGCCAGGCTGGTCCTGACCTCAGGTGATCCACCCACCTCAGCCTCCCAAAGTGCTGGGATTACAGGCGTGAGCCACTGTGCCCAGCCTGAATCTCAGTTTTATCAAGTGTAAGATGAGTGTGGTAATAACACCTTTCGGAATTGTTCTAACTATTAAAACGGGTGTATTTGAAGTGTTTTGCATGATATCTAGCACATAGAAAACCCCCAAAACTGGTAGTAGTCATTACCCAACTTTAAGGACTGACAAGCAATTGCTACAACTTACTAACATCACCACTTAAACTGGATCAAAGATAATTTTGTTTTTTAAGTTCTTAGTTATACTTACCCATTCTGGATGGAAGTGTGGTCTTTCCAGAGATGTTTCCCAGAGTTCCCCAGAAACACTCCAAAGTATTGCATGATGTAGTTTGTAAGCAAATTTATCCATAGGAAATAATAATAATATTTTAAAAAACAACATTTACCCCCAAAGGTTCTTAGTTTTTTTCCCCCGGTAAATATAAAATATCCAGAGACATATTTTTTTGCTCAAAGATAAACTGGGGGAAATTATTATTAGCAAACTGTTCGTGATATCTGTGTCCTTGTTGAGTTCACAATAACATCTGCCCTTTATTGGGGTGACATCTTCAGTAGCAATCTGGAAAGTAACTGCCCCAAATTTCATTGTTAACCAAGAATTAGAAACATGGACTGGTGCAGTGGCTCACGCCTATAATCCCAGCACTTTGGGAGGCTGAGGCAGGGGGATTGCTTGAGTCCAGGAGTTCAAAACCAGCCTGTGCCACATGGCAAAACCTCATCTCTACAAAAAATACAAAAAATTAGCCGGGCGTGGTGGTGTACATCTGTAGTCCCAGCTACTTGGGAGGCTGAGGTGGGAGGATCAGTTGAGTCCAGGGGGTTGAGGCTGCAGTGAGTCAAGATCATGCCACTGCACTCCAGCCTGGGCAACAGAATGAGACTCTGTCTGCAAAAAAAAAAAAAAAAGAAAAGAAAAGAAAAGAAAGAAAGAAAGAGAAAAAGAAAAAGTAGAAACAGTCCCAAAGATACCTGAAAAGAAAGAAAATGGATGAAGACAACCCAAGTGAAACTTTATAACTCTACTCTGTCGCCCATTGCTCAATTTTATCACTCACACGACCAAAATGCCTTTTTGTTTTTTCCATTTCTAAACAAAACTTCAATGTCTGAGGTTTTCTAACGTGGATTTTCGTGTTTTCATTCAGGAGGCTTTGGCTGGACCTAAGAGATGAAGCATACTGTATGTATTTGTTGTTAATCAACCCCAGAATGTACCTAACAGCCAAAGATGCCAAGGAACGTTGTTGCCCTGCCCCCTGCTCACCTACAAATACTCTACACTTCCCTCAGCCTATTGGATGTAGGAGATTAGAATTATGGGGCTTCAAAAGAGGAGGGATAACGATAGTGGTCACAAAAAAGGCATGTGACTTCCTGCAGAGCCACAGTCAGCACCCCTGCTGACATACTTGCCTGGACAGTGTTAGTTTACTCACAAAGTAAAGCAAATCAGCACTGCTATTTGTGGAGAAAATTCCTAGGTTGAACCGCAATCCTTTAAGAAGTCTCTGAGGGAAGAGGAAATATTTTGAGAACTATTGTTATCAACTCTTTGATATCTGATGATCAATGCTCCAAAGAATTGGATTAATATTTTTACACAATATTGTTGTAGTCAGTAACTGTTTCTATTTCCAGGCATTTTTAGATGAATTCACTAACTGGTCAAGAATAAATCCCAACAAGGCCAGGATTCCCATGGCAGGAGATACCCAAGGTCTGGTAAAGTCGTTCTGCTAAGGAAATATTTCCTTTTGCTGAGCAACTCTTCAGTGGTAGTTGAAGTCCAGTAGAAGTAGGCAAAGCTAATTCACATGAAGAACAAATCTGTGATGGGGGAGGTGTTAGAGCATGTCCCATTGTCTGGGCACACAAAGAAGCAATCGCATATTAACATGAACCAAATTAATGGTAATGAAACCAGAGTTTCTAAGAAATGGTAATAAAATAATAACTAAACCGTGCCTGGCACACTATACTTTACTGATTGCTTTCATATATAGTATATTATTTAACGTGTACAATGGCCCCGTGGCAGGTGGTTCTGTTGCCACTGTATAAACGTTGAAAGGTAGATCTAAAGGGTTTAAGGGATGAGCTGAAGTGGCACAGCTAAGTTGTAAGCCTCAGAGTGTGGAGTGGAGAGTAATATGCCAACAGGTTAAAGGTAACTTCCTCTGAGCAGTCTTTTTTTTTTTTTTTTTTTTGAGATGGAGTCTTGCTCTGTCACCCAGGATGGAGTGCAGTGGCGTGATCTTGGCTCACTACAAACCCCGCCTCCTGGGTTCAAGCAATCCTCCTGCTTCAGTCTCCCGAGTAGCTGGGATGACAGGTGTGCACCACCACACCCAGCTAATTTTTCTGTATTTTTAGTAAACACACGGTTTCACCATGTTGACCAAGCTGGTCTCGAACTCCTAACCTCAAGTGATCCTCCCACCTCAGCCTCCCAAAGTGCTGGGATTTTGGAGCAGCCTTTATATTGCTACACCTGTGGTAATAAAAGACCCTCCTAGCAGTGTTGTCTGCAAGAAAGGACAGTGCCCTTTTCACACTCCCTTTTTTTTCTCACTCCTCTCTCTTGACACCCCAGCAGCTCTTGCCAGTAAACAGACTGACACTATCGGATATTTCTGCCTTATCCTATGTAACTCAGAAAATGTAGATATGCTTACTGTCACAAAGCGTTATTTTCTAATTTCCTTTAAAAAGAAAACCAAGCTGTTTAAGAGGCCAGGAGATGTGGCAATATTTCGGTTTATGTTGGGGGAAAAGAAAGAGGGCTGAGCTGGGAAGAGAATAGGGCCCCAAGATGAGTGCTGTTCCTCCAGAAGCTGAGCCAGCCCATTCTTTACCTATTTTCTTTCTTTTCAGGTGTGGTCGGGACTGTCTCTAAGCCTTGTTTCACAGCATATGAAATGAAAATCGGTGCAATTACTTTTCAGGTTGCTACTGGAGATATAGCCACTGAACAGGTAGATGTTATTGTAAACTCAACAGCAAGGACATTTAATCGGAAATCAGGTACTTTATTTAAGCAATATATTGTAATTATTAGTATGACTAATTTCTGGAAGGGAAATTGTGGCTAATATTTGCCCTGAGTGGACAGAGAGTGTTGTAGAAAATATGTGGTCTCTGAACTCAGGAAGACGTGGGTTGAATCCCAGCTATGCCACTTAGCAATGTGTAGCTGTGGACAAGTCACTTAACCTCTCTGAGTGTCAGTTTCTTTGCCTGTCAAACACCTATTTCCCAGGAGAGGATTAGATGGGGTGTTAACTGATATAAAGGTGGAGTTTAACTGACGCATTGTACTTAGTGTCAGCTCTCAACTGTTGAATTTCCACAAGTATAGTTTAGTACCTCTAAGTTCCTCTATTTTTACTTTCCTGTTTATGTAACCTACTTGGCATTTAGAACTCACCTTCGGTAGCTCTTCTCTTCTCTGCATTACACTGACCGAGAAATGAAACGCAACCGTTTTTCTTTATTTTCCGTGACATGTTTGACTCCCATTATAGTAACACATTCGGGCAGGCCCTCCCCTCATATGTCTATTAATTTATAACTTATACACATACACTCAACCTTTTTGGGTTTTTTGAGGCGGAGTCTCACTCTGTCGCCCAGGCTGGAATGCAGTGGTGCAATCTTGGCTCACTGCAACCTCTGCCTCCCGGGTTCAAGTGATTCTCATGCCTTAGCCTCCTGAGTAGCTGGGACTACAGGCATGTGCCACCCCCTAATTTATTTATTTATTTATTTTTTAGTAGAGATGGGGTTTTGCCATGTTGGCCAAGCTGGTCTGGAACTCCTGACCTCAGGTGATCTGCCTGTCTTGGCCTCCCTAAGTGCTGGGATTACAGGTGTGAGCCACCATGCCCAGCCCTCTTAAACTTTTGTATATTATAAAATGTTGACTTTTAAATTAAAAGGGTAAAATAAAACGGAAATAGAATTTAAATATTTTCTAAGTTGAAAAATATTATGGAACTTACCATGCAGAAGTGAATCTGTAGAATATCCATTTAATTCATTGGTCATTCCATTTTTCAGTCATTTAAAATGTAGACATAAAGAACATTTGGTTATTTGAAACATGCTAAGTTGAATCTATGCATTTATCCCTGTCCCCTTTTGGAATTCCATTATGTATTACAGTATACAGTTGTATACTGTAAAGGAATGAAAAGGATATAAACACACAAGAAAAAAGAACGTTGGAAGGAAAACAACTATGAACAAAAGATAACAAATTTTTAGACGATGGGGAGCTGCTAGCCAAGGGTGGTAACTGCCATGGAGTAGAGAAAATTTAGTACCTGCAGGCGAGAAGAGTAGCCCCAGAGACACAGGAATTAGAGGCTGCTGGTATCTGGGAAGGCAGGGGGCAAGTACAGAGATGAAAATAAGATTGAATGAAATTCCAGATCAGTAGCAGTTAGACTACTTGATTGGATCCTCCATCCTATACAGCAGTAACTTTCCTTGCTCTTCCCTGGCCAGAGATGGGAGGTTTATTCTCTAGAGAAACAGAACCAGAGGGATTTTGGACTTAGGGCACCAGGCATAGGTGAGATGAGGAGCTAGGCTGAAAACTGTTTAAGAGAACATCTGTGGACCAAACATCGAGTGCCCAGCCCCTCTCCTGCATGGATCCCAGAGCAGCAGACAGGAGGTGCTGCCTGCTCGCCTTACACTGAAGCCCGCTGGTCAACAAGCCTTCTTGCATAGAGCTTCTAAGCTCACTCTTAAATAGGAATGGACTGGTGAAGATCACTTGACATTTGAGGAAAATCTTCACAGCAAAGACAGAGACCAGAACAAACAAATTGAAAAGAGATTTTTTTAAAAAGAGACATTTTATAACACATATATAATCAAGGATATAGAGATATAGATATCTTCATAATGATAAAACAACTAACATTCATTCAATATTTTCTGCATGCCGGCTTCTGTGCTAAGCATTTTTCATCCATTATCTCTTTTAATGTACAAATAACCCTGTGAGGGAAGTGCCATATTAGCCTCTGTGTAACAGATGAGGAACTTATTAGTCACATACTAGCTAGTAAATACTGGAGTCAACTTCAACCCAATTTGTCAAAATGCAAAGTCCATATTTTTAACGACTCGACCCAGCTGTCATTAGACTTGACCAAAGTGGTGAAGCTACGACTTTGACTGGAAGATTCACTGGAGTGAAACCAGCTGTTTAACTGAGCAGGGCAGGGAATCAAAGAACTTAGTAAAGTGCTTGATTTTATTACAGTTTTGAGATCCATGCTTCTCAGTATCAGAACTTTTATTTTTATAGTTTCATTCGTTTTTACAAAATAATAAGGGTAGAATGCAAAAAATTTCAAATAACTGCAAAAACAGTCCTGTATAAATAGAGAAGGTAAAGTTGCAGACGCCAGCCTTTCAGCTCCTGGGCACTTCCATGGCACTGAGATCAGACTGTTCATCAGCCACTGGGTGGAGGTTGCTATAGAAAGAGCAGTTGGTCGGGCGTGGGGGTGGTCAATGGATTATGCACAAAAGGGTGAGTTGAGCAGAAGTCTAATGTACAAAAACTATAACCACTTATTGAATTCTAACTGATGCCTTTTACCATTAACATGTCTTATTTAGGTGTGTCAAGAGCTATTTTAGAAGGTGCTGGACAAGCTGTGGAAAGTGAATGTGCTGTACTAGGTATGGGCACATGTTACTTTTGACTACAAACTTGAAAATCAGAGGGCTGAGATTACAGTGAGAGGATGTACAGGAGGACTGGAGGTGGAGTAAGTAGCGAGCAAAACTTTGCAAGAAGGTTGGTTCACTGGAAGAGCAGGCAGAGGTGGTGGAACTTGGAGGCTATGGGGGAGAGGTTCTTCATCCCACCATCTCATCTGTCTCTTACTTCCTGAGTAGTAAAAAGAACCCAGGCCTGGGTCCTAATAATCCAGGCTCTGCCATTTACTGAGCGATCCTAGGCACGTCATCTAACTGCTAAGAGCTTTGCTTCTCTCATCAGTAGGAAAGTTCTACTAATAAGTAGTGTGGGAAAGCTGTGCCACAGGTGGTTTTGAGGATCAGAAGGAACAATTAATGTGAAAAGTTCTGTAAACTGTGAAGTGCTGTACAAACTTTCCCCAAACTTGTTCTACTTCTTCCAGCACAACTGCATATAGCCAACTTCTAATCCTTTTATGAATGAGTGTGGACTTTGAGTGGGGAACCTAAGGTAGTGATTATAAACTGTTTGTCCTTCAAAATATCCCTTGCAGAGTAGGGTAGACACTCAGCTATGAGTATGCTTTCAAGAAGTCATAGAGCACCATGTTTGACAATGTATTCCCACAACCGACCTGCTACAATGCCTGAAACTCCTATCTTAGTAGCTGTCCTCTGATTAAGAAATTTCTCTGGAGTGAATACAGTTCTGGAGTGACAGCAAAGGAAGGTAATATTTGATTACTAACATGAGGACGTTAGCAGGTGTTTGAGTACTGGGAGAGCTCGCTGTGCCTGGGAGGCAGGAGCAGAGGATGAAGGTGGGCTGGACAAGCTGGAAAAGCCTGAGGAGGCTGCCTGGGAGGGGAGGGTGGGAGGGACACCCGAGGGGCCCTAGGGAGTGCCTGGTCATGGGTGCTCCTCAGGAGGGCAGGATGGGATGGGCAGGGATCCACTCTCCTCCTCCCTTTTGCTGGCCCCAGCCTTACTCAGAGCAGTCTGAACCAAAGAAGCAGTGCCTTAAAATGGCCCTCATAATTTCCATGTGCTCAAGAGCTCTAGGGTCCTGAGCCAAGGAGAAGTTTTCATCCTTTCACACCTCTGTGCCACAGAGTACGTTGCTTTTATCTCCTTCAAAATTAATGTGGCTGAATGTGCATAGAAATTGCTCTTCTGGGACAGCAGAGTGGGGGTTAAGAGCTATGGAGACTGGCTGCTTGGGTTCGAGTCCTAGGCAATCTTTAGCTACTGACCTTACCTCTCTCTGTGGCTGTTTCATGTGTGTAATGGGGAAAACAGTACCTGCCTCATAGGCTTGTTTTGAGGATTGAGCAGATTGATGCAGATAAAGTACTTTTGAACAGCACCCCAAATACTCAACAGTGTATTTGTTGAGCTCGAGAATTCTGATTGTAAAGAAAATGTGGTTGTCACAGTCCAGTGAATGAAACCAACAAGCTCGAGTGAGACTGGGCTTCACAGCCTTCACGGATGTCAGCTGTTTTCATTTCTCAAAAATCAAAGTGTTGCCTCCAGTAATTAATGGGCTGCATGTTTGTTTTTCTTTCCTTTTTTTCAGCTGCACAGCCTCACAGAGATTTTATAATTACACCAGGTGGATGCTTAAAGTGCAAAATAATAATTCATGTTCCTGGGGGAAAAGATGTCAGGAAAACGGTCACCAGTGTTCTAGAAGAGTGTGAACAGAGGAAGTACACATCGGTTTCCCTTCCAGCCATTGGAACAGGTTTGCAGCTTATCATTCTATAATAAAATTTGAGTGATACAAATTCCTTTAGAATTAGTCTCACTCTTAAGCAGATCAGTGCTGAATCCATCTGAAAGTGGGAACAATGATGTAAATCAGAGAGGGAGCCATCTTTTAGATCTGGAGGGCACCACCAGCTACTGGGCCGAAGCCTCTTTCCTCCATCTTTCTTCTTTATTTTTTCAAGACAGAGTCTCACTCTGTTGCCCAGGCTGGAGTGCAGTGGTGTAATCTCAGCTCACTGCAACCTCCTCCTCCCAGGCTCACGCAATCCTCCCACTTCAGCCTCCCAAATAGCTAGGACCACAGGTGTGTACCACCATGCCTGGCAAATATTTGTATTTTTTATGGAGACAGCGTTTCCCCATGTTGCCCACGCTGGTCTCAAACTCCTAGGCTCAAGCAATCCGCCTGCCTCAGCCTCCCTAAGTGCTGGGATTACAGGCATGGGCCACTGTGCCCACCCCTTTCTTCTTTATTTTATGTTCCCTAAGTATCTTTCCAAGTTTGGTCCTTAACTTCATAGTTTTCTCACTCTTCATTTTTTCTCCTTGGGGGATTCATTCAGTCTCATGTCTGGTAACATTTCTGCATTGACTCCCAAATCAGCATTTCTCATTCTCTCCAGGATCTCCTCTGGGGGAGTTTTCTATTACCAGAAACTTCATTACATCAGAATCCAAACTCATGATCCTCTCTTGAAAACAGACACTCCTCTTGAGCTCCTGGGCTTTCTCGTTTCCTCCTTTGGTGGTGCCATGACGCTCCCAGCTGCCCTGGCCTGCCATCCTTGCTTTGTTGTGTCCCCAGACACCCACAGTCAGCAAGTCCTGCTGAATCTTCTTCCAGAGAGTTGTTGAATTCCAGCCTTTCTTTTTGTTTCCAAACTCTTCAGACCTCCCCCATCTGGTTTACTTCAGCATCTCCCAGCCGGCTCCTCATTTGTGCATTCATTCATTGAATTGAAATGCCGTTACCTAGGCTCTGTGCAAGGCACTGGGGAGAAAATCATGAGTAAGATGCAGTCACTCCCCATGAGCAACAAACTCAGGTTTGTCCTGCTCACAGTTTCTAGGAACGCTTTCCTCATCTCTGTCATATCATCCAGTCATTTGCTCTTCTTAGTTGACAGTGCTACTGGTCACTCACTTCCTGATTCATTCACATCCATGTCCCCTGTCACTCTCATGGAAGTGAGGGCTTCTTATTTGGGAAGTATTAATAGTATGTAGCCACAGATTACCATTAATCTAAGAGAGTTTTTCAGCAATTAAATTCCTGGTCTTACAGCCACCACCATCATTTTAGCTCAACTCTGTAGACTTCCTTCCTCTTCCCAGATTAAAACAGAATGCTCCTGCAGGTATCCCAGGTCCCTCTCGTATGAACCCCAGGGCACCCTGCAATGTTTGCAGTACATTCTTCCTGGCTTCCACACACCGATAACCTTTTGTTATAACCTTTTGCTATCGGCGGTAATGAGGCCAATAGGGAAGCCAGGGGGAACGTGCTGCAGGCATTTTGTTACCACTTTTTGTTTCTTTTATTCATGCATTTCTCCCGATCTGGAGCTTCTCCCACACCATCTGGCAAATTACAGCTCTCACAAACCCAAATTGTTTTGTTCCCATCACCCAGGGCAAGCACTCTGCTACTTGGCACTGGGCAAACAGAGTGGAGTAAGCTCTGGCCCCTTCAGGAATTCATGATTTTGGAACAGATGCAAGACATTGTAACCAAGAATGATACCCAATGCAGAGGTCACAGGTGTAGGTGTGTTCAGCCACATAGTGGGAAGGGTTGCAACTGGATAGGTGGAATGAGCCTGTCAAGGGACTGCATACAGAAAGAGAAGAGGGCTGAGACCAGAACAGTGAGAAATGCCCACAGGTAGATTGTGGCAGGGAAAGGGCAGAAAAGTCAGCAAAAGAACCAACCAATAATCGTAAGTGTTGGAGGAGAGTAAGTGCAAAGCCCCAGAGGAGGAAGTGGGAGGCCATGAAATGCTTGTGCCACACCTCTTCGACTGTGAATACATTGTGAGATCCTCAAAAGGGAAGGACCAGATCTTTATGTCTTCTCTGCCCCGTGTTGAGTGAAGAATCATTGCCCATTAAATTTTGTTGAATGGAGGAATGAATAACAGGTGATTTTGATGATGCCTTCAGAGATGCTCATGGATGTTCTCTTCCCCATTGATTTCAACGGACATTTTTGGAATGTTTCTCAGACCTGGCTCAGGGGCTCACGCCTGTAATCCTAGCACTTTGCGGGGCTGAGGCGGGTGGATCACTTGATTGCTTGAGGTCAGGAGTTCGAGACCAGCCTGGCCAACATGTTGAAACCCTGTCTCTACTAAAATAGAAAAATTAGCCAGGCGTGGTGGCGGACACCTCTAGTCTCAGCTACTCAGGAGGCTGAGGTGGGAGAATCACTTGAATTCGGGAGGCAGAGGTTGCAGTGAGCTGAGATTGCACCACTGCACTCCAGCATGGGCAACAAAGTGAGACTCTATCTCGGAAAAAAAAAAAGAAAGAAAGAAAAAATAAATGCTTACTAGACGCAGTCTATTTTGAGTACCACTAAACTCCTATGAAGTAGCTGGAATAGCTACATTAGTTGTATTAGTAATATTAATAATTGCTAAGATTTATTGAGTCCTTACTGTACGTTCTAGGTGTTTTACATGTCAAAGCTCATGTATTCCTCACAGTAACCTTATATAGGGTGATCAATTCTTTCGAGTTTGACCAGGACTTTCCTGGTTTTAACACAGAAAGTCCCATGTTGCAGGCAGCCTCTCTGCTCTGGGGAAACTGGGAGGGTTGGTCTTCATACCTGTGACATGGAAACTATTAGCAAAGACAAGTTTATTGTGAAGATAATGAAGCTTAAGTGATCAGACTTCACTTGCACAGGCTTTTTAAAAGATCCTGAGAGGAGCCCTAATAATGTCTTCACCTGGTTATATGACTTAGTAAAATTTCAAAAGTAGGATATTTTAACCATCATGAATTAAGACCACTGTTTCCCCCACTTTGACGTCTCATACTTCCCCTTGCACTGAGTGATGCTGGGGTGGCTGTAAACATTTATGCGATACAGCTAAGGAAAGTTGCGTTAGGAATCTAATTTTCAGCATTTTAAAAGATACACTTTGTTGTGGTTTCTTTTCTGATTCTAAATATTCACCATTATACATAATTGTATACTTATTCTTTTTCTGAGATATGTAAATTTCAAAACCTGGATCCATCCTATACTCTGTGTCCCCATTTTGTAGATGAGGAACTTGAGGGTAGGTTCAACCTAGCAACAGAGCTAGGTTCAAAGCCATGCAGCCTGGTCCCAAATCCTGCACAAATTTTACCATTACTTTTTTTTTTTACTATTACATTTTTTTACCATTATTATATTCTTAATTACTCTATTCTTACCTACCATATTCTTATCCCTATTACCTTCTATTATTACCCCCAATTTCTAGCTGAGCAAACTGAAGTGTAGAGGTGTTATAGGTTGAGTGTGTCTCTCCAAAATTCATATGTTGAAGTCCTAACCCTGGTACCTCAGATTTAGAGATAGGGTTTTGTTTGTTGTTGTTGTTGTTCTTTGTTTGTTTTTTTGTTGTTGTTTTTTGAGACAGTGTCTCACTCTGTCACCCAGGCTGGAGTTCAGTGGCACGATCTTGGCTCACTGCAACCTCCACCTCCCTGGTTCAAGTGATTTTCCTACCTTAGCTTCCCGAGTAGCTGGGATTACAGGTGTCCGCCACCATGGCTGGCTAATTTTTGTATTTTTAGTGGTGGCAGGATTTCACCATATTGGCCGGTCCAGTCTCAAACTCCTGACCTGAAGTGATCTGCACGCCTTGGCCTCCCAAAGTGCTGGGATTACAGGCGTGAGCACCTAGCCTGGAGATAGGGTCTTTAAAGAGCTAATTAAGTTAAAATGAGGCCATTAAGGTGGGCCCCAAACTAATATGACTAATGTCCTTATAAGAAGAGGACATTAGGACGCTGCCAGGTATGGAAGGAAGAACATGTGAAGACACAGAGAGAAGACAGCCATCTACGGGTCAACCTTGCTGATACCTTGGCCTCAGTCTTCTAGCCTCCAAGATTATGAGAACATCAGTTTCTCTTACTTCAGCCCCCCGTCCATGGCTTTTTGTACCGCAGCCCTAGCTAACTTCAAGAGGGATCAAATGACTTACCCAAGATCAGACAGCTAGTAAGTAGTGGAGCCAGGACATAAACTCAGCTCTTCTGCATCCAGATCACATGTTCTTATTTCTGCACTGCCAATGCCCATCAGCTAAAGATCACCAGGAACACACACTACGGGGACCTCTGCAGCATCTCAGTAGGAGAGTGTTAGAAAGGACTTAATGGATTTGGGCTTGTTTTAGGTGATTTTGTGGCAGTCTCAAGTAAGTGGGGCTTTTCTCTGGATCAGAGACTTTTAGGAAACAGACATAATTCTATGATTGGGTATCTTATCTAGAAGGAAGGAGGATGCATTCTGGCTAAATGTATGATTGGTAATGCAGCAGCTGTCACTCTTTTTTTTTTTTTTTTTTTTGAGACGGAGTCTTGCTCTGTCGCCCAGGCTGGAGTGCAGTGGCACGATCTTGGCTCACTGCAAGCTCCGCCTCCCAGGTTCACGCCATTCTCCTGCCTCAGCCTCCCGAGTAGCTGGGACTACAGGTGCCCGCCACAACGCCTGGCTAATTTTTTGTATTTTTAGTAGAGATGGGGTTTCACCATGTTAGCCAGGATGGTTTCAATCTCCTGACCTCGTGATCCACCCACCTCAGCCTCTCAAAGTGCTGGAATTACAGGCGTGAGCCACCGCACCTGGCCTAGCAGCTGGCACTCTTATTAGTCAAGATAGGGAGATATTTGGCCATCTCTGTGATTTGGGCAGGGTTTATGTTTTTGTCTGCGATAAGACACAATTATGGAGTAGTCTTGTTTTTGTGTTAATTCATCATGGTCAGAGTGGTTACATGGATGATGTACTATGAAATTGTTTGTATTCAGCTAAAGAACACCAACTAGCTGTGAGTGTCAGATCAATTCCTGGCTGTGAGGGGCTTTCCTGTTTCTCAGCACTGAGAACTGGATTTGCCATATTTCATCATATTAGCAACATCGGGGGAAACTTCTTTGTCATTAAATTTTTTTTTCAGGAAATGCCGGAAAAAACCCTATCACAGTTGCTGATAACATAATCGATGCTATTGTAGACTTCTCATCACAACATTCCACCCCATCATTAAAAACAGTTAAAGTTGTCATTTTTCAACCTGAGCTGCTAAATATATTCTACGACAGCATGAAAAAAAGAGACCTCTCTGCATCACTGAACTTTCAGTCCACATTCTCCATGACTACATGTAAGATGTTCACTTTTTAAAAATCACCCTGCTGGCTCTGATAATCACTTAGAAAATGTTTAAGTGTGAATGTACACTGAGTTTATAGTTTTCTATTCGTTTTAGGACTTTTCAGACAACTTCTTATGATCCATGGGAAAAGTATAAAAATTAGAGAATGCAACCTCCTGTCAACTGATTATTTTCCTGAGAGGCAAAATCATGCCTGGGAAATAGGAATGGTAAATAAACAGGAAGAGAATGGAAGTGAGGAAGCAGAAAGAGGGGAGGAGGCTTTGCAAATTCTAGCCAATATTTATTGATTGGTTGGTATTGACCCTCATTTCCTCTTGGAGCTGTGAACTAGCTGATTAATATTGGTCTGCTAATCATCCCCCTATAGACATGTTAGCCTGGAATAGAATCAGATGTAAGAAGGGAGTGGCTAGGGTCAGCTGGGTGTACTACATCACAAGCAGCCAGACAGATTCCAGATCCCCAGCTGCTACTCTGTAAGGTGTGTTTATACTTTAAGTACTTGTACCAACCTGTTCCTCCTCTGATTTCGTTTTCCCCTATTTTGTGGCATTTGTACTGCTATTAAAATAACTAGGATTGCAGCCTCCTCTTGCAATCACTATTTTCAGCCATTTGGAGCACTCACCCTTAAAGCACTGTGAGTTTTGCTAGTGATAAGGCACATATGCCATCAACAGCCTCCCTAAACTGAGAATGATTGTCTGCTGCTGTCAGAAGAAATGTCAGTTCTCTCTACATTTATTTCCTGACAAGCATTCTCCTTGGTGTGCTACAACACACAATACATGTAGGACACACACAATAAAAACATGAATATAATAGTTGGATCTGTTAAAGTTCTTGCAGTAGCAAATAATAGAAAGTCCATCTTACACTGGCTTAAGCAAAAAGCAGAATTCAATAACTCATGTTATTATAAAGCCCACACATTCCTGGGTTCAGGTACAGTTTGGTCCAGGTGCTCATATAATAATATCATCTAGACCCTGAATTTCTTCATCTCTCATTCTCTTCTCAGCTATGTTGTCTTTTTCCTCAAGCTTCATATGGTGAAAGCTGGCTGCTAGCAGCTTTAGGCCTACATCCTTCCATACTCAGTTTCAAGAGGAAAGAGTATATCCAGTGGAGATATACAGTCATCATCAGGAACATGATGCCAGGGAACAGAGCTCTTTTAAGCGCTGAGAGTCTTTCTGATTGGACCATTTTAGGTTATCATTGCAGGCAGGGAACCGGAATTACACTGGCCAAGCCAGAGTCACATGCTCCACACTTCAGCTAGAGGGGGTCACCATCCGAAGCAATGGGGAATAGCTGTTCCCCAGAGGAAATTCAGAAAGCTTTTACCAGAAGAGGAGAAAAGGATACTGGGCAGTTAAAAATAGTATGTACCTACTATAGTATCTAGGGATATATAAACTAACATTTTTTCCCTTTGGTCCTTGTAGATGAAAATTTTTATTTAAATTTAAGAACAGTAAATAAGTCATTATCAGTAAAGTAAAAAATAAAGCTTAACTGGTTCATCACTCTTTGCTTTCATCGAGATTTTAAACTGACTTACAAATTTAAAAAACAAAACAGTGTAGTTGAAGAGAGAAGCAAACAAAAAACTGACTAAAATGAGCAGACAACTGACCCTCTGAGACAGCAGGGTTGTCAGTGCTGTGAAAGACTGATTTCAACCTGAACTTCTGGCACCCGAGGCAAAAACAAACCACAATACAACTGCATTACGTCATCTTTGTTGTTAGAGAAAAGGAATAATACAGATGAAATATCAGATAAAAGGAAGTTTGTTGGCTCAGATAAACTGGAATTTTAGTAAGGATTTATCATATAGCCCTTTTCCAAAAAGAACTTAAAGAGGATAGCTTTGAGTTTCATTTGTGCAGATGATACACAATTACTTTTCAAATGTATGTTAAAGCTATTTATTGAGTCCAGAGATTACTTATTGAGCACCAAGTATATATCAGATATTAGAAATATAGATTTGGGAAGTCATGTGAGTAGGTGGGATTGAAGTCCTTAAGTGTGATTGGCTTAAGTGTGAGAATAAACAGTGAGGAGAGGAAGACTGGGGGCAGAACCAGGGATCTTGTTTGTTTATTTGTTTTTGTTTTTTTGAGACTGAATCTCACTATGTTGCCCAGGCTGGAGTGCAGTGGTGCAATCTTGGCTCACTGCAACCGCTGCCTCCCAGGCTCAAGCAGTTCTCTTGCCTCAGCCTCCTGAGTAGCTGAGATTACAGGCATTTTAGTAGAGATGGGGTTTCAACATGTTGGCCAGATTGGTCTCAAATTACTGACCTCAAGTGATCCACCCACCGGCCTCTCAAAGTGCTGGGATTATAGGCATGAGCCTACGTGCTCAGCTGGGATCTTGGTTTTTAATCCCACCCCCACAGGTGAGGGCATTTATCCTGAACTACCAGGAATTTGAAAGTAGAGCTTATCTTTTAAAACAGTGGTCCCCAAACTTTTTGGGCCCAGGGACCAGTTTCATATAAGACAAATTTTCCACGGACTGGGTTATGAAGGGGGTGGTTTCAGGATGGTCCGAGTGCATTACATTTATTGTCCACTTTGTTATTATTATTATTACATTGTAATATATTATGAAATAATTATACAACTTACCACAGTGTAGAATCAGTGGGAGCCCTGAGCTTGTTTTCCTGCAACTAGACAGTCCCATCTGGGGGTGATGGGAGACAGTGTCAGATCATCAGGCATTAGATTCTCATTAGGAGTGCACAACCTAGATCCCTTGCATGCACAGTTCACAATAGGGTTTGAGCTCCTATGAGAATCTAATGCTGCCACTGATCTGACAGAAGACAGAGCTCAGGTGGTAATGTGAATGATAGGGAGCAGCTATAAATACAAATGAAGCTTTGTTCTCTTGCCTGCCGCTCACCTCCTGCTGGGCAGTCTGCTTCCTAACAGGTTGTAGACCAGTGCTAGTCTGTGGCCTGGGATTTGGGGACCCCTGTCTTAAAAAACACTAATCTTTTCAAAGAGCTGTATGGGAAGAGGGCTCAGGAAAATGCCTAGCACATGGAAACACTTTTAAAAGGGTAGTTATCATGCTATTTTCTGTGAAGCCGTGGGCTGCAAGTCAACAGTGCTCCTTACTTTGATAATGACCTTCCATGTGATGCTGGGTGAGTATTCCTGGGACTCTGTTTTCTCTCCTCTAAATTGTCTAGCCGAAGTCACCTTTTGTACATAGAAGTTGGAGTAGATAGCATGGTTTGGTGTGGCTTAAGGGTGTGATTTAAATGTCTTTCCCCTCAAGAAAATACCTTTGGCTTTATGCTTTATTCCTTATTAATATACAAATACCAGCTGGGCGCTGTGGCTCATGCCTGTAATCCCAGCACTTCAGAAGGCCAAGGCAGGAGGATTGCTTCAGCCCAGGAGTTTGAGACCAGCCTGGGCAACATGGCAGAACCTCATCTCTACAAAAAAAAATAGCGAGGCATAGTGGCATGTGCCTGTAGTTGCAGCTACTGGAAAGGCTGAGGTGGGAGGATTGCCTGAGCCCAGGAGGTCAAGGCTGCAGTGATCCATGATTGTGTCACCGCACTCAAGACTGGGTAACAGAGTGAGACTCTGTCTCAAAATAATAATAATAATTAATAATAATATACAAATACCTCTGGGATGTAAAAAATATCAAGCTTAATTGGTTTTTAAGAATAATAACCCTATGTTTACAAAAGACTTGGCATTTCCTAAAGCGCTTTCAGACTCCTTACTATATTTTAACTTTGCAACAATCCCATGAGGTGGTAGATAGAGCTCATGGGATCTATCTTATAATTCCCATTACACAGATGAGAAAATAAAAACTCACCCAGAAGTGGTGTTATATGTGTTCAATGTCATATGGCTGGTCACAGGTTGAGGCTGATCTGTTCTTCTGATTCCAAGTCCTGATAGCTTCCTGCTTTCCAGCCTCAGGGCATGAAAGGAATAGAAGGCCCCCAAAAAACCTTCACCTCCTTACTTCCCAGGCTTGCCTGCTGTATTCAGGGGAAAGGAAGCAGCAGATCCAAAAGGACTGTAAGGCCTTGGACTAGAAATGATTAGGCAGAAAGATCCTGAAGGAGATGGACAGTGGGGAAAGGAAGGAATGTAGCTTTCAGAAATCACGCACCTTATTGGTGGGAAACTGCCAGAATGACTTTAAAAATGGAGTTTGAAAAGAGCTTACTGATTAGGGTTAGATGCCTCCCTGTGTCACGAGAACTTACCCTGGATGGACTTGCTCAACAGGAAGACAGTGCCCTGGATCCCTCTCTCAGGCCAGGTATATCTTTCACTAAAAATGAGCAAATTGTGGCTTTGTTTGTAAGGAAGAAATCCTTTGGTTTTTACCTGTGGTGGTGTATCTCTAATGCAGGGTGTCCGTATTCACACTAGTCCTGCTATCTTAGCAAGTTGATGTCTAGCCTTGGTGTTTTAGAAGTTCCAGGAAGCCACTGAAAACAAAGGAAACCCGGGCATGATCACCTTATGGGAAAGCATTCTCTCAGCACATCTGCTATTTTCTTTACATGGTGCTTTCTCTACTTGGTGTATAAGATGGGGTACAGAACAATGTGCTTTAAATGTCTTTAGCAAGGTAATCATTTTCAAAAAATAGAAGAGAACTACATTAAATATTACTGATAAAAGCAAAAGCATCTATAAATTAGCATTCATGTTTACATATTAGTTTCTTACAAAATTAATTCCATAGAAATCTCTGGGAAAATTACAATTTCAAGCTACAGTGGATCTAAGTTTATCTAAATATTTTATCTAGAGCATTAATGAATATATTGTGTCATATTTGTGTCAGACCATTCACTTCATCTGGATTTACTCAACTGAGGATAATAGAAGAAGCAATTGTGAAATGTGTAACTTCTCCTTTAAAGACCAGGTTTGGATGACGAGAGACAAGTGCAGAGGAGGTGCCCTGATTTTCAGAGGTCTTTGGAAATGAATGTTGTGTTTTGACCAAATGCTGACTTTCCAGGTAATCTTCCTGAACACTGGACTGACATGAATCATCAGCTGTTTTGCATGGTCCAGCTAGAGCCAGGACAATCAGAATATAATACCATAAAGGACAAGTTCACCCGAACTTGTTCTTCCTACGCAATAGAGAAGGTAATACTGTGTTAAAATTTACTGTTCAAAAATGTTGATGAACTAACATAAAAGCTATCTCTTTTTAAATAACACCCTTCCTTCCTTTGTACCTTACTATGTTTATTTTAACTGGAATTAGACTTACTCAAGTTCCATAGACTTCAAATCTCATAGTTTATTCATTAGCAGTAATGAAGGAGATTCCAAGTCACATGTGTATGTTAGGATACTTTCAGTTGCAAGTCACAAACCAACCCACTCAAACTGATTAAACAAGGAGAACTGTGTTGGAAATTAATGGAAAGTCCCAAAGTAGGATGGGCTTTGGAGAAGTCTGATCCAGCGGCTTGATGGTGTCCTGGATCCAGTTGCTCCAACTTTGCTGTCCTCTGTGTCAGCTTTGTTTTAAGGCTGGACTCTCCTTGTGGTTGTTGGATGGCTGCTGGCAGCAATTAGGGGGTCTCTGTTTTCTCATTCACAACCCATAGAAGACAACTGTGTCCTGTCCCGCAGTTACTGGACGAGAATCCCAACTACTGCAACCATCTCCGTGTCTAGGGAATACCTTGTTCTGGTTGGCTTGGGCCTGAGCTATCAGATCCCATCAATGTGTGATCCATATTGAAATCCTGATCAGTTTAACTTAATTAGACTCCATCCTAGAACTATAAGTAGGGCCAATCCCACTCAAACCAGAGGTTGCTGATGGGGTAGAATGCATGTTTAGAAGATTACCACAATGTCCACTATGCTGCATAAAAATATTAGTAAACTATAGGGGTTTATCACGAGGTCATTATCATACCATGTGTATCAGAACAGGGTGTAGCATCCTAGTAATTTAAAATCTTGTTACCGCTTCCATAGAACTGTGTACTTACCTCTTGGAGCACTTATAAAGTGGTACTTTGTAACTATGTACTTACATTACAGCACTTATAAGGTACTTTGATAACTTTTCACATACCTGGCTCCCCGACTAGACAGTGAGCTGCTTAAGGTAGGAGTCGCATCTTGTTCATTTCTTCATTCTCAGTACCTAGGAAGCTGTCTAGCACACAGTAGGACACAATATGTGTTGAGTAAACTTGATTGAATGAATGAGCTTAATTCCTGAGAAAGGGGAGCCAGGAGATAGAGACATCCTGCAGGAAGGACAGAATTTAAAGGAGGAGATACCTCGTGGTGTTAAAAGCTGTTGGAAGTACAGTCCTGGGCCTCTGAATCGATAGGTTCTGCATCCATGATTTCAACCAACCTCGGATGGAAAGTGTGGTGAGGCCTATGATGGTTGAGTGTACTTAATGTGTACAGACCTTTTCTTTTTTTTTTTCAGACTTTTTCTTCTTGTCATTATTCCCTAAACAATATAACAACTATTTACATAGTATTTGTTAATACATTTTATGAAGTAATATAAGAAATCTACAGATGATTGAAAGTATATGGGAGGATTGTGTAGATTATATATTAATACAAATACAGTACTATGTCATTTTATGTCAGGGACTTGAGCATCCTCAGATTTTGATATCTGCGAGGTCCTGGAACCAATCCTCCATGGATATTGAGGGATGACTGTACAAGAAGTGCAAGAACCTCATTTCAATTGTGTTTACACAATATCTGTGACTTTCTTGGCTCATACTTCTTTTGAAAACCCCCAACTTTGGATTAGTCCCATAACCTACCTTCTCTGCTGCTGCTCTTAGATGAAATCCTTACTAATTCATGGTCCCCAGCCTCAGCTGGACCCTCCAGGCTTCCTGGAATCCTTCATTGCTTCCTCCAGTCAACCCCCTCACACATTCCCCATTGCAAACCTTCGTTACTCTCCCGGAGGCCTCCACTACTTTCAGCAGAACAACTTTCTCACCTGCTTTTATGGCTTGGATTCTCCTCAACAGCTGCCCAGGTACTCACTCCATTCTTCTTGAACCTCTCTTCTTCCTCTGTTTCCAGAACATCATCCTCTCAGATTTCCTCCTCCTTCCCCAGACACAGGTTATCTGGAGCCCCTTCCTATATTTTCATAGCCCCTTGTGTGTTCTCCTGACCATCCCTTATCACTCTGAGCAGTAGTGATTAGTTTTCTTGTCTTGCCCACCACCCCCATGCCATTAGACTGAATGTTTCATGAGGACAGAGACCCAACACAAACTTGATTCATAGAGATGTTCAGTAGGTGATGACTGAATGGATGTTAACTCCATTTCCTAGGAGGAAGGAGAACCAGTAGAGGGTGATATTTTGAAAAGAAGTGAAAGAAGAGCAGAGTTTTAAGAAGGGGATGGCTCGTGGTTTGAAATGCTATTCAGAGGTCTAGAAAAAAATAGTCATAAGATTAGGCAATTATGAGGTGATCTGTGACCATAATTGGAGCAATAACAGAAAGAATTGTTATGAGGAGAAGCCACATGGAATGAGTTGGAAGATGAGGAGTTAAGGACATGGCTATTGAATGACTACAAATTTTTGAGTAGGTGTTTGAATGTCAGTGAATCTCCAGGAATTCCAGGGAATATATGTTGGTAATCATTTAGATATAAACCGCAAATTATGTTATTTAAAATAT
This sequence comes from Homo sapiens, assembly GCF_000001405.40. NCBI lineage: Eukaryota > Metazoa > Chordata > Mammalia > Primates > Hominidae > Homo > Homo sapiens. Next base: position 122,634,777 of record NC_000003.12, read on the forward strand.
ATACCAACAAGCACTATTACAAAGCATAGACACTAATAGATACTTTTAGCCCATCTTTCTCTAAAGGCAGAAAGCTGCCTACTCTCTGAATTTGCTGTCTATTTGTATTTTCTTCTCCTTTTCCTTCACCAAATTCTCTTCCTCTTCCTTCTTTTTCATATTGCTTATTTTAAATCCACAACAAGTACAATATACTGAGCCCCAAGGTCCTTTCTGAAATATTTTGTCTTTTGTTACCTGCAGATTGAGAGGATACAGAATGCATTTCTCTGGCAGAGCTACCAGGTAAAGAAAAGGCAAATGGATATCAAGAATGACCATAAGAATAATGAGAGACTCCTCTTCCATGGGACAGATGCAGACTCAGTGCCATATGTCAATCAGCACGGCTTTAATAGAAGTTGTGCTGGGAAAAATGGTAAGGAAGCAAGTAATTTGGCTGATCAGAATAAGGCAAACAATAGTCTCAGACTTTTCATACCCAAGCAGTGTGGAACCATGGTGGGCAGCTGTATTATCACTGTCAGAATAGAGCTCACTGTGTTTCACTGTAAAGGAGACTGGCAACCTTCTAAGGGAAGATGGAGTGAATTTTAGAAATGATGAAAAATAACTTTAACGTGCAGTTTTTTTTTTAATGGGCTTTTTTTTTTAGACGGTCTCATTCTGTCACCCAAACTGGAGTGCAGTGGCAAGATCATGGCTCACTGCAGCCTTGATCTCTTGAGCTCAAATGATGCCCCCACCTCAGTCCCCTGAGTAGCTGGGATTACAGGCATGCACCACTATGCCTGGCTAATAATTTTGTTTTATTTTTGTAGAGAAGGGGTCTCATAATGCTAGCCAGGCTGGTCTCGAACTCCTGGCCTTAAGCAATCCTCTTGCCTCAGCCTCCCAAAGTGTTGGGATTACAGGCATGAGCCAACACACCTGGCTAAAACTGCATTTAGAAAACAATTTTGTCAGATTGGGCATGGTTCTACACATTGTGTAATTTTATATTCTTAGGAAGGTTTTTGTCTTTCTCTTTCCAGCTGTATCCTATGGAAAAGGAACCTATTTTGCTGTGGATGCCAGTTATTCTGCCAAGGACACCTACTCCAAGCCAGACAGCAATGGGAGAAAGCACATGTACGTTGTGCGAGTACTTACTGGAGTCTTCACAAAGGGACGTGCAGGATTAGTCACCCCTCCACCCAAGAATCCTCACAATCCCACAGATCTCTTTGACTCAGTGACAAACAATACACGATCTCCAAAGCTATTTGTGGTATTCTTTGATAATCAGGCTTACCCAGAATATCTCATAACTTTCACGGCTTAAAAATATTTTTATCATCAAAGAGATGATTTAAGTCATCTGTAAGAACAACATGCAATCTTTGTCTTTGCTTCTGGCCTGTGTAAGCAGATGAAAGTTTCCCTTTTAGGTGCCAAAATGCTGAAAATTACCTTTTTAAAGTGCTCTATTGCTGCGATTTGTAGCATACCTTTTTTTCTCAGCAAATTGATGGGTGGAAGCTGAGAAATGTATGGTAAATGTCACAGAGCTACAACCATTCACAGACACCAAATCTCTAGGAGAATAAAAAGCACATTATTCTTTTTCTATCAGAAAAAAACAAGATGCATCACCTTAAAACCAAGATGACATTGTTCTTCTTGGAACATGTTAAGACATCGAATGGTGGCGGGTTAAACTGTACTGCTTAAGTGGAGCGGCTACCGTTATGCATCTATCACAGTTGGGGATTTTGCCTTATTAAGGAAAACTTGTCAATAGTTCAGCTGAAATGACTGAATCACAGAATATTAACTCTGTTATGGAACAAATCATAACAGATTTTACCTGTTTACATTTCAGGTAAAAATGTATCGCATTGTTATCTAATATTAAAAAATTACCCCCAATTTTAGTGACTTAATCCCACACAGTCTTTATGGGTCAGGAATTCAGGCATGGCTTACCTGGATCATTCTGCTAGGGTCTCTCTGAAGTTACAGACAAGATGTCAGGGGATGTGGTCGTTTGAAGGCTTGTCTGGGCTGGAGGTCTATTTCCAAGGTGAATCACTCACATACCTGGCACGTTTCTGTCAGGTATTGGCAGTCCTCAGTTCCTCTCCTCTCAGGCCTCTCCACAGGCTGCTTGAGTGTCCTCATGACACAACAGTTGGCTTACTCCAGAGTGAGCAACTCAAGAGAGAGCAAGGCAGAAGCTACCAAATCTTTATGTTTGAAGTCATGCACCATCTTTTCCACGAGTATCCTGTTGATTATTTTGATCAGCTTGTTCAGTCTGGGAGGGAATTGCACAAGGGCATGAATACTCCACTGGCAAGGATCATTGGGGGCCATCTTGGAAGCTGTGTGAATGAGCAAATGAATGCACAGATAGAATATTAGCAGTGACAATGATGCTAGAGGTCACCTACCCCACTGTCCTCTTGTCCTTCTCCCCCAACCCTCCCCTGCTCCCAGGCAAGAAGCCCTCTAGCCTCTGCTTGATCACTTTCAGCACTCAACATCTTCAGGGAACCTATTCCGCCGTGGGACAGTGTTAATTAGTGGAAAACTCTTTTTCAAAAGTTGAAATCAGTTCCTCTGTGTCTATTACCTGCTGATCACTGTCCAGACTTCTGGAGGACACAGAGCAAGTTTTATTCCTCTTACTGATGGTAGCCTTTCAGATCCATCCCTTCCCTCCAGTATATTAGAGTTACGTAAATTCTTAAAATGCTTAGCAGCTCATTTATCCTGAAGCATCACTTTTGAAGAGTTACAGACATTTAAGAAGTATTTACATTATCATAAATAAATTACATGCGCATTTAAAGAGAACAGAAAAGTATAAAGAAAAATAACTCACCAAACTCACTCATAATTCCAGCACTAAGGGAAAACCACTGCCAATTTCTCATGTCTCCCTTCCAGTTTCTTCTCTGTCCAAATTCAACAAAGTCAAAATCACATTTTGTTCTGTCACAAATCATATAATATTATTTCTACCATTTTTCTTTTTTTAATCTTTTTTTATTATACTTTAAGTTTTAGGGTACATGTGCACAATGTGCAGTTTAGTTACATATGTAAACATGTGCCATGTTGGTGTGCTGCACCCAGTAACTCATCATTTAGCATTAGGTATATCTCCAAATGCTATCCCTCTCCCCTCTCCCCACCCCACAACAGGCCCCGGTGTGTGATGTTCCCCTTCCTGTGTCCATGTGTTCTCATTGTTCAATTCCCACCTGTGAGTGAGAACATGTGGTGTTTGGTTTTTTGTCCTTGCGATAGTTTGCTGAGAATGATGGTTTCCAGCTTCATCCATGTCCCTACAAAGGACATGAACTCATCATTTTTTATGGCTGCATAGTATTCCATGGTGTATATGTGCCACATTTTCTTAATCCAGTCTATCATTGTTGGACATTTGGGTTGGTTCCAAGTCTTTGCTATTGTGAATAGTGCCGCAATAAACATACGTGTGCATGTGTCTTTACAGCAGCATGATTTATAATCCTTTGGGTATATACCCAGTAATGGGATTGCTGGGTCAAATGGTATTTCTAGTTCTAGATCCCCGAGGAATCGCCACACTGACTTCCACAATGGTTGAACTAGTTTACAGTCCCACCAACAGTGTAAAAGTGTTCCTATTTCTCCACATCCTCTCCAGCACCTGTTGCTTCCTAACTTTTTAATGATTGCCATTCTAACGGGTGTGGGATGGTATCTCATTGTTGTTTTGATTTGCATTTCTCTGATGGCCAGTGATGATGAGCATTTTTTCATGTGTTTTTTGGCTGCATAAATGTCTTCTTTTGAGAAGTGTCCGTTCATATCCTTTGCCCACTTTTTGATGGGGTTCTTTGTTTTTTTCTTGTATATTTGTTTGAGTTCATTGTAGATTCTGGATATTAGCCCTTTGTCAGATGAGTAGATTGCAAAAATTTTCTCCCATTCTGTAGGTTGCCTGTTCACTCTGATGGTAGTTTCTTTTGTTGTACAGAAGCTCTTTAGTTTAATTAGATCCCATATTTCTACCATTTTTCATTAAACATTACAAGTTGTTCTCTTGTGTTCTTATTTTTTCTGTAAACATAATTTTAATGGCAGAGATATTCTGCTTTATATCTTTCCCTATTTTATGTATATAGAATTATAAAGTTTTTAAAAATGTAATCATCATTATTTATAGTTTAATAATCAGTTTCATCTTGCAGTGTATCATTTTCCTCGTCATTAAATATTTTACGTATCATTTTTAATGGTTGCACCGTATTTCATTGCCTGTTTCTACCTACATGTCATGTCAAAATAAGGTACCTATATTTTTGATAAATATGAGGTTAGAATATGAGATGCAAAGATCCTAGTCTACCTTCAACAAGACAGTTAAAATGCTCTATTGCTGCAATTTGTAGCACGCCTGAAGGAAATATAGTCCCAGAGAACAAAGTATGGTTAAATAATGCAGTTCCTGCCTGGGCCTTGGTTCTCAATACCAGTGCAGAATTCTAGTGAGCCATGTTAGAACAAGAAAGGACTCCTAGCCTGGGCAACATAGGGAGACCCCATCTCTACAAAAATAAAAAAATTAGCCCAGCATGGTGGCGCATGCCTGTGGTTCCAGCTGCCTGGGAGGCTGAGGTGGGAGGATTGCTTGGAACCAGGGGGTCAAGGATGCAGTGAGCTATGATCCTGCCACTGCATTCCAGCCTGGATCACAGAGCAAAACCCTATCTCAAAAAGAAAAGACCCTTTTACTTAGGTTAGGTGGACTCTTATTTACAATGTCTGCTGCTGACTTGTTGCCTCCTCCAATGTTGTTACTCAAGGATGTTGTTCCCCAGTTTATTTTGCTGTACCCTTACTTCAGGAGTAAGACACAGAAGCTTTGACTACAGTGGGCCGGGCGTGGTGGCTTATGCCTGTAATCCCAGCACTTTGGGAGGCCGAGGCGGGTGGATCACAAGGTCAGGAGTTTGAGACCATCCTGGCTAACACAGTGAAACCCCGTCTCTACTAAAAATAGAAAAAAAATTAGCTGGGCGTGGTGGCGGGCGCCTGTAGTCCCAGATACTCGGGAGGCTGAGGCAGGAGAATGGCGTGAACCTGGGAGGCAGAGCTTACAGTGAGCCACTGCACTCCAGCCTGGGCAACAGAGTGAGACTCTGTCTCAAAAAAAAAAAAAAAGAAGTTTTGAGTAAAGTATACCCATGTTATTAAAGTTGTTATTCTTTCTTGAGGAACAAACTATGAACCAATCAATAATTATAGTTATTTAGAAATTCTACCTTCCATCAGTCTGAAGCTAAATTGTATCTTTCCATCCTTTAAGTCCATCTCCTTCCCACTTGGCTTGATGTTTTCTCTCTATATGACTAGAATGGTCTCTACTTTTATCCTAAGAACTAACTGTTATCTAGCTTAGTATCAAAATTAGAAGTCTTGTCAAACTGTTAATTACTGAAGAAATCCATCTCTTTTCTCTGTATCTTCAGAGTTCAAGCAAATGGTACCTGATTAATCCAAGACCAGAGACCATGAGCTCTAATTCTGGACTGGCAGCCTTCTTTCACGGAAGGCTTCACGGTCTCAAATATCTTCTCTTATTGCTTTTCTTACCATTCTTCTCCTTCTTATTCCTTTTTTTGTTTCTTTTAATTCTTTCTCTCACTTGTGGAAAAAAAGGACACACACTCTGCTTGGATGAATCAGAGGAAATATTTTCATTTTTTTCTGCACCAATAGTAGATAGCCACTCAAATTCCACATAGTATATATGGTAATGTATTAATTGAACACAAGGTTTACAAATTCATTTACAGTGTGGCAGGTTATCACAGGGCTGGTGAGATCATTCATAGCTAGTATGATCAAATTCAATTTCTTTTGAGTACTTTACTAGAACAAATACAGTTTCTTTTAGTAAATAAGCTTTATAGTAAATATGCTTTACAAGATTAATTGATTAAATTATTACATATCCTAGCTTTGGTCTCACCACATTAGTAAACATAGGAAGGGAATCTTGCAACTAAATTCAAAGTATGAATAACTTAAAAGACCTTTGGCCCATTTCTCTTTGTTTATGTTATTTTTGTGGTCACTAGGATATAAATATTCTCTAATCTTCTTTTCTTTATTTCACTGAGAAGGGCATTTTCTACACAGTATTTAATTCCCTTAAGTCTCTTGTTCCTAAAATTATCACCCTATAACTAAGACCTATCAGAGGAGTGATTTTGGCTTCCACAAAATCCAACCACCTCTTCAATCTGAGCTTTTCTTTACACGTGCTTAATGTGTTCTTGTCTCTTCACACCTAGATGGCTCAACTCTCAACACCTTTTTCACATTCAATTTACTCAATTAGTACAATGCGAGATCAACCCTCCACCTAAACGGAAAAAAAAAATAATGAAAATGCTTCTCTTTAGGTCTTTGTAGTTTATGGTGTTAGATGGAGCTCTTTTTTTCATATTAATTCCACTAAAATTCCAATTAAAGTGCCTGAGATAAGGGAAGTACCAATACAAAAAGAACAACATAAAATTAACAAATCTGGGGCCAACAACAAAAACAAAATTTCAGTGTAAATTCAGGATAAAACAAGAACCCAGAAAGTAAAAGTAGGAGTATTAGAATCTAGAACAGATAATGATAAACATCATAGAGCAATAACAATTTTATAATGTTCTATTGTTTTTTGTTTTTTGTTTTTTTTTGTTTTGAGATGGAGTCTCACTCTATTGCCCAGGCTGGAGTGCAGTGGTGCCATCTTGGCTCACTGCAACCTCCACCTCCCGGGTTCTAGCGATTCTCCTGCCTCAGCCTCCCAAGTAGCTGGGATTGCAGGTGCTCACAACCACGCCCGGCTAATTTTTGTGTTTTTAGCAGAGTCGGAGTTTCACCATGGTGGCCAGGCTGATCTTGAACTCCTGACCTCAGGTGATCTGACTGCCTCAGCCTCCCAAAGTGCTGGGATTACAGGTGTGAGCCACCATACCTGGCCAAATCTTCTATTGTTAACAGAGGTTTGTTTGTTCTTTTTTTTTTTTTTTTTCTTTTTTTGAGACGAAGTCTCTGTTGCCCAGGCTGGAGTATAGTGGTGCAATCTCAGCTCGCTGCAACCTCTGTCTCCCAGGTTCAAGTGATTTTCGTGCCTCAGCCTTCTGAGTAGCTGGGACTAGCATGTGCCACTATGCCTGGCTAATTTTTATATTATTAGTAGAGATGGGGTTTTGCCATGTTGTCCAGGCTAGTCTCGAACTCCTGATCTCAGGTGATCTGCCCACCTTGGCCTCCCAAAGTGCTGGGATTACAGGCTTGAGCCACTGCCCCAGGCCTTGTTTTTTACTCTTGAGACAGGGTCTCACTTTGTCACCCATGCCAGAGTGCAGTGGTGCAATCATGGCTCACTGCAGCCTTGACTTCACAAGCTCAAGTGATCCTCCCATCTTAGCCTCAAGTGATCCTCCCATCTCAGCCTCCCAAGTAGCTGGGATCACAGGCACGTGCCACCACACTGGAATAATTTTTTTTTTTCAGTAGAGAAAATGTCTCCCTATGTTGCCCAGCGTGGTGTCAAACTCCTTGGCTCCAGTGATCCTTCTACTTGGCCTCTCAAAGTGCTGGGATTACAGACATGAGCCACCGCACCCAGCCAACAGAGCATTTTAATATATACAGTATCTCACTTCTCTCTGTAGCAGTCCTCTGAGGAAGGAGGCCCCTTTGATGGAGGACGCTGATCCTCAAAGGGATCAACTGACATGCCTCTCTCATTCAGCTAGTAAGTGGCAGTGCTGGGAGTGGGTGTCAAATCTCTGAGAAAGACCATAGTTGTTGATAGACTCCACACTGCATGAATGGAAACAGAAAACAGTATACTGACTTACAGAATGGTGAATCAACAAATAAAATGAAAAATGGCTGGGCACAGTGGCTCACGTCTGTAATGCCAACACTTTGGGAGGCTGAGGTGGGTGGATCATGAGGTCAGGAGTTTGAGACCAGCCTGGCCAACATGGTAAAACCCTGTATCTCCTAAAGGTACAAAAATTAGCCAGGAGTGGTGGTGCATGCCTATAATCCCAGCTACTCGGGAGTCTGAGGCAGGAGAATTGCTTGAACCTGGGAGTCAGAGGCTGCAGTGAGCTGAGATTGCGCCACTGCACTCCAGCCTGGGCAACAGAGCAAGATTCTGTCTCAAAAAAAAAAAAAAACAAAAAACAAAAAACAAACACACACACACACCAACACAGCAAAAAACTGAAAAACGAAAGAGCACTAAGTAGTCCTATCACAAGAAGTCAAGAAGGCTTAATTAACTCAGAAAACAGGGTATGCAAATTCAAAGTCCTAACCAAAGGGGTTTCTGAGTAAACACAACCAACAGGCAGCTTGAAAAACCACAAGTCAAGAATATGAAAGAGAAAATTTCCTGGAATTGAAAAAAGAATATAGCCTTGGGGGAAGAAGGATACTTCATTCAATTAAGGGGGATTGCATAATAATCACATGCATTAGAATAACTTTTATTTTGTTACCTTAGATTGTCCACCAACAGCCCCCAAGTTTTAAAATATACTTAAAAATAATTTTTTTCTTTGAGACAGAGTCTCGCTCTGTTGTCCAGGCTGGTGTGCAGTGGTATGATCTCAATCTCGGCTTACTGCAACCTCTGACTCTTGGGTTCAAGCAATTCTTCTGCTTCAGCCTCCTGAGTAGCTGGGATTATAGGCACTGGCTAATTTTTGTATTTTTAGTAGAGACGGGGACCAGGCTGGTCTCAAACTCCGACCTCAAGTGATCCACCTGCCTCGGCCTCCCAGAGTGCTGGGATTACAGGCATGAGCCACTGTGCCTGGCCTAAATTAAGTTTTGTTTGTTTCTTTGTTTGTTTGTTTTTTGAGACAGTCTCACTCTGTCGCCCAGGTTGGAGTGCAGTGGTGCGATCTCTGCTCACTGCAACCTTGCCTCCTGGGTTTAAGGGATTCTCCTTCCTCCTAGCTGGGATTACATGGGCCCACCACCATGCCCAGCGAATTTTTTTATTTTTAGTTTTAGTAGAAATGGGGCTTCACCATGTTGGCCAGGCTGGTCTTGAACTCCTGACCTCAAGTGATCCGCCTGCCTCGGCCTCCCAAGGTGCTGGGATTACAGGCGTGAGCCACCGCACCCTGCCAGTAAGCTTTTTAACTAAAGTTAAGTGATGCATGCTTTAGCTACAAACTAAATGGTTTCCTTGTGTGCCTACCTGCAAAGGAAAAGTACTCCAGTGTGAGTCAAGGGAGAATGCTTTTCTCAGGGATATCTCTCAATAATTGAGACAAGATACTCAGGGATGTGTTTCTGTTGGATTGACCCTTTTTACTCTCTTTTTCCAGTTCCTTTTTCTCCCTCTCTCATACAAGGGAAGTGGGGCAGTACGAAGGAACTGGAGATGGGAAAAGCATGGGGCTGGCTCTTCCCCAGAGAAGCCATCTCACTTTGAAAGGCTAATGGGGGCTGGCCGCGGTGGCTCACACCTGTAATCCCAGCACTTTGGGAGGCCGAGGTTGGTGGATCATTTGAGGGCAGGAGTTTGAGACCAGCCTGGCCAACATGGTGAAACCCTGCCTCTCAGCTACTTGGGAGGCTGAGGCAGGAGAATCGCTTGAACCTGGGAGGTGGAGGCTATAGAGCCAAGATCGGTGCCGCTGCACTCCAGTGTGGATGACAGAGCAAGACTGTGAAGGAAAGAAAGAAAGAAAGAGAGAGAGAGAGAAAGGAAGGAAGGAAGGGAGAAGAAAAGAAAAGAGAAAAGAAAAAAGAAAAGAAAAGAAAAGAGAAAAGAAGAAAGGCTAATGGGGCCAGGGTGAGATCCGAGGGAAAGGAGGCTTGGGGTGTGAGACTTGGCCATTTGGGCTCTTGGCTTCAGGGAAAAAAACCTTTCTTCTTTGGATTCATCTTTCCACCATGTTGACTCTTCCTACATCGTATGAAGACCTAGAGAATAAACTAGGCAGGCAAGCGGCCTATGATTCAGGAAGCCACACAACCAAGAAACAGAACTGAGGACAACCCATTTGCTGAGATTGTTCTTTGCTGCCAGACAACCCAGGGATTTGGGGGTCATCATTAACTTTCTATAGGTAATAAATATTAATCCAATGCACTAACAAAAGAGGTTGGTGTGCAAAGCAGATTGAGAGACAGTGCATTAATCTGCTAGGGCTGCCATAGAGAAACACCTCAGACTGCATGGCTTAAACAAGAGAAATCCATTTTTCTCATAGTTCTGAAGGCTGGAAGTGCAAGATCCAAATGTCACCAGGGTTTGGTTCTCCTGAGACTTCTCTCCTTGGCTTGCAGATGGCCCTTCTTACTGTGTCCTCACGTGACCTTTCCTCGGTGCTCACATCCCTGGTGTCTCTTTGTTTCCTTCTAAGGATACTTGTTCTATCGAATTAGGGACCCACCTTTATGCCCACATTTAACCTTAGGTACCTTTTCAAAGGTTCTATCTCCACATACAGTTACATTGAAGGTTAGGGTTTCAATATAAGAATTTGGGGGTAACGCAATTCAGTCCCTAACAGAGTAAAAATTCAAGAGGTTAAGTACAAAAAAAATTTAGAAATTAAAGAGAAGGAAAGAAAATTCATTTCAGAATATCAAGAGTTGGTACCATGTAGTCCTGGCCTAGCATCAGCAAACTTGGAGGGGTCAGTCCTAAACTTAGAACTAATATAATGTGCTAACTGGGTAAACTTGGGCAAGTCATTTACACTCAGCCTCAATTCCTCATATTTAAATTGAAATAATAGGCCAGGAGAGCTGGCTCATGCCTGTAATCCCAGCACTTTGGGAGGTCAAGGCAGGAGGATCACTTGAGGTCAAGAGTTCAAGACCAGCCTGGTCAACATGGTGAAAATCCATCTCTACTAAAAATACAAAAATTAGCCAGGTGTGGTGGCACATGACTGTAGTCCCAGCTACTCGGGAGGCTAAGGCAGGAGAATCACTTGAACCCAGGAGACGGAGGTTGCAGTGAGCCAAGATCATGCCACTGCATTCCAGTCGGGGCAACAGAGCAAGACTCCATCTCAAAATAAATAAATAAATAAATAAATAAATAAATAAATAAATAAATAAATAAATTGAAATAATAACTTCCAGGGTTAAAGATAATACCAAAATGATAATGAAAAAAACATATTACTATTTTAAACCAAAAATTTGGAAGGGAAGTCATGAATAGCACAAACCATAGAGACAACCATAAATACATTTGATTACATTAACATTTTAAAAATTGAGGTTCAAGGTTAAGATGTCTGATTGAATTAGATGTATCTAACTTTGCTTTCTCTAACCTAGGAAAACCACATTAATGTGATTTTAAAGGACACGTATGCCCTCCAGAACAGGGAGGTAGAAGAGGAAATGTAGCTACACCATATTAGAAGCTAGAGGCAGATGGATCTGTGATTATGACTGCAGACTTACAACAGCTCAACCCTAAGTTGGCAAGTGGAGGGAAAGCTGAGAAACCACCTGATTTACTTTTAAAAGTCTCAGGAACTGAGAATGAGAGTGTCTCTGGCGCTAACAGTAAAGCAGCAAAGCATGGCAGGTGCTAAAATAAGAAAGATAGGATGAGAGCCGTTTAAGAAACAGTACATCCCTAGATCTCTCTGCCCCTTCTTTCCCCAGAATAACTGCCTTTCTCCTACTCCAGGAGAAATCTCGAAGCTATTCCCTATAAAAAGTAAATTGAAGGGTCTTTGAGGATATCAGGCACAGACAAGGCATTTGGTACTGTACCAAAAATAGGCAAATCAGAAGCCAAAAGCACACTAAATGCTTAATCCTGAAATGACAGCCCTCCCCAAACTGCCTTCCACCATTTGGCTCCCAGAATAGCAGCAGCCAGAAGTTTACTCACCAAGCAAGAGACTGAAAATTTCTATACAAGTGGAAATTTTACCTAAAGAGACTGACGTTAGAGATTCATCAACACACAGGCCACCAAATCCTGTAGAGTGAAACTCAAAGTTGATAAGCCCCACTCACTAGCTCAGAATTCTCACTAGTTTTTTAAACTCTTGTGAAACAGACAACCAAGGTTTAACAAACATTGCAGGAAAATCTCTAACTCAGAATATAAAGCTTTTTAAAAAAAACTATAATAAGAAAGAAAATGCCATAAAAAGGGAACATTTAGGAAACAAGCAAGAGGTCTTAAACATAATAACAGAAATGGAAAAAAAAAGCATTGGAAGATAAAGTTGAGGAAATCTCAGAAAGTAGAGTAAAAAGGCAATGAAGTGGAGAATAGAAAACCAAATATAAAATTAGAGGACCAGGCCAAGTTGTCCAACATCAGAAAGAGAGATCAGAAAGCAGAGAGAAAAACAAAAATCAAAGAAATAATTCAAGAAAACATCCTCAAACTAAAGAACACAAGTTTTCAGATTAGAAGTTTGTACCTAGTGCTCAGCATAATGGAAAAAAAAAATGCAGACCAACCCCAAAGTATACCATGGGGAAATTTCAGAAACAGGAAGGAAAAACTTCTAGAGGGAAGAAAAGAGAACAGGTTATCTACAGAGGATCAATAATCAGAATGGTTTCAGATTTCTTAGCACCAACACGAAGCTTAAAGACAATGGAACAATGCTTTCAAAATTCCAGCAGAGGCCAGGCACCGTGGCTCACAGCTGTAATCTCAGCACTTTGGGAAGCTGAGGCAGGAACATCACTTGAGCCCAGCCCAGGAGTTTGAGACCAGCCTGGGCAACAGAGTGAGACCTTATGTCTACAAAAAATTTTTAAATTAGCCAGGTGTGGTGGTACATGCCTGTAGTCCCAGCTACTGGGAAGGCTGAGGAAGGAGGATTGGGGGTCGCTTGAGCCTGGGAGGTCAAGGCTGCATTGATGGTGCCACGGCACTCCAGCCTGGGCAACAGAGTAAGACCCTGTCTCAAAAATAAGAAAAATTCCAACAGGAAGATATTTCTAGCTATAGTGATGGCAAGAGCCTTTTGATCACTGTAGACTGCAACGCAAAAGAAAACACAAGTCTGTCCAAATAAGAGAAATCCTCCCATATTTAAATATGTGTTTGGATGTGCATAGAATATCTCTAGAAGGATATACTAGAAGCTAGTAACTGTGTTCCCTCTAGACAGAACTGGGTGCTATGGAATAAAGGTGTAAGGCAGACTTAATTGTTACTGTTTACCTTTTTGTTTCCTTTAAATTTTATACTATGTGCATATATCACCTATTTGAAAAATAAATAAAATAAAATACATTTTATTTTAAAAGCTATATTGAGATATCCCTCTTTTTAACCTATTAGACTTGCAAAGATCAGTTCTGTAACACACTGTGTCAGCGAAGGTGCAGGAAAGTGGGGGCTTTGTTGGTGGGAGGGTAAATTGGCTCAATTTCTATGGAGGGCAATTTGGCAATAACTATCAACATTACAAGTGCATATATCCTTGACCCAGCAATTCCATTGCTAGGAATTTGTCATACAGATAAAACTGAAGAACGATTATTTGTAAAAGGTTATTTATTGTAGCAGCATAGCATTTTTTTTGCATTGTTTTCCTTGCAAGAAAGGAAACTAGAAGGCTAGATGGAGTAGGAGGGAGGTTTTTGTTTGTTTGTTTTTGAGACAGAGTCTCACTCTGTTGCCCAGGCTGGAGTGCAGTGGCACAATCTCAGCTCACTGCAACCTCCTCCTCCCAGGTTCAAGTGATTCTTGTGCCTCAGCCTCCTGAGTAGCTGGGATTACAAGCACCTGCCACCACACCTGGCTAATTTTTGTATTTTTAGTAGAGACAGGATTTCACCATGTTGGCCAGACTGGTCTTGAATTCCTGACCTCAAGGGATCCACCCACCTCAGCCTCCCAAAGTGCTGGGATTACAGGCATGAGCCATCATGACCAGCCTGAGGGAGATTTTTCACTGGGTACTTTCATGCCTTTGAATTTTGAACTTCAAGAATGTCTGTATTAGTCCATTTTCACGTTGCTGATAAAGGCATACCTGAGACTGAGTAATTTATACAGGAAAAAAGGTTTAATGGACTTACAGTTCCACGTGGCTGGGGAGGCCTCACAATCATGGTGGAAGACAAGGAGGAGCAAGTCATATCTACGTGGATGGCAGCAGGCAAAGAGAGAGAGAGCATATTCAGGGAAACTCCTCTTTATAAAGTCATCAGATCTCGTGAGACTTACTATCACGAGAACAGCATGGGAAAGACCTGCCCCCATAATTCAATTACCTCCCACTGGGTCCCTCCCACAACATGTGGTAATTCAAGATGAGATTTGGGTGGGGACACAGCCAAATCATATCAATGTCTTACCTATTTTTTTAAAAAAACAAATACTATCCCTTAAAATTTTACAACTTCTTTAAAAATTTTTAAAAAGCAATAAATAAGGTGAAAGAGACAAGTCACATGTTGAAACAAGAGATTTATAGTGCATATAACCAGTAAAGGACTAGTATCCAGATAATACTAAAGAACTCCTATGAATCAAGAGAAAAAGCAAGACTCCTCACAAATATATGGCAAGACCATGAAGATGCAATTCACAGAAGAGGAAAATTGAATGATCAATAAATAGATTTCTTAAACATTCAACTTCATTAAAACTATAAGATATTATTTCATATGTATCAGTTTAGGAAAATTTAAACGTCCGACAATATCAAGTGTTGAGACTGTGGAACAGGAGCTCTCATATAGCTGGTGGAAATACTAATTAGAGTAATCACTTTGGAGAGCAAGTCAGGGTCTTTAGGTGTATTATAGATAAGGCATCATTTAAAACACACCAAACAAAAAGTAAAAGGAAAGATGGTATGGATTGTACATTTTATAACGGTAAGCAAACTAATTCCCAAATAGAAGAAGAGAAAGTCTCAACTGCGATTCAGCCCATGGAGAAAGATGGAAGCTGTTTAGGTAATTCAACCTTACTCTCTATCTGACAGTCATCTCCAAGAGGGTCTGTCCAGTTTTTCATCCACATTGAAGACACCACCAGTCAGGTGTCTGTCACTGACTGGGGTGAGAGACTTCGTTTTATTCTCTTCTCTCTGTGGTATGAGCACACAACCATGCAACTGCAACAGATACCCCGTGTGCTCTTTACTCTGAGTACCCCAAGGAAGTAGCCATACTGTAAGGGGGAAAAAGAGACCTCATGTCTTTACTGGAACTCATCCCTATGGGCAGTCTCCTCGTCCAGGCCTTAACCAGGTGAAGCAAGTGGGATACAGAACGCTCCTCCCTTCCTTGTGCTACTGTGTTCTCCTTTCTCCCATGTTCTTTTAACTTCTCCCAACTTTGATCCTTCCCTCCTTTTCCAGACTACAACCTTGGTATTAGTCCATTTTCACACTGCTATAAAGAACTGCCCGAGACTGGGTAATTTATAACGGAAAGAGGTTTAATTGACTCACAGTTCAGCATGGCTGGGAAGCCTCGGGAAACTTATAATCATGACAGAAGGCAAAGGAGAAGCGGGCACCTTCTCCACCAGGCGGCAGGAAGGAGAGTGAATGCAGGAGGAACTACCAAACATTTATAAAACCATCAGATCTCATGAGAACAATATGAGGGAAACTGCCCCCATGATTCAATTACCCCCACCTGGTCTCTCCCTTGACATTTGGGGATTATGGGGATTATAGGAATTACAATTCAAGATGAGATTTTGGGTGGGGACACAAGCCAAACCATATTCACCATTTCCTCAGCATTTGGCAAGGCCCATGTTTCCTCTAGTATCTACAAAATCGTTGTAACCTACAGTGTCAGTTGAAAGTCATAGCCTTAACTTCCCAGCCCTTCCACGCTACTGGATGGAAAGACCTGGAGGCTGAATGCCTGGAGATGGAGGAAAGGAAGAGAACATGAAGGTATTTTTGTCCTATGGAAGGCAATACCTTCCCTCCCTCCCTCCCTCCCTCCCTCCCTTCCTTCCTTCATTTCTCTGATGTATTTTTTAAAGAACAATAAAAATTTAAAATCCAGATGTTAATCTTTCATTATATATGGTTTCATATCTACCATAATTTAAATACATATTTTGCTTTAAAAAACCCTTCTGGACCATTTCTATCTTTCAAAAAATGTTTTTAAAACCCTTTACACTCTTGAGCTCTGTTCCAAGATGGCTGAATAGGAACAGCTCCAGTCTGCAGCTCCCAGCATGATTGATGCTGGTGATTTCTGCATATCCAACTGAGGTACCTGGTTCATCTCATTGGAACTGGTTGGACAGTGGATGCAGCCCACGGAGGGCGAGCCAAAGCAGGGCAGGGCATCACCTCACCCGGGAAGCACAAGGGGTTGGGGGATTTCCATTTCCTAGCCAAGGGAAGCCATGACAGACTGTACCTGGAAAAATGGGACACTCCTGCCCAAATACCATGGTTTTCCAAAGGTCTTAGCAACTGGCAGACAAGGAGATTCTCTCTCGTGCCTGGCTCGGTGGGTCCCATGCCCACGGAGCCTTGCTCACTGCTAGGGCAGCAGCCTGAGATTGAACTGCGAGGCGGCAGCCTGGCTGGGGGAGGGGCATCTGCCATTGCTGAGGCTTGAGTAGATAAACACAGAGGTCAGGAAGCTCAAACTGTGCAGAGCCCACCACAGCTCAGCAAGGCCTACTGCCGCTATAGACTCCACCTCTGTGGGCAGGGCATAGCTGAACAAAAGGCAGCAGACAACTTCTGAAGACTTAAACGTCCCTGTCTGACAGCTCTGAAGAGAGCAGTGGTTCTCCCAGCACGGCGTTTGAGCTCTGAGAATGGACAGACTGCCTCCTCAAGTGGGTCCCTGAACCCCGTGTAGCCTAACTGGGAGACACCTCCCAGTAGGGGCTGACTGACACCTCATATAGGCGGATGCCCCTCTGGGATGAAACTTCCAGAGGGAGGATCAGGCAGCAATATTTGCTGTTCTACAATATTTGCTGTTCTGCAATATTTGCTGTTCTGCAATATTTGCTGTTCTGCAATATTTGCTGTTCTACAATATTTGCTGTTCTGTAGCCTCTGCTGGTGATACCCAGGCAAACAGAGTCTGGAGTGGACCTCCAGCAAACTCCAACAGACCTGCAGCTGAGGGAACTGACTGTTAGACGGAAAATTAACAAATAGAAAGGAATAGCATCAACATCAACAAAAAGGACATCTACACCAAAACCCCATCTGTAGATCACCAACATCAAAGACCAAAGGTAGATAAAACCACAAAGATGGGGAGAAACCAGAGCAGAAAAGCTGAAAATTCTGAAAACCAGAGTGCCTCTTCTCCTCCAAAGGATCACGGCTCCTTGCCAGCAATGGAACGAAGCTGGACGGAAAATGACTTTGATGAGCTGACAGAAGCAGGCTTCAGAAGGTCGGTAATAAAAAACTACTCTGAGCTAAAGGAGCGTGTACCTAACCTATCGCAAGGAAGCTAAAAACCTTGAAAAAAGGTTAGACAAATGGCTAACTAGAATAAACAGTGTAGAAAAGACCTTAAATGATCTGATGGAGCTAAAAACTGTGGCACAAGAACTTTGTGACCCATGCACAAGCTTTGATAGCTGATTTGATCAAGTGGAAGAAAGAGTATCAGTGATTGAAAATCAAATTAATGAAATAAAGCGAGAAGACAAGTTTAGAGAAAAAACAGTAAAACGAAACAAACAAAGCCTCCAAGAAACACGAGACTATGTGAAAAGACCAAATCTACATTTGATTGGTGTACCTGATAGTGACAGGGAGAATGGAACCAAGTTGGAAAACACTCTGCAGGGTATTATCCAGGATAACTTCCCCAACCTAGCAAGACAGGCCAACATTCAAATTCAGGACATACAGAGAACACCACAAAGATACTCCTCGAGAAGAGTAACCCAAGACACATAATTGTCAGATTCACCAAGGTTGAAATGAAGGAAAAAATGTTAAGGGCAGCCAGAGAGAAAGGTCAGGTTACCCACAAAGGGAAGCCCATCAGACTAACAGTGGATCTCTTGGCAGAAACTCTACAAGTCAGAAGAGAGTGGGGGCCAATATTCAACAATCTTAAAGAAGACAATTTTCAACCCAGAACTTCATATCCAGCCAAACTAAGCTTCATAAGTGAAGGAGAAATAAAAACCTTTACAGACAAGCAAATGCGGAGATTTTGTCACCACCAGACCTGCCTTACAAGAGCTCCTGAAGGAAGCACTAAACATGGAAAGAAACAACCAATACCAGCCACATCAAAAACATGCCAAATTGTAAAGACCATCGATGCTATGAAGAAACTGCATAAATTAACGGGCAAAATAACCAACTAACATCATAATGACAGGATCAAATTCACACATAACAATATTAACCTTAAGTGTAAATGGGCTAAATACCCCAATTAAAAGACACAGACTGGCAAATTGGATAAAGAGTCAAGACCCATCAGTGTCCTGTATTCAGGAAACCCATCTCACGTGCAGAGACACACATAGGCTCAAAATAAAGGGATGGAGGAAGATTTACCAAGCAAAGGAAAAGGAAAAAAAGGCAGGGGTTGCAATCCTAGTTTTTGAGAAAGCGGACTTTAAACCAACAAAGATCAAAAGAGACAAAGAAGGCCATTACACAATGGTAAAGGGATCAATTCAACAAGAAGAGCTAACTATCCTAAATATATATGAACCCAATACAGGAGCACCCAGATTCATAAAGCAAGTCCTTGGAGACCTACAAAGAGACTTAAGATTTCCACACAATAATAATGGGAGAATTTAACACCTCACTGTCAATATTAGACAGATCAACGAGACAGAAGGTTAGCAAGGATATCCAGGATTTGAACTCAGCTCTGCACCAAGGAGACCTAACAGACATCTACAGAACTCTCCATCCCAAATCAACAGAATATACATTCTTCTCAGCACCACATCACACTTACTCCAAAATTGACCACATAATTGGAAGTAAAGCACTCCTCAGCAAATGTAAAATAATAGAAATCACAGGCCAGGCGCGGTGGCTCACGCCTGTAATCCCAGCACTTTGGGAGGCCGAGGCAGGTGGATCACGAGGTCAGGAGATTGAGACCACTCTGGCTAACACAGTGAAACCCCGTCTCTAGTAAAAATACAAAAAATTAGCCGGGCGTGGTGGCAGGTGCCTGTAGTCCCAGCTACTCGGGAGGCTGAGGCAGGAGAATGGTGTGAACCCAGGAGGTGGATCTTGCAGTGAGCTGAGATCTCGCCACTGCACTCCAGCCTGGGTGACAGAGCGAGACTCCACCTCAAAAAAAAAAAGAAAAAGAAAAAATAAAAATAAATCACAACAAGCTGTCTCTCAGACCACAGTGCAATCAAATTAGAAGAATCAAGAAACTCACTCAAAACCACACAACTACATGGAAACTGAACAATCTGCTCCTGAGTGACTACTGGGTAAATAACGAAATAAAGGCAGAAATAAAGATGTTCTTTGAAACCAATGAGAACAAACACACAACGTACCAGAATCTCTGGGACACATTTAAAGCATGTGTAGAGGGAAATTTATAGCACTAAATGCCCACAAGAGAAAGCAGGAAAGATCTAAAATTGACACCCTAACATCACAATTAAAAGAACTAGAGAAGCAAGAGCAAACAAATTCAAAAGCTAGCAGATGGCAAGAAATAGCTAAGATCAGAGCAGAACTGAAAGAGATAGAGAGACAAAAAAACCTTCAAAAAAATCAATGAATCCAGGAGCTGGTTTTTTGAAATGATCAACAAAGTTGATAGACCACTAGCAAGACTAATAAAGAAGAAAAGAGAGAAGAATCAAATAGACACCAAAAAAAATGATAAAGGGGATTATCACCACTGATCCCACAGAAATACAAACTACCATCAGAGAATATTATAAACACCTCTACACAGGCCGGGCGTGGTGGCTCACGCCTGTAATCCCAGCACTTTGGGAGGCTGAGGTAGGTGGATCACGAGGTCAGGAGATTGAGACCATCCTGGTTAACACAGTGAAACCCCATCTCTATTAAAAATACAAAAAAATTAGCTGGGGCATGGTGGCATGCCCCTGTAGTCCCAGCTACTCGGGAGGCTGAGGCAGGAGAATCGCTTGAACCTGGGAGGTGGAGGTTGCAGTCAGCCAAGATCGTGCCGCTGCACTCCAGCCTGCGAGACACAGAGAGACTGTGTCTCAAAAACAAACAAACAAACAAACAAACAAAACACCTCTACACAAATAAACTAGAAAATCTAGAAGAAATGGATAAATTCCTGGACACATACACCCTCCCAAGACTAAACCAGGAAGAAGTTGAATCTCTGAATAGACCAGTAACAGGCTCTGGAATTAAGACAATAATTAATAGCCTACCAATCAAAAAAAGTCCAGGACCAGATGGATTCACAGCCGAATTCTACCAGAGGTACAAAGAGGAGCTGGTACCATTTCTTCTGAAACTATTCCCATCAATAGAAAAAGAGGGAATCCTCCCTAATTCATTTTATGAGGCCAGCATCATCCTGATACCAAAGCCTGGCAGAGACACAACAAAAAAAGAGAATTTTAGGCCAATATCCATGATGAACATCTATGCGGAAATCCGCAATAAAATACTGGCAAACTGAATCCAGCAGCACATCAAAAACTTATCCACCATGATAAAGTTGGCTTCATCCCTGGGATTTGAAGCTGGTTCAACATACACAAATCAATAAACATGATCCATCACATAAACAGAACCAATGACAAAACCACATGATAATCTCAATAGATGCAGAAAAGGCCTTTGACAAAATTCAACAGCCCTTCATGCTAAAACCTCTCAATAAACTAGGTATTGATGGAACGTATCTCAAAATAATAAGAGCTATTTATGACAAAGCCACAGCCAATATCATACTGAATGGGCAAAAACTGGAAGCATTCCCTTTGAAAACCGGCACAAGACAAGGATGCCCTCTCTCACCACTCCTATTCAACATAGTGTTGGAAGTTCTGGCCAGGGCAATCAGGCAAGATAAAGAAATAAAGGGTATTCAGTTAGGAAAAGAGGAAGTCAAATTGTCCCTGTTTGCAGATGACATGATTGTATATTTAGAAAACCCCACTGTCTCAGCCCAAAATCTCCTTAAGCTGATAAGCAACTTCAGCAAAGTCTCAGGATACAAAATCAATGTGCAAAAATCACAAGCATTCCTATACACCAATAACAGACAAACAAAGAGCCAAATCATGAGTGAACTCCCATTCACAATTGCTACAAAGAGAATAAAATACCTTGGAATCCAACTTACAAGGAATGTAAAGGACCTCTTCAAGGAGAACTACAAACAACTGCTCAATGAAATAAAAGAGGACACATACAAATGGACGAATATTCCATGCTCATGGATAGGAAGAATCAATATCGTAATTTATAGATTCAATGCCATCCCCATTAAGCTACCAATGACTTTCCTCACAGAATTGGAAAAAACTACTTTAAAGTTCATATGGACCCAAAAAAAAGCCTGCATTGCCAAGACAATCCTAAGCAAAAAGAACAAAGCTGGAGGCATCACACTACCTGACTTCAAACTATACAAGTCTACAGTAACCAAAACAGCATGGTACTGGTACCGAAACAGAGATATAGACAGATGGAACAGAACAGAGGCCTCAGAAATAACACCACACGTCTACAACCATCTGATCTTTGACAAACCTGACAAAAACAAGAAATGGAGAAAGGATTCCCTGTATAATAAATGGTGCTGGGAAAACTGGCTAGCCATATGCAGAAAGATGAAACTGCATCCCTTCCTTACACCTTATACAAAAATTAATTCAAAATTGTTTAAAGACTTAAATGTTAGACCTAAAATCATAAAAACCCTAGAAGAAAACCTAGGCAATACCATTCAGGACATAGGCATGGGCAAGGACTTCATGACTAAAACACCAAAAGCAATGGCAACAAAAGCCAAAATAGATAAATGGTATCTAATTAAATGAAAGGGCTTCTGCACAGCAAAAGAAACTACCATCAGAGTGAATAGGCAACCTACAGAATGGGAAAAAATTTTTGCAATCTACCTATCTGACAAAGGGCTAATATCCAGAATCTACAAAGAACTCAAACAAATTTACAAGAAAAAAACAACCCCATCAAAAAGTGGGCAAAGGATATGAACAGACACTTCTCAAAAGAAGACATTAATGCAGCCAACAGACAAATGAAAAAATGCTCATCATCACTGGTCATCAGAGAAATCCAAATCAAAACCACAATGAGATACCATCTCACACCAGTTAGAATGGCGATCATTAAGAAGGCAGTAAACAACAGATGCTGGAGAGGATGTGGAGAAATAGGAACGCTTTTACACTGTTGGTGGGAGTGTAAACTAATTCAACCATTGTGGAAGACAGTGTGGTGATTCCTCAAGGGTCTAGAACTAGAAATACCATTTGACCCAGCGATCCCATTACTGGGTATATACCCAAAGGATTGTAAATCATGCACACGTATGTTTATTGTGGCACTATTCACAATAGCAAAGACTTGGAACCAACCCAAATGTCCATCAATGATAGACTGGATTAAGAAAATGTGGCACATATACACCATGGAGTACTATGCAGCCATAAAAAAGGATGAGTTCATGTCCTTGGCAGGGATGTGGATGAAGCTGGAAACCATCATTCTGAGCAAACTATCACAAGGACAGAAAATCAAGCACCGCATGTTCTCACTCATAGGTGGGAATTGAACAATGAGAACACTTGGACACAGGGTGGGGAACATCACACACCGGGGCCTGTCAGGTGGTGGGAGGCTGGGGGAGAGATAGCATTAGGAGAAATACCTAATGTAAATGAGGAATTGATGGGTTCAGCAAACCAACATGGTACGTGTATACCTATGTATCAAACCTGCACACTGTGCCCATGTACCCTAGAACTTAAAGTATAATAAAAAATAAAAACAAAACAAAAAAAAAACCTTTAACTTGGCCTGATACTAAATAATTGTATTGGTCAGGGTTCTCTAGAGAAACAGAACCAACAGGGCGTGTTGAGATTATATAAATAAATTACAGGCTGGGCATAGTGGTTCACACCTGTAATCCCAGCATTTTGGGAGGAGTGGGCAGGTAGATCACTTGAGCCCAGGAGTTTGAGACCAGCCTGGGCAACATGGCAGAACACTGTCTCTACAAAAAATACAAAAATTACCTGAGCGTGGTGGTGCATGCCTGCAGTCCCAGCTACTTAGGAGGCTGAGGTGGGAGGATTGCTTGAGCTCAGGAGGTTGAGCAAGGCTGCAGTGAGCCGTGATTGCACCACTCTACTCCAGCCTGGGCAACAGAGTGAGACACCGTCTCTAAAAATAAATAAATAAATTACAGTTCGCAGTGGCTTATGCCTGTAATCCCAGCACTTTGGGAGGCAAGGCGGGTGGATCACTTGAGGTCAGGAATTCGAGACCAGCCTGGTCAACATGGTGAAACCCCATCTCTATGAAAAATACAAAAAATTCCCGGGCGTAATGGTGTCTGTAATCTCAGCTACTCAGGAGGCTGAGGGAGGAGAATCGCTTGAACCTGGGAGGCGGAGGTTGCAATGAGCCAAGATCACACCATTGCACTCCAGCCTGGGTGACAGAACAAGACTCTGTCTCAAATAAAATAAAATAAAATAAAATAAAACAAAATAAAATAAATAAAATAAAATAAAATAAAATAATTAAAAAATAAATTACAGAATTAATTAAAATTGCAATAAATATTTAAAAAGAGGTAGAGAGTGATATAAAATGTACTGCTTAACTGAGTCTGAGAAGTCAGGATAGGCTTTTCTGAGGAATATGTCAAACAGAAATAAGATTTTTTGGTTTTAAAATATAAGAAGGTAGAAGAAAAATGTTTAAGGTGAAATAAACCTATGTTTCCAAGTGGGATGAATTAGCTAGTGACAGAATGTGTTCTCACCTAAAATAAGCAGAAAATTAGAACAAAATAGAGGAGGCATCTATTTTAAGGCAGAAAAGGGCTTCTGAGTTAGCAATAACTGAAGGAGCCAAAACTCCAGAGAGGGAGAATCACAGCTAGGGAGAGCTGAGTTCTGCAGCCACTGTGCCTAGGGGTCATCTGCTGATTCTGTGCTTGGGGAGGAGACTGATAACCCCAGGCCTTGCACCCAAGGAAGGCCACTGCTGGGAGGCAGAGGCCAGGAGGGATATGGGAGGAGATTTGGAAGGTCTCCAGAGAACATCTGTTAAATTACAGGGGTGCATGAGGCTGGAGTCTAAAAAGAGAAGCAGAAAACTTCTGAAGCAGAACAGAGCCTTCGGCAGTCTTGTAAAGACAAAGATTAGAATTCTTGGCCCACCAGGTGGAAGAGCATGGAGAATACACTAGGATTTCTGCTGAAAATCCTGAAGAAGCAGGAGTAAAATCAATGCAGGCTGAGCCTTACGAAGGACACAACTCAGCCTCAACTCACCACAGTGCATAGAGGATTCAGGGTTAGATTTAATTAATTCTAAATTAGAATTAGATACAAGTCACCAATTAGAAGCAAGATGCTTTATAAAATTAATATAATTTTTATTGTATGTGGAGAAAATAAATGAGCAAGTACATCAAAGAGCATTTCAGATTCAAAAAGAGTGATGAGAAGAATTTGTCCTAGCAGACATTTAATGTACTGGTAACAAATTTGAAACACTTGGTGTACAGGAATATCAATAATGAGAATATTTAAAAGACCCACACTTTGCACTACACTCTGAAAAAAAAAATCCAGGTAGATTGGGAGTTAAATACATTTAAAAAAACAAATACACATATGTAAAAGACTAGCACTAGGGGAAATCACTTTTTGACTGTCGATGGAATATAAATGAAAAAAAGACGGACAGGTTCATGACTTAGATAGCTTTATCTTTGGTGGAATGAATACCAATAAAGCTGAAATTTAAAAATTCAGAAGACTGGAGAAAAAGTTTGCAAATGAAGACAAAGTTCAATAACTAAAAAGTATAAAGAGTGCATATAAATAGGTAAAATTACCAACTATTAAACAAATGATTAAAAAACAGTTCATACAACAAGAAACACTGTCAGTAAATCATAATTTTAAAACTATTCAGTCAACCTTGTTGGTAAAATAACTGCAAATTAAACCTACGGTGAAGTTTCATTTTGTGCCTTAAAAAAATTTAGAAAAACTTTTAAAAAGTTGTAAAAGCCAAAGCCTGCAAGGCTTCGGGAAGCAGATATGCTCATGCATTAATGAAAGCAGCGTAAACTGATTCAGTCTTCCTGAAGGGCAAAATGGTACTTTATTGAAAGAATCATAAATATGCCTAACCCCTGACCAAGTAATAGAATTTATCCTGAGGAAATGATGTTTAATAAAAAGTGTATGTATATATAATGTTTATTTTATGATGGCAAACATTGGAATAAAGCTAAGAGCCCAACAATACAGATATACAGAAAGAAGCTAACTATGGCATATCAAAATGATATACTCTAGTGATATACTAAAAATGATGAATATGAAGGTGCTATAGGAAATAGAAAATATTTGGATAAATCATGTTACATAAAAGGAAGAATACCAAATTGAACATACACACCCATTATGACTATAACAGAACCATGAATATACATAAGCAAAGTGAGAAAAGGACACACCTAGGAAATGTTTCTAGCTGGGTTAAGATCAACAGACTTGCAGTGAATTATTCTGTCAAGTTGTTAAGACATTAGATTTCCCTTTGCGTTCTCTTTCCCTCTCCCAACATGGCTGCCTCAGCGAAAAAGAAGAATAAGAAGGGGAAGACTATCTCCCTAACAGACTTTCTGGCTGAGGATGGCGGACTGGTGGAGGAAGTAGCTATGTATCCAAACCAGTCAGCTGGGTTGATGAAACGGATGACCTGAAGGAGATGTTTCAGCTTGGCACAGTAACGATGACGATGTGTATAGGGCGCCCCCAGTTGACCGTTCCATCCTTCCCACTGCTCCACGGGCTGCTAGGGAACCCATTATCGACCGGAGCGGTCTTCCCAAATCGCCACCCTACACTGCTTTTCTAGGGAACCTACCCTATGACGTGACAGAAGAGTCAATTAAGGAATTATTTAGAGGATTAAATATCAGTGCAGTGTGTTTACCACGTGAACCCAGCAATCCAGAGAGGTTGAAAGGTTTTGGTTATGCTGAATTTGACGACCTGGATTCCCTGTTCAGTGCCCTGAGTCTCAATAAAGAATCTCTAGGTAACAGGAGAATTCGAGTGGACGTTGCTGACCGAGCACAGGATAAAGACAGGGACGATCGTTCTTTTGGCCATGAGAGAAATCGGGATTTTGACAAAACAAATACAGACTGGAGGGCTCGTCCTGTCACAGACAGCTTGGATGACTACTCGCCTAGAAGAGGTGATGATTGCTTTGGAGACAAGTATCAAGATCGTTATGATTCAGACCGGTATCGCGGTGGGTATCGGGAGGGGTATCAGGATGGCCCACGCTGGGATATGGATCGATATGGCGGCCAGGATTGCTATGATGACCCAGGCAGCAGACACTATGATAGAGGCTATGATTCCCAGATAGGCAATGGCAGAAGAGCATTTGGTAGTGGGTACCGCAGGGATAATGACTACAGAGGAGGCAGGGACCGCTCTGAAGACCGATACAACAGACGGGATGATCGGTCGTGGAGCTCCAGAGATGATTACACTTGGGATGATTATAGGTGTGATGATAGAGGTCCCCGCAAAGACCCAAACTGAATCTAAAGCTTTGGAGTACTCCCAAGGAAGATGATTCCTCTGCTAGTACCTCCCAGTCCAGTCGAGCTGCTTCTATCTTTGGAGGGGCAAAGCCGGTTGACACAGCTGGTAGAGAAAGAGAAGTAGAAGAAATGCTACAGAACAAGAGAAGTTGCAGCGTCAGCTGGATGAGCCATAACTAGAACGACGGCCTCGGGAGAGACACCCAAGCTGGCAAAGTGAAGAAACTCAAGAATGGAACGGTCGCGGACAGGAAGTGAGTCATCGCAGACTGAGACCTCCGCCATACCCAGCAGAAATGCACGAAGGAGAGAGAGTGAGAAGTCTCTAGAAAATGAAACACTCAATAAGGAGGAAGATTGTCACTCTCCAACTTCTAAACGTCTCAAACCTGATCCTACCAGACCCAAAGGTAATGCCAGCCCCTCCACCAAAGGAGAATGCTTCGGTGAAGTGAAGTTCTAACGCTCCTGCTCCATCTCAGAGCTCAGACACAGAGCAGCAATCCCCTACAAGTGGTGGGGGAAAAGTAGCTCCAGCTCGATCATCTGAGGAAGGACCAGCAAAGAAAGATGAAAATAAAGTGGATGGGATGAAAGTCCCAAAAGGTCAAACTGGGAACTCTAGCTGTGGTCCAGGAGATGGAGGGAACAAAGACCACTGAAAGGAGTCAGATAGGAAAGATGGCAAAAAGGATCAAGACTCCAGATCTGCACCTGAGCCAAAGAAACCTGAGGAAAATCCAGCTTCCAAGTTCAGTTCTGCAAGCAAGTATGCTGCTGTCTCCGTTTCTGGTGAAGATGAAAACAAGGGAGAAGATTATGCCGAGTGGACCTAGACATCCTGTGCTTTCTCCTAGTTTCTCTCCACCCTGGAACGTTCGAGAGCAAATCAAACTTCTATCCAGACAAGACAAAATAAAACTCACCATCTCCTGGAGACTTTTCTTACCTTTCTTTTTTTTTTTTTTAAGTGAAATTCTTTTGCATGCTGCTGCAGCCTTTAGAGTATTGAAGTAACTGGAGAATCGCCAATATAGCCAGAGAGAAAGAGACTACAGCTTTTTAGTGGAAAAGTTGTGGTGCGTTTTGTCACCATGCAGTTGCCAGAGTGATTAATACCTAGGAGCCTCCATTTAGTGGAAATGGTAATGACAGTGAGATAAGGTCTGGAATCTGGTTGGACAGTAGGGGAAGGAAGTATAAGGAAAAGTGTGAGATTTCTACTTTTTATTTTTTACCCTATTGTGGCATATATGAATTCTCAAACATCTAAATAAATTTTTCACTCTTGGAAAGGTAGATTTAGCCTCAAGTTGTTTTAGTCTTCAGGAGGCTCCCAGCCCCTCCTGTTATTTAATTCTGAGTTTTAGGGGCCAGCCTAGAGGGAATTCTTTCATTCTTTTTTTTTTTTTTTTTTACCCTCCAAGGGGGTAGTTCGGGGTGAGTCTATAGGCCATAAAGAATAGGACTGCATTGGACCAAGATAAATGGGAAAATTGTGGTTTGAAAAGAAGCTTTTGGGAGGTAATGAGTCATTTTGTATCAGGTAATAGGGGAAAATTGTGCGACCTCCAGCAAACACAAGAATGGTTATTTCCCGGAGCCAGAAGCACTTGGGGGTCATGATAATTCCCAATGTTTGTGTGTCCTGGTTTTACCCTTTTTAAACACTGTCCTTTTTGAAAGTTCGAATATATCCACATTCTGTTGAAACCTTGAAACTTTAAAAATTTAGACTCTTGTCGTCATCTTAAGCTCTTCATGCTACTCTTAACCTCCCAAAAAGCAGTCTCTAAGTCACATAGATGATCTCTTGGGCATTTTCTCTCAGCCATGGAGAGGAGTGAAAGGCAGAATCGCTGCTTTTCTCAAGCAAATCGGTTTCTTGATGTCTTTTGGTTCTCACTCGTTGCCTACTCCTAATGGTTTGACCCCTTTTATAGATCAGGGTGCTCTAGGGTAATGGATGGTCTTGGGTGGTGAATAAAGGTGGATAAATAGGGACAGGGACAGTTAAATTGGGAGCCTTTCTCACAACCTCGATGGTTTTTTCCCCCCAAGTTTCCTTCTCCACTGAAATGACACACCAATGGTTGTTGGATTTATGAGGTGGCCAGACCAATGGGTTGTTTTTTCTTTTTCTTTTCTTTTTTTTAAGTCTCCCTTGAGAGAATAAATGGTAATGGAGAGAACTATTTAACAAGGTCCTGGTTTCTCTTGCAACACAGTAGCTAAACTTGCCTGCTTTTATGTGCATTTTTGTAGGGATCAGCTTGGTAGACAGTATTAGCAGAGAAATGACACCTTGATCTTGGTTTGCAAGCACTTCTCCTGTCAGTCCTAGATTAGGCCCTGCTCAGCCATGCAGGGGTGTTGGTTTATGCGTGCTGCAGCAGTGGGCATAATGAATATAATTTGCCCAGTGAACAAAAGTGTGTACCAAATGAATTTAAATAATTAGGGTGGACTGGCTAGTAGCTAAGAAGTAGGCTTTTAAAGAGAGATTGAAAGCTTTTTTTTAAGAAAAAAAAAACATTGATTGTAGATAATGAGAAGCTAGGGTTTGCCCTCTTCATGTCTACTCTCCCTCCAAATAGATACCAAACTGTTTTTCCCTCTCCCCTACCTTGCCCCCCTGTTAAAATAGAAATGGGGATTGATTAATGTCCCTCTCCTAAATACATGTAAAATTTGAAAATGATTTATAATCTATAGACTTATTATGTGGGAGATGTCCTGAGATGTAAAATCCCATCCTTTGGGTTGTGAGTTTTTTGTTTCCTCCAAAAAAATCTGATCTTAAAAAAATAGATTTTTTAAAAACTTTAATATTGCTATGATGAGATTGTCTTTGTAGGACACTGAATTGGCTTATAAAAATACAGTTTTTTGCTGCCTTCCTAAACTGCACAGATGGACAGATGACTGTGTTTCTGTTTAGTTATAGGGACTTTGTTGAATCTATATTCTGATAGAAAGATAAAAGGCCAGGCCAGGCGTGGTGGCTCACACCTGTAATCCTAGCACTTTGGGAGGCTGAGGCAGGTAGATCGCCTGAGTTCAGGAGTATGAGACCAGCCTGGCCAACATGGCAAAAACCCCATTTCTACTAAAAATACAAAAATTAGCTGGATGTGGTAGCATGAGCCTGTGGTCCCAGCTACTTGGGAGGCTGAGACAGGAGAATTTCTTGAACCCGGGAGGCGGAGGTTGCAGTGAGCCAAGATGGTGCCACTGTACTCCAGCCTGGGTGACAGAGTGAGACTCTGCCTCAAAAAACAAAAACCAAAAACCAAAAAAAAAAAAAAAGAAAAAAGAAAAAGAAAAAGAAAAGAAAAGAAAAAAAGGAAATTTAATTTCTGTGTCCATAACAGAGTTGTACTGAAGTACAGCCATACTCACTTGTTTATGTACATTCTATGGCTGCATATGGGTGAATATGAATCAAAATTAAAAATCTAATTCTCTCAGGTGCACAAGAGGAAACTCTCCTCCCATTTTTATTTTTGAAAATTTGTAATTGTTAATTTTCTTTCTGCCTTTTTGAGATGTATAAAAATCTCTTTTGAAGGCATTTTTTTTTTAAAGCCTCTTGCCAGTTTTACAACCCAGGAGTGTTTTCTCAAGGACCTGGGAGCCATCTCTTTGAAATGTAATCATCAAGGAGGATGGTGCCCCATCTCCCGGTTTCCACGGGAGGGCAGGAGCCTGACTTCAGCTGGCATCTGGCTCCAAATCATAACTACCTACTTGTCATAGAACTATGAGAAATTTTATTATTTCTTTGGATAAAGACAATTAGCTAACACAGATGGCCATCCCAATTACTGGGTGGTTTAGGATGACCTATGTGTGACAAATGGTATTGTCAAATCCTCTTACTTGAGGGCTAGTTATCAACTGAGAACATGTGTGTAATGGGGTGTATCTACTGGACTACGTAAAAAGGTGAGATTTCTTTCTATCTTTGAAATCTTTTTAGTGGATTACCTGTGATAAGCATCACATTCTGGTTTAATGCTTATTCAATAATATACTATTTTCTTTCTCTTCTGCCTTGTGTAGAGGTTTTCCGGGTCAGCAGGAGATTTGGCTTTTAATTATATTTCCCTAACAGCTGCTTCTGGTCTTGGATGGCAGAATTGAGTAGTTGCAACAGAGACCATATGGCCTACATAACCTAAACTATTTACTCTCTCGCTCTTTAAGGGAAAAGTTTGCGGTCAAACCTGGGCTAGGTAACTAGATGTGTATGCAAGATACTTAAAGAAAGTTAAATTATTTAGTATAATAAAGTGAGGGATTTTGAGTTTGTATAGGTGGCTTAAAGAGAAGCAGTAGGGGCCTGGGAACATGGGGAAGGGGGTGATCAGAAGAGGTGGATCTTAGGGCAAGGCATTGCAAACCCAAATGTCTAGAGGGGCTGGGATGCCAATGAGCAAAGTGAGCCAAATGGAAATTTTACTGAACTGGAGCCAGGACCCTTGGTTGCAGCTGATGGCAAACCATCTGTTTTTTTGTTTGTTTGTTTTTCCCCAAATAAGCTGTAAATCTGAGGTTTTATATGAAGACTCACTTTTAAAATGTTAGCATCTAATTTGAATTTTTCAAAAGCAGGTCTCAGGCAGGCTTCAGTTTGGTGGACACCAACTTGTGACTTCTGATCTCAAGCGAGGGAGTCGGAGAGGACCTTTCCATGTTAACTGTTAAATGGTTTGGGCAGGAATTGCCTGATAAATTAATTCCTAGAAATAGTTATGTGTGAACTTTGACCTGGGAGTTGATTTCTACATTGAGATGTAATTAATTTTCAGTAAGTATGTTAGTGATAATTTGGGGGTAAGAAATGGGGGTAGTATTTCTAGAGTAGAAGCAGTGTGAAAACAGGACCACAGAGGCAGGAGCCATGAAGCAGATTTAGTTGCGCACTTTCTCTGGAAAAATGTAGGCCCCTGAAAACAGATATTGCAGAGAGCTCTCGGCCTTTCCACAGCGCACTGAATGGGGATTTCGGACATTTTATTTAGATATCAAGTGAAATACAATTCAAACAGGATAGAGAACTTAGGGACTTAGAATAATGATTGACATTTAGCAAGCCCTCAATAAATGTTAGCTCTTGTAATTAACTACTGTTTTCTAGAATATGTATGGAAACTCAGATCACTTGGCCAGGATGCAACACCTGCCAAAAAACAAAGGAAGCGCAATCACTTTTCAAATCCAAAGGAAAAGACTTGGAGTATATGTGGTTTAAAAAATGTCTGCACTGAAGCAGGAGGATCACTTGAGCCCTGGAGTTCAAGACCAGCCTAGGCAACACAGCAAGACTCCATCTTTATAAAAAAAATTTAAAAATTAACCAAGTGTGCTGGCATGTGCCTATAGTCTCAGCTACTCAGGGCTGAGATGGGAGGATTACTTGAGCACAGGAGGTAGTGGCTGCAGTGAGCCATGATTGAGTCACTGCACTCCAGCCTGGGCAAGAAAGTGAGACCCTGTCTCAAAAAAATAAAAAATGAAAAGAAAAATGTCTGCAAATTATTATTATTATTATTATTATTTTATTATACTTTAAGTTCTAGGGTACATGTGCACAACATGCAGGTTTGTTACATAGGTATACATGTGCCATGTTGGTTTGCTGAACCCATTAACTCATCATTTACATTAGATAGTTCTCCTAATACTATCCCTCCCCCTGCCCCCCACCCCACGACAGGCCCCCACTTGTGATGTTCCCCACCCTGTGTCCAAGTGTTCTCATTGTTCAATTCCCACCTATGAGTGACAACATGCGGTGTTTGGTTTTCTGTCCTTG
The DNA here is from genome assembly GCF_000001405.40 of Homo sapiens. Lineage (NCBI taxonomy): Eukaryota > Metazoa > Chordata > Mammalia > Primates > Hominidae > Homo > Homo sapiens. The sequence continues at coordinate 122,667,433 of NC_000003.12, forward strand.
TGATAGTTTGCTCAGAATGATGGTTTCCAGCTTCATCCATGTCCCTGAAAAGGACATAAACTCATCCTTTTTTATGGCTGCATAGTACTCCATGGTATATATGTGCCACATTTTCTTAATCCAGTCTATCATTGATGGACATTTGGGTTGGTTCCAAGTTTTTGCTATTGTGAATAGTGCCACAATAAACACACATGTGCATGTGTCTTTATAGTAGCATGATTTATAATCCTTTGGGTATATACACAGTAATGGGATCGCTGGGTCAAATGGTATTTCTAGTTCTAGATCCTTGAGGAATCGCCACACTGTCTTCCACAATGGTTGAACTAATTTACACTCCCACCAGAAGTGTAAAAGCTTTCCTATTTCTCCACATCCTCTCCAGCAACTGTTGTTTCTTGCCTTTTTAATGATTGCCATTCTAACTGGTGTGAGATGGTATCTCATTGTGGTTTTGATTTGTGTTTCTCTGATGACCAGTGATGATGAGCATTTTTTCAATTGTCTGTTGGCTGCATAAATGTCTTCTTTTGAGAAGTGTCTGTTCATATCTTTGGCCACTTTTTGATGGGGTTGTTTGTGTTTTTCTTGTAAATTTGTTTGAGTTCTTTGTAGATTCTTGTTACTAGCCCTGTGTCAGATGGGTAGATTACAAAAATTTTCTCCCATTCTGTAGGTTGCCTGCTCATTCTGATAGTGGTTCTTTTGCTGTGCAGAAGTTCTTTAGTTTAATTAGATCCCATTTGTCTATTTTGGCTTTTGTTGCCATTGCTTTTGGTGTTTTAGACATGAAGTCCTTGCCCATGCCTATGTCCTGAATGGTATTGCCTAGGTTTTCTTCTAGGGTTTTTATGGTTTTAGGTCTAACATTTAAGTCTTTAATCCATCTTGAATTAACTTTTGTATAAGGTGTAAGGAAGGGATCCAGTTTTAACTTTCTACATACGGCACCCGCCTGTATGTGGTGTCAGTCAGCCCATACTGGGAGGTGTCTCCCAGTTAGGCTACACGAGGGTCAGGGACCCACTTGAAGAGGCAGTCTGTCCGTTCTCAGAGCTCAAACAACCTGCTTGGAAAAGCACTGCTCTCTTCAGAGCTGTCAGACAGGGACGTTTAAGTCTGCAAAAGTTTCTGCTGCCTTTTGTTCAGCTATGCCCTGCCCGGAGGTGGGGTCTACGGAGGCAGCAGGCCTTGCAGAGCTGTGGTGGGCTCTGCCCAGTTTGAGCTTCCTGGCCATTTTGTTTACCTACTCAAGCCTCAGCAATGATGGACGTCCCTCCCCCTGCTAGGCTGCTGCCTCGCAGGTTGATCTCAGTCTCTGCACTAGCAGTGAGCAAGGCTCTGTGGGCATGGGACCTGTCGAGCCAGGTGCGGGATATACTCTCCTGGTGTTCCATTTGCTAACACCGTTGGAAATGCACAGTATTTGGGTGCCAGCATCCTGATTATCTAGGTACAGTCTGTCATGGCTTCCCTTGCCTATGAAAGGGACATCCCCCAACCCCTTGTGCTTCCCTGGTGAGGTGATGCCCCACCCTGCTTTGGCTCGCCCTCCGTGGGCTGCACCCACTGTCCAACCAGTCCCAGTGAGATGAACTACGTACCTCAGCTGGAAATGCAGAAATCACCATCTTCTGTGTTTATCACGCTGGATGCTGCAGACTGTAGCTGTTCCTATTCAGCCATCTCGGAACAGAGAGGCAAATGTCTGCAAATTCTTAAACACCCCTCCAGTGAGGATGTGGAATCTGTTTCTCTTCTACCTGACTATGAACTTGACTTAGTGACTCACTTCATTTTTTAGAGATGGGGTCTCTCTCTCGAGTGCAGTGGTGCCATCATAGCTCACTGCAGCCTTGAACTCCTGGCCTCAAGTGATCCTCCTGCCTCAGCCTGTTAAGTAGCTAGGACTACAGGTGCACACCACCATGCTCAGTTAATTTTTAAAAAATGTTTTTTGTTAGGCAGGGTCTAGCTATGTTGTTCAGGCTATGACTCACTTCTAATCAATAGAATGCTTGAGAAGTGAAACTATAACTTCTAAGGGCCAAGTCATAAAAAGTAATAGAGCTTTCGACTCTCTCTTGCTCTCTCTCAACATGCCTTAGGAGCTGAGTCACCAAGTTGAAAGTTCACCTACTCTGAAGCCACCATGCTGGAGAAACCATGTGGTGAGCCCACATATTGATAGAGATACCAGAGGAGCTCCAGAGGGTCCAGCCCCCAGTTTTTTGAGTTATCCTAGGCTGGGTACCAGATGTGTGAGTAAGTAGGCTTCGAGATGCCTCCAGCCTCAGCCACAGTCTGATTACAATTTTCTCAATTCTTGAGAAAGAATTGTCTAGTTTAGCCCAGTCTACCCCCAGAATCTTGAGGGATAATACCACTAAATTTGGGGGAGGATTGTTAAGCAGGAAAAGATAACTGGAATAATGTTCTCACCTCCTGCTGTATATGAAAAAAATTGTTTTAAGTTAGCTACATTGCCTACTATAAAAAGGGAGTCATTTATACTGAAATTTCTTTCATATTCATGCCTTTAAATGACTAAGAGATTATGGGATTTAGGGAAGAAGTTGATACGTAGGATAGGGATTTAATTTATTTTAATTCAGGCTTATGACCGATTTTTAGAAACAGAAAAGATCTTCCAAATCTCTTCCTCAGAGCAAATTTTTTTTGTATGTAAGGGCTTTGAGATATCTACTACTTGATTGTACGTGGAATAGCTCATAAGATTGCACTTTTTGGCGGATGATAGATGCAACGTCCAAATACTCTGAATTTGAGGCTGCAAGGAGGAAGGACGCTACTGCTTTCTTCAAGGTGTTCATGGTTAGGCTGTGGAAAACACATGGATTGAGCAGATGGCACTTATTCCCAGCCACTGACCAGCCTTCCGTTCAGTGGCATTAAAAGATGCTTTAAAATGTCAGCCTTTCCCAGGGAATGTTTATTCCGTTTATGTTTATTCATAAACATAATGTTTATTATGTATATTATTTATATATAATATATATTACATATAACATAATAATATATATTATATATAATATATATTACATATAACATAATAATATATATTATATATAATATATATTACATATAACATAATAATATATATTATATATAATATATATTACATATAACATAATAATATATATTATTTATATATAATATATATTACATATAACATAATAATATATATTATTTATATATAATATATATTACATATAACATAATATATATTATTTATATATAATATATATTACATATAACATAATATATATTATTTATAAATAATATATATTACATATAACATAATAATATATATTATTTATATATTGTTTATATATAACATTATGTTCAAGTTGGGTTAGTTCCAGGAATGCCTGAGCAATGTGAGGAGGGTGGCTGCATGGGGATATGGTGGTAGCAACAGGAGATTGGTATGTAACCAACACAGGATATTGCACAGTTATATCGAATCCAACACAGTTATGTAGAAGGGATTGACCCAATAAGTAAATATATTGGGGATAATGGAAGGCAGATTTCTCACTATTGGAGAAAGGAGTTACAAATATGCAAAGGAAAAAAACCAGAATGAACTTTGTAGTGTTGGCTTGGAACTGGAGGTATCAGTATAAACTCATCATTTTGTAAGTATATAGATATATAGATATAAAGACAGAGAGAAATAAAAAATGCACTTGTGTGTGTACACATGTATTCCCTAGCACTGTCCACTGAGAAAGCCTGAGACAGTAACACTTTAAAATCGATGAACACAGCACTAATTGGAATAATGAGTGATTCCAGGCTCAAGTTAGGGAAGTAATGAAACTTTATTTACATAAACAAGTAGTATGCTGGATTTGGCCAGCATGATACACACACATACACACACACACACACACACACACACACACACACACACACACATATATATCTTGTTCTTTTTTATGGCTGCATAGTATTCTATGGTGTATATGTACCATATTTTCCTTATCCAATCTGTCATTGATGGACATGTAGGTTAATTCCATATCTTTGCTATTGTGAATAGTGCTGCAATGAACATATACGTGCATGTGTCTTTATGGTAGAATGATTTCTATTCCTTTGGGGATATACCCCAATAATGGGATTCCTGGGTTAAATGGTAGTTCTGTTGACTCTTTGAGTAATCACCACACTGCTTTCCATAATGGTTGAACTAATTTACATTCCCACCAGTAGTGTATAAGTGTTCCCTTTTCTCCGTAACCTCTCCAGTATCTGTTATTTTTTTACTTCTTAATAGCCATTCTGACTGGCAGCATGCCATATTTTGCGATGTCCTATTCCAACATACTCAGGGTGATGGGGTATTATGTCAGCTATTTACTTTCAAATTGTTCAGGAAATAAAAAATTCTCTATACTAGTCTTGCAACTTTTCTGTGAGGTCAAAATTATTTCAAAATAAAAATTATTAAAATTAAAGACATTTTCAGACCAATAGATTGAGAAAGCTCATCATTCATGAGCTCTTACAGAAAGAACTGCAAATAATAAGTATCTACTTTAGGAAAAAGAAGATTGAATGAGGAAGAAAAAAGAGTGCTTTAGAACAAAATAATTGTTAATTGTTAAACATATTGCTAAATAAATATTGACTAATTCTGAAAAGACTAATTTTGGAGTGTTAAAAAACAGTTAACAACAGCAAAAGGATAGCAAAATAGGGGGCAAGTTTTTCTCAGGTCTTTGTGTCTTTTGAGATGTATTGACTAGCTTTATACTTTGTTTAGTCTAAACTCCGCAAAAGAATAGATACAGAAATTCAATCAAAATAGAGAAGGAAAAAGGGAATAAAGAAAAACTATCAATCTAATAAAAACTATAATCTAATATTTGATATCAATCTAATAATATCAAACTATCAATCTAATCTAAGAAATGAAGAAAAATAAGCAAGGAAGAAGGTAGTTTATTTAAAAACCCACAAATAAAATAGTGGGAATAAGTCTAACTATACCAGTCATTTATAATATCTAGAAATTTATGTTTGCCAATTAAAAGACAGATTGGATTTAAAATAATCCAGCCGTATTCTGTTAGCAAGAGACTTACCTAAACTAAAGACATAGAAAATTTGACAGAAAAGGGATGAAAAAGTTTTTCAGGTGTATCAGAGAGAATGCTTTTGGCAATAGGCAACGGAATAACTAACTAAAACAGGCTTAAATAACAGGGATGTATATTGACTCACTTCACAAGAAATTTTGAGGTAGGTGTTCTAAGGTTGGTTCTATAGCTCAATGGTGCCATCAAATATCCAGGCATTTTGTAGATTTCTGAGAGATTGGCCTTCAAAGTTACAAAATGGCTGGTCACATCCTACTTGATAACATTTTTTTTTAAAAAAAAGAAGGAGAAAAATGATTTCTTCTCACATGTCTCTATTTATGGAGGAAGAAAGTGTTTTCCAGGAGCAGACAATGGACTTCCCTTTATATTTCTGCCTAGAACTGGCTCACATGGTCATCCCTAAACCAATCCCACTAGAAGGGAATTAGATTATTAAAACTGGCTTAGCCCAAGCATCAGTCAGGTGTGGGTCAAAAGAACATCTATTTTAGCTAAACACTTTGCTACTTAGTATCTAAAAAAAATTGAAATTCCCCTAGCAAGGAAAAAAAGAGTATCTTAGAGTAAGTAATCAATCTACTCGAAGTATCTGCCCCACTTGGCAAGATCTAGTAAAGTGGTCATAGAAATGTTAATATAAGACAAAATGGACATTAGGGCAATGAGAATACAGCAGAAAGAATGACACTCACTGATGACAAAAAGGAACAATTCACTGGGAAGATACAAAAATTTTGAAACTGGAGGCTGGGTGCGGTGGCTCATGCCTGTAATCTCAGCATTTTGGGAGGCTGAGGTGGGAGGATCACTTGAGCCCAGACGTTCAAGACATGCCTGGGCAACATAGCGAAACCCTGTCTCTTAAAAGAAAATATAAAAATCTTGAAACTGTATAGCTTCAAATTAAGCAAAATCTGAGATTTTGCTTATCTGAAGATAAGCAGAAAGTGGCAATATTACAAGGAAAAATTAACAAATAATCTACCAGGTATGAAAGTCTCTATTTTCCCATACAGTCACTACCAGAGCTTTGTTATTCAGGCCATATAAACATGATATGGCTAACTTGGCCTTGAGGTAGACCTGGATTCAAACGTAAGAGTCAACAGTAATCTCTGCTATAGGTGGGAGAGGTGAGGCAAAGGCAAGGCCAATGAGAGATGCTGCTATGAGTTGTCAGCAGCCAATATTTCCAGCAGCTAGGGAATGGGCTTATAACTCTGAAGAAGGGATCCAAGCAGAGCATTGCAGTATGCACTATGAAAGTATAGCATAAGGTTGAACTCTATGGCAAGACAGCCTGGGTTTGTATCCTAGCTTGACCATTCTCTAGCTGTGTGGCCTTGGGCAAGATATTTAACCTTGATATTTTCTTGATAACCAAGATATTTTCTGTGTCTTTAGTTAGGTACATCTCTTGTTAACCAGTTAGGTTAGGCACGTCTCTTGTTAACCAGTTTCCTCATAGTAAAGTGGAGATAATATTAATTGTCTTATAAGTTTGTTGTGAGAATTAAATGAGTTACTATACTGTTTTATGAACTGTAGATCCTACTGTAATAATGGGTTGTAAAATCAATTTGTGAGTTTCAGTCTGTTTTTTTCCATGAAATATAATATAATCAATACTTTTATGATAAGATGTTCTATTGGCAAGCTATAGGGAAACAAGTACTCTCATACATTGCTGGTGGCAGTGTAAAATGGTACAGTTACTATTGTGGTAGACTGTTACAAAATGCTGCCCCCATGACTTCTATTTCCTGTATTCATACCCAGTGTAGTCTCTGTATTAGTCCATTCTCCCATTGCTATAAAGAAATACCTGAGACTGGGTAATTTACAAAGAAAAGTGGTTTAATTGGCTTACAATTCTGCCAGCTGTACAGGAAGCATGTCTGCAGAGGCCTCAGGAAACTTATAATCACGGTGGAAGGCAAAGGGGAAGCAAGCAGGCATGTCTTCACATGGCCAGAGCAGGAGGAAGAGAGAGAAGGGGGAAGTGCTACACACCTTTAAACGATCAGATCTCATGAAAACTCACTCACTGTCACAAAAACAGCAAAGGGGAAATCAGCCCCCATGATCCAATCACCTCCCACTAGGCCCTTCCTCCAATACTGGAGATTACAATTCGACATGAGATTTGGGCAGGGACACAAATCCAAACCGTATCAGTCTCCTTCCATGTGAATGAATATGAACTAGCCCTGTGACTTGCTTTTACCAATCAAATGGGGGAGGCAATGTTATGTGACCTCAAAGCCCATGCATTAAGAAGCCTTGCAATTTAAATTTTTGCTCACCGTGAAGCCAGGGCCACATAAAGTCTAGGCTATCCTGCCCGAGAGATCACATCAAAGGAAGGCTCTGTATTCTAACCATCGTAGCTGAGGGGCCAGGTATGAGTGAGGCCATCTTAGATCTTCTAGACCAAATAGGAGCTGTATGAGCAAGCTTAACTGGCACCTCCAATAGCAGAGAGGAACCATCTTGGCTGATCCCTGCCCAGCCAACTCATAGAGTGTGATAAATATAAAATGGTTGTGTTTTAAGCCATTACATTTTGAGATGGTTTGTTATCTAACCACAGATAACTGAAACACCTATGGAAAGAAATTTGCAATATATAAGGAAAGTGTATGTGCATTTACTCTTTAACCTGTCATTCCCACATCTAGGGATTTACATTGAAAATATACTCCCAACAAAACAAACAAATAACCAAACAAACATGTGCAAGGTTACTCAATGTGACATTATTTGTAATTGCAAAATATTAGAGATGCCCTAAATGCCATGCCTAGGAGATGAGTTAAATAAACTCTATATATCTATACTTCAGTGAACTGGGCAGCTGTAAAAAGTAATGAGGAAGATCTCTGTGATCTGATATGGAATAACTTACAGCATATATTAAATGTAAAATTCAAAGTATAACTGTGTGTATAGATACAGATATAAATTACTTATTTATAGCATGTTACCTATTGCATGAAAAGAAGAAAAGGTCATACACAAAACACATATTTTTGCAAAAAGAAAACGGTGGAAGAATATTCCAGAAACTGATGATATGCTTACCTGGTTACTTACAGAGATAGTGGAGATGGAGTGAGAGGATTAGGGGACTTCTCTGAATATATATCTTTATATGGTTTTGATTTTTGAGTGTTAAAATTTTATCATTTCCAAAAAGAAAGTCAACAAGGATGAGGAAAAGCCCTAAAATTGAATCCAAACAGAAATGATGACCCTGATTATGTGTCTTATAACAAAACCATACTCAGGAAAAAAGTATTCCAAGTAACTTTTGAGCCTAGTACTCTTACTATACACCCTCAATAGTTTCTATTCAGTGGATAAAAAGAACTACAAGGAAATCTTTATTTAGTAGATTTGTTGTTGATAATGGTATTGGGTATTGGTGTTTGTCTTAGTCTATTCAGTTTTGCTATAACAAAGTACCATAGACTGGCTAGCTAATAAACAATAGAGATGTATTTCTCACAGTTCTGGAGTCTGGGAAGTCTAAGATCAAGGTGCCAGCAGATTTCATGTCTACAGAGGGCCCAAACTGCTGATTCACAGATGGCCATATTCTTGCCATGTCTTCCTATGGCAGAAGGCAGAGAGGAGCCCTCTGGGTTCTCTTTTATAAGGGCACTAATCTGACTTATGAGGGCACCACCCTTATGACCTAATCACTTCCCAAAGGCCTCAATTCCTAATGCCCATCACATTAGGAGTTAGGATTTAACATATGAATTTGGGGGGATACAAGCATTCAGCTTATAACAGAGTTCCAATTCCAAACTATGTTGTGTGTAATGAAGGATTGAGAAAATAAGTAAATATATTAATGTTCTTGGGAAACAAAGTTCATACTTTGAGATAAGGTTCATACAAGAGAATCATATGAGAAGAAGATCATAAGAATTATACAAATATGAAATAGTAGGAGAGAAAGAACCTGTGGTGACTGATTGAAATTAGAGCTATTTCCTAACTCTGTCCACAAGGCTGAATAGAAGAATTAGGCTTATACTATTTATTTCTCCACAGTCTTCATTATATATTTTTCCTTTGCTATATATTTTTTTAGGCTTCCCTTGCTATATATTTTTTTAGGCTTCAAAGGAAATACTTTTGTCTTCTAGTATAATAGTAACATAAACAAAGTATTCCTTGAGTTTCATGATCTGAGGTCAGTGTAGCAACCAAGAAGAAAGGTGAGATTAGATGTCTGAGTAAAACTTCTGGAAATATCTTTCTGTCTTTATTATTCAAGAATTTAATGGAGATGTGTGTGGGTGACACAGACAGTTCTGGAAGTGAGCCCAGAACTCAATGAGTTCTTTCAATTTTCAAGTTGGATTCTGACAGTTTTTGTTGTTTTTCTTTAAATTTGATTACCACATTGACTCTGTAGCTACATTTCCAGGCAGTCCATAATCCAATAAAAACGTCCTGCCTCAGGCTTTGATGGATCTAGGACTTGGAGCTTTTAGATAATAAATATCTGTGATATTTGTAATGGTGTGCCACTGTTCATCTCTTTCCAACTCGGCATTCACTGAAATCACACTGGGAACTTCATCAGCTGTTGTGAGAATATTTACATCATGGAATTGAAAAACACTACACATCAGGGCCTGAGTCGTTGCTTTGTTGGTTATCTTGACTTAAAGTGATGGAGAATTTGCTAACAGGGCAGATTATTTAAAAGTGGGTCACATCTATAGCCATTACATTGTAAAAAGCACAAAAAATTGAGGAAATATTCTTCCAGTATTTGAAAATTATTATCCAATTTAGTAAAGAAGGAATTATGTCATTGACAAATAAGGGTTCTGACATGTCTGCATTGCTTCACTTTCATTTTACTTGTTAATGTAAACAAAAGTGTCAACTTACATTTATGTCAAAACTACACTCATTCCTCAATGGCAACCATAGTTTGCCTATGGCTTTAAAAAAAAAAAAAAAAAAAAAATATATATATATATATATATATATCCAACACAAACTTTATTGTTAAATGAGTTATGTTTGTCTTGCACTAATAAACTTTTATTTCACCCAAATTAGAGCAATAATCTTCCATACTTAAGTATCTTCCCTGCCCAATAATTCAAAGAAACAAAATCCAGAATGATTAGTATAGATATAATTGTGGCAAAAATCTTTGAAACATTCTTTGAGAATCAATCAGCTATTTAGAAACTACAATAGAGTATTATATATTTTGTTATTATTTGTAAATTATGTGTTATCCAACCATTATATCAGTAAAATTTATAATAAACATAACACACATGGAAACTTTGTTTCAAAAATCTGGTTGCTCAATATTTAACAGCCATTACTGGTAGGTGTCATGCATGATATAGTGTGGTAGTAAAATATTGTGTGTTTCTATTTAAAAAAATATGATCTAGATTATACTGAAAATGAATGCTTGTCTTGAGACATACACATGTGTGTTCAATTCAATGGTTACCTAATTGCATGATGAGGAAAGGTCTTTACACAAACACGGAAAGATCAAGTCTACTCTGGACTCTTCTGGAGAAGCCACCTCCACCTCCCACTCAACCATAGTATTGGTGAAACGAAATTACTTCTATTTGGGAAAATGCATCAGTAGTAATTACTGTCCTGGCCAGTTGAGGGGTATGGAGACTGTCCCTATGGAGGTTTGAAGATAAAAGCTCTTGAAAGGTACCTGAGCATAGGGAGTAAGGCCAAAGACTGTGATGTGTCCATCAGGGGGCTCCCTCTGAGGGTAGAACTTCTTGGAGTACTTTTCCCTTGATGTATGGCCATGTCTTATTTTGGGGTGACTAGGTCAGGAGTTTCAGAAGCAAAATGAGGTGGAGTGGTGGGCATGAGGTACCTACAACTCACTGATTCAGGACAGAAGGGAAAGCAGCCCTTTCCCTCCTTTATACCTCAATGGTAGAAATGAGGAGGCTGATGCTAGTTGGTAGAGAAGTTCAAAAGAGCACGATGCTAGGCTACGGCAGTTTGTAGAGAAACCAAAAGGGGGAATTTAGATGAAGTAGGGAAAGGGAAGTTCAGCCCAAAAATGCAGACATGGGCTGTTACATTAAGATGAGCTGTAGCTGTGAAGTAGAAGGAGAATCAAGGAACACGGCCACTTCTACAGCAGGCCACCCCCACCCCAGGCCCTGAGAAGACACGTGCTTCCCAGGAAGAAAGGATCAGAAGGCAGATACCCACAGGAAACAGAGAATTGTGAGAGGATACGCATTCTTCAAGTGAACAAGGCAAAAATAACTTGCAGAAAACAAAGTACTGCAGGAGCTAATGCCGTTCAACAATTTGCCCCTTCTAGAACTTTCTTTCCTTGGCTTTCAAGACCTGCCATCCTGATCCTCTGATAGCTCCTTCCCAGTCCACCCAGGCATGATAAGCAGACCTCGGTGGTAAGACACATTGTCGATAATTAAATAAATCCTCGAAAGTAATCCAGAAATGCCTCTGACTTTATTTCTTATACAATAATTATGTGAGGAAAAAGGGAAACTTTTTGCTGAGTTCTGGAACCCCAAACTCAGGGGAGAGTGGGAGAGGAGGAGTGCTGATTTTAGTTGTGGTTTGGGATGAGATGTAAAGGCCCTGGGGAGAAACAGTCACCAAGTCTGGCTGAGGGCGCTTGTCCTCCCGTCTTCCGCATGCGGGGGTCCAGAGCAGTTTTGGATCAGATGATGAGCGCCATCTGCAGGTAGCAAGCTGGAGGCAGGAGAAAATATCTGTGTACTGTTTAGGATTATTACAGAGCCGAAATAAAAGCCAGGTAAACCATTTGGCCCATCTCTGGTTCTCTTCATTCTGAAATTCAGCCCGATCCTGTAACCCCACAACCTACTGCCTGGCTCCTTCTTCCCCTTCACGGTCACATTTCTGCAAAGAGCGTGTTACGCTCTCTGCTTCCACTTCCTTCCCTCCCTTTCAGTCTTCAGTAGCTGCCATCTCCCTCTCCTCCCTCCTCACCAGGAGACTATGCTTGCCGCTCCTCAGCAGTCCAGCAGACACTTCTCTGACCTGAGGTATCGGTAGCACTGGAATGATAATCCCCCCGCCCCCCTCGACTTGCAACACTGCTTTATTTGGGGTCAAGGAAACACACAGCCCCAGCTTCTCTCCCATCACTCGGCCTCCCCTCTTGCAGATGCCACTATTATCCAGCCACTTGCACGGGCCATCCATGGCTGACCATGGAGTCATCCTTGAGCTTCTCCTTCTCTCAAGGCTCACATTCTTCAGCAAGTCCTGCTTTCACTATTAATTGAGAATCCTCGTTTTCTCAGTTCTTCTCTGCCAGCACCCCAGTCTCAGCCACCCTTGTCTCTCACTTAGGACACTATGGTAGCCACTTGGCTGATCTCTCTGCCTCCACTCTAGCCACCACGCAGCAGCCGGAGTGATCCTGTACATGTGAATCACACCGTGGAACCCCACTTCCTAACCCTCCAAGGCTATCCCCTGATATCCTGGGGTTATCAGGTTACATGTCACCGCCCTATAAACCCTCCCTGAGCCGCCACAGCTGGACTAGGAGCCACTCCTCATCTGTTCCAGGAACACAAGTATATTCTTTCCCAGAGCACCTATTGCCCACTGTGTTCACCATAGCTCCGTGAGCTCAGCGAGGGTTCAGTGAGTGAGTGCATGGCGCCTAGTAAATATTCCACAAAAAAAACTGTGAGTGTAATTGTTTCCCCCACATTTCTAGACATGTAGTATTAACAGATCAAGGAACAGAAAGCAAAACAGGGAAAGCAACGTAAAATTCTGATAATCACAATGATTGCTGAAAAAGTCCCCAAATAGGCAGCAAACATTCTAAAGGGGCCACAGTTTGTGAGTCATTTTATTCTTTTGTAAAGGGTCGGCTTGCGGCAAAAATTAAATGATCTTTGCGTTTGGGCAAGGTCTGGTGCCCCAAAGCTGCCGACTTGATCTGCGGTTGGGGCGAGCGGCAGGTAGGGGGCCCGGAGTTAGGAGGGGGTGTGGGAGCCCGTGGAGCACAGGTGAACTGAGGCCGCCTTCCCGGGGCGCCGCTGGCCAGCCCCAAAGGGTTACTTTGGCCTTGGCTGTGGGCCGAATGCGAAGGTGGGGAGGTGGGCGGGGGATGACTCTGCCATTCCTGGGTCCGCTGTGTTAGGCTGAAGGCAAAAGGAAACCAAGGCCTGGGAGTTTTCCAGGAAACGAAAGCGAAAGAGTCAAAGTTAGCGGCCCGGAGTTGGCGCGGCCCCTGCAGTCCGGCGGAGAGCGGAGCTGAGGATGGCTGTGCCCGGCTCCTTCCCGCTGCTGGTCGAGGGCTCCTGGGGCCCCGACCCCCCGAAGAACTTGAACACCAAGTTGCAGATGTACTTCCAGAGCCCGAAGAGGTCGGGAGGCGGCGAGTGTGAGGTCCGCCAGGATCCCAGGAGCCCATCCCGCTTCCTGGTGTTCTTCTACCCGGAGGACGGTGAGGGGCGCGAGGGGTGGGGTGAGGAGGGGGCACCTCTGCCCTCCCTCCAGGGAAATGGCGGCAGGGCACGCACGGGAGGGTGACCCGCCCGACTTCGGCGGCTGCTGTAGCGGAGGTGGCCGGGGCGGGGGCGGGGGCGGGGGCGGCAGAATGGATTCCGAGCGCACCCGGGGCGCTGCGGTTCCCCGGCGCCCTGCGCTTCCAGGCGCTTAATGGCGCGGCCCGGAGGTGGCGGCGGAACCGCGCAAGTAACTCTTTATCCCTCGATCGTTTTCTGTCTTTCCCTGTTGTGGTGGTGTTATTGTTTGTTGTTGTTGTTGTGGAAGTGAGTCTATCCTCTTATCATCCTTTTCTGTCTTTTCCTGTTGTTATTATTCTTGTGTGGGGAAGGAAACTGATTAAGAAACGTGGCAAGTCACAGAGATTCCTTGTGGTTCTTGGAGATTCCCAGGGGTCCCGGGGTCACTTGGGAGAGGGGCAGAGGCGCTACCTAAAATCACACTGCCTGAATGTCAACGTAGAGCCGTCACAGCGGCCACATTGGAGGGGCTGTCGATCGACCACAGGTGCCCATTGTCGAGGGCCTGCCGGGGCCTCTTCTCCGAGTCTCTAGTGGCCCTCAGATTGGGAGCAAGGATGATATTCTGAAGTGATTGTGGGTTGGGAGATTTGAGCTTTGGAGGGAAAGTCGGCAAAGTTCCCTCCTTACAGACCCACCACTACTTGGTGGGCCAAGAGCCCAGAGGTGATCTGCTGGCTCAAGGGCCTCCCTGGTCTGCAATGGGAAGCCAGTGACCTGCAGCTCCCAGAATGGGCACCTTTTCCACTGGCATCTTATGGATGATGACCTATCGGGATCTAGTCAACCCCTAATTCCGCTTTCATGTCGCTAGATTTGGAGAAGCATTCGGGCCAGAGGAGAGGCAAGGAGGCTGAGGCTGAGGCCATGCAATTAGAGTGCCCAAGCAGGGATCCAAAAAGGAAAAATGAAACAGAAAAAGAATGGCGCACAGAAGGAAGGAAGGAGGGGGACAGGAGATATGCTTGGCTCATGGCCCTTATGAAAACAAAATACCATGTTTTCCTAGGATTAATTTTACCAAGGAGTGCTCAGAAGGGCAACTGTGTGATATTAGTCATTTCTCTTTTGGGTGTCACTTTTCCTTGAGGGTTTTCCCCACTTTGACTTCAGAGGTCAGCATCACCATCGATCTGGCCCTTAAGGATGCTTCTTTCTCCTTTAGATTCCATTATCCTTAGAAGTAGGTCTGACCTGCATCTGAATCACCTGGAGAGCAGGTTAACCAGGCACCTTCCCAGCTCTGTTTTAGAGATTCAGGTTCAGTGAATGTGGGGTGGGTGGGAAGCGTGTATTTAACCGGCAGCCCAGGTGACCCTAATGTGTTCAAGTTTCAGAATTTCCGTAGTTAATGTTAACCCCAAATGAACAAAAAGAAATAATTATACAAATTTAAACAGCATGAAAATACAAATAGCACAAAGTATAATTTTGTGATGATAAAATAACTCAATTCTAGCCCTCCAAGCAGAAAAGATTTCAGTCTTCCTGCTGGGCTTCCATCCTTGACCGGCCCCAGCCCACTACTCCTCTTCCTCCACCCCCAGGCTGCTCCAGTGGCCCCTCTTGTCTTACCCCCCAGCACAGATGACCCAAAACTTATTAAAACTCAAAACCGGCCGGGCGTGGTGGCTCACGCCTGTTAATCCCAGCACTTTGGGAGGCTGAGGCAGGTGGATGACGAGTTGAGGAGATCGAGACCATCCTTGAGCAACATGGTGAAACCCTGTCTCTACTAAAACACACAAAAAAATTAGCCGAGCGTGGTGGTGTGCGCCTATAGTCCCAGCTACTCAGGAGGCTGAGGCAGGGGAATTGCTTGAACCAGGGAGGCAGAGGTTGCAGTGAGGTGAGATCGCACCACTGCACTCCAGCCTGGCAACAGAGCAAGACTCCATCTAAAACAAAACAAAAACAAACAAACAAAAAGAAACAAACAAACAAAAACAAACTCGAAACCTAGTATGGTCTAAGTTCTTGGGGGTGGAAAATCCCTAGTCAGTTTCAGTTTCCTACTTGAGGAACCACTTTCTCAGTAACAAGGGTCAGGAATTTGCTAACAATGAATGACCTACGCTTGAAGTCCCAGAAGTGCATTCTTCTTCTGCAGAGGACACTCTCCACCCTCCATGCCAGGAAGTGGCCTCAACAGGTGCGGGCCCATAGCATAACCTGATTTGATTCATATAAACTGTAATAGGCAGATAACAAGAATGAGCCCACCAGCACTTCTCCGTATTTATTCATGTATAGCAAATAGAAACAAATGGGAAGCTGTATCTCACTTTTATATAGTTCACTGGATTTCTGAAAAGTTGGTGTAAATTGACATAACATTTTAAGCCCTGTTTCAGATGTGTCTATTTTATCATACTTTACCAACATAGTTTGGTTCCTGGTTGTTGTCGGGTTCCTTGTGGTAAGAACCCATCTTCTCCTTAAATAAAATTAAATGTTGATGATCTAAAGTTGGTGCAGGTGGAAGACTGTCCACTTGGGTAAGGGAGGTTGGACATCAGAGTTTCAGCTTTTTCCTCCCAGATTGACTTTCTCCTTTTTGGAGATCATATACCCATATTATTACCAACTGTTCTCCTGAAATACTTGTGCCCATAAATATTGCCCACAATCTGAGAACAGACTGGCACATTTAGATGCCTAGACAGGACTTTATCAAAGTCTAGGGAATAAGAAAAGGACTGTAACACAGAGGTCCATGACTCTAAATAACTTGACTTACAAAATTTAGCTTGTTGTCAGGCTGCAGGGGTCCTATCCAGTCCTCAATCCCCACCTTGGTTTAGTAAAGCCCTTCAGGAGTTTGTGTGGAAACATCTGCCCTCCTCATAAAGAGTGAGATTAGAAGCTGGCGTTCCTTCTCAGGTTGTTTCTGAGGCCTATTTCTGAGTTGGCATCCAATTAAGACCCCACTTCCTCCACCCTCTTCACAGAGGGTTGAGGTGGGAAAGCTATCATGCTCCTATTCATGAAAGATTCTGATCTATATCCTTGGCCTCATCAGGCCAGCCATATCAGAACACAGCATAGTGACCCAACATTCATGCTAGAGCTACACCTGTGACCTGTAGGGCACTCTCAAAAACTCCTTTTTTCCCTGACCTCTTTGTACTATCTGACTATGTTGATCATGCCTCCTCCTTGAAACTCACTTCTTCCCGTTCTTCATGGACTGAGATATGCTGATTTTCTTCATATCTCTCTGGCTGCTCCTTTTTATAATCGTAACTCACATCTGCGTAGTTCTTGAGGATGTTACAGTGTGCATTCATGGACACCACTTTAAGTGAGGAAACTGAGAGTTGAGAGAAGTTAAGGTATTCACTCAGCTATTTGTGGTAGAGTTGGAATTCAAATCCAGATCTTTGGACTCTATGTCCACTGTTCAGTTGTTTCACTACAGCCAAGCTGCCTGATATGCTAATCTATTAATTTGTTCATTTTTTTTTTTGCAAAAATCTCCCCCTTCTTTTATACTCCTTTTACTATCAGATGTGAGACCTGTTTCTAACTAGGCTCCTGCTTACAGCCACCTAGCCACCTTCCTAAAACGTGACTTTCATCATGGCATGTCCCAGTACCCAATCTTCACTGGCTCCCATTGAAGGATGCTTTAATTTAATTCACTTCAATATAGAATAAATATTGCTACCTTTTGAGTACCTCCTGAGTGTCAGGTCCTGTACCAAGTTCTTTATAATGTTTCTTCAATTTAATACACGTGGCACTCATACAAAACAGTCTCCATTAACCTTACAAATAGACAAGAAAACTGAGGCCTTATAAGTATGGCTTATTAGGGAACATGCTCAATATTAAAAAGTCAGTTTAAGGAAGAAATTCAAATCCATGTTTGCTTGCTAAACTTTTCCTCTTTTACTTCACATATAGCCTCTCTTGAGAAACCGACCAAGCCATTGATTGATGGTAATGCAGCCCACGGAAATCATAGAATAATTTTGTAAATAAAGATTGCTTGTCATTTGTCTTTTTTCCCCCCTTTGGACATTTCAGTTCGGCAGAAGGTTCTGGAGAGAAAAAATCATGAGTTGGTATGGCAAGGAAAAGGAACATTCAAGTTAACTGTCCAGTTACCTGCAACCCCAGATGAAATCGATCATGTCTTTGAAGAGGAACTTCTAACAAAAGCAAGTAAACTTTAGGCATGAATAAAAGGGATTTAGGTCTCCCAAGGTGTGTGAGATGGGAATCACCATGAAGAAAATATAGTGGAAAGAAAAGCATGAAGCAAACTGCAGCGAGAAAAGCAGATTACAAATGTAGGGGGAGTGAGGGCAGTGGTAGGGTAGGGTAGTATGGGATAAAGTAGGAGGGGGTACTTTTTTTTTTTTTTTTTGAGACGGAGTCTCGCTCTGTCAACCAGGCTGGAGTACAGTGGTATAATCTTGGCTCACTGCAACCTCTGCCTCCTGGGTTCAAGTGATTCTTCTGCCTTAGCCTCCTGAGTAGCTGTGACTACAGGCATATGCCACTATGCCCAGATAATTTTTATATTTTTAGTAGAGACGGGGTTTCACCATATTGGCCAGGCTGGTATCAAACTCCTGACCTCATGATCGGCCCACCTAGGCCTCCCAAAGTGCTGGGATTACAGTCATGAGCCACCGCACCCTGCTGGGGGTACTTTTTATGTGATTTTAGACACATTTGGAAAAGCCAAGATTTGGGGATTATAATAATGGTGGTTTTGGATGTAAAATTTGGGGTCTGTGTCTCCAGAGTTCTTTATAACCTGTAACCTGTTATATTTGTTTTATTTTCTATGTCATTTTGAGGAGACAGCAATCCATACTACCTGTATTAAGTATTACCCCAATTGTAAAATGGAATAGTAACATTAATGATCCAACAACAGATTGCAGGATTATTGTGAGGGTTGAACAAGATGATCTGTATAAAGCACATGACACAGTTCTTGTTATATATAATAAACACTCAGTAAATGTTTTATTTGTATTTGTTTTATTTATTTCTTTTTTAGAGGCAGGGTCTCACTCTGTTGCCCAGGCTGGAGTGCAGTGGCATGATCATGGCTTGCTGCCTCCTTGACCTCCTGGGCTTAGGTGATCCTCCTACCTCAGCCTCCCCAGTAGCTGGGACTGTAGGCACATGCCACCACACCTGGCTAATTTTTTGTATTTTTTGTAGAGTCGGGGTTTTACCATGTTGCCTAGGCTGCTCTTGAACTGCTGGGCTCATGTGATCCACTTGCCTTGGCCTCCCAAAGTGCTGGGATTACAGGTGTGAGCCACCACACCCGTCCTTAATTTAATTTTTATCTTTTTTAGAGACTGCTTTCATCTGTATCCCAGGCTGGAGTGCAGTGGCACCACCATAGCTCACTGTAATCTTGAACTCCTGGGCTCAAGTGATCCTCCTGCCTCAGCCTCCCAAGTAGCTGGGACTACAGGCATGCATCACTATGCCTGGCTAATTTTTTTTCCTAATTTTTTTTTGTAGAGATGGGGTCTCACTATGTTGCCCAGGCTGGCCTTGAACTCCTGGCCTCAAGCGATCCTCCCACACTGGCCTCCCAAAATGCTGAAATTACAGGTGTGAGCCACCAAGTCCAGCCTCAATAAATATTAAACAAGGGAAAAATTATGAGCTAAGATGTTTCTCTGATGTAGGATGTACCTCATATTCCCAAATGCTTGGTGTTAATTGAGGTTTCTGTTATTTGTGTCTCATCTTCATTGGTGATTTTTGTGACTTGCAAGTGAATATGCCACTATATATGGCCCCAGATGTATTCAAGAGCACCCTTATCAGACCTTTTCATTATTGTTTCTATTTACCCTCCATCTCCAGGCTGGTCCCAGGGACATTTTCTTATGTAAATAAATTGTTAATCATGTATTAATGCTACTTTATTGTTTGTGTTTCAGGAATCCAAGACCAAAGAAGATGTTAAAGAACCAGGTAAAATCTCAGTTGAGATGACTCTGACATTCACCAAGCTGTTTTGCATTTATTAAAGGCAGCACTTGAGGGAGTCAGCCCTCTCTTCTTGACTTCCACTATGCAGGATGTGCTCCGCTGGGAGCTGCCTTGGACTGCATCATCTTCATATTCTGAGCCAGCTGTGCAGAGGGTGGCTTTTAGCGCTCAGGTCATAATGATTGGAACTGCTCTCTCTGGGGACTGGAAGACACCTTGCAATAGAGGGGAGGGCAAAGAAGTGCCAGAGAGCTGGGGATGAGCTGATCTTTACTTTCCACTTGTGCTGAGCCAGCCATAGAGAAGCAAGGACACGATATGTCCAAGGGAGTCACATGTGGCTTAGTTGATGAGCACTGCTTCCTGAGCACTGGGTGTGAGGGTGCTGTGCTCTGGAGCCAAAACAGGAAGTTGTGACTTCTCTGTGAACATAGGCTTTTGAGCATTGGTGCAGGATTGGATTGGAGGATTGCAGTCCTCCCAAAGACAGCAGCTCTTCTGATCTCATCTGCTCTAGGAAACAGCCAGCGACCAATTAGCTGTTGTGGACTCCAATGCTCAACTAGCGTCTGGGCATTGAGCTGCCATGCCACTTGACATTCACTAAAGAAGCAACTAGTTTTCATAGCTAAGCATGCTATTATAAAGGGTAGGAAGTGAACTACACTGAATGAACCGAGCTAGAGAGATAAAGTGGTACATATACCTAAACCTTAAGGAAAATGAACAATGTATAATCATTGTCCTGTAATATTGAAATTATCTTGAGAACATGTAGTTTTCTGCAACTTTCTCTTTTGGAAAATGGCACTAGAGTGAGAGCTGCCTATATTTGGCAAAAAGATTGGATAGAGATATATGGCTTATTTTTGTCTAATATCGATGTCCTGTTAAAACTGTAGAATTTAGTATGCATGGCTTTCTTAGGCAGCTCAGGAGTTTTATGAAATAGGATTTTTTTTTTTGTCTCTTTAGAGTAATTCCTGCTTTCCATTCCTCACTTGTCGAACTGGCTCCCCCAGCTCCCAGTGTTTGTCGTTGGGATCTCCTAAATCCTTATCTTCTTCTTGGAAGATGCCAAAGCGCTATACCGTCAAGCTCAACTTCAGACTAGGAAGTGGTTTTATATGTGCATATTTATTCTTGCTCTATAGCCCTAGATCTAAAATTTAATCACATCTGTGTTTCTTATGACTTCATAGATTTTTACCTTAACTCTGTCTTAACTGACATGTTAGTACTGTTTTAAATTTGCTTAAAACTCCCAAATGTATTCCCAGCGAAAGCCCCAGTCCCCTTCCACCAATAGACTTTTCATTGTCCTGGGAATTTTAGGCCCATTTTCTAACCTGTTTTTACCCGACCTGGACTCTAAGGATAGTAGCCAGCTAGGAATTTGGGTTGTCTACACCAGATACTTAAGTTGGCTCCTTTAAAGGAAGCAGAGGTTCTTTGCTGAATGGTTACCCCACACTGATCCCTGACTATGGCCCTAAGGCTGGGACTCTTGAAATTAATTGGAATGGGGTAGACAGTTTCAGAACTGAGCAAAGTGTGGGTGGAGAATAGGTACTGACTGGATTCTGTTTCTCAGGGATGGGGAACGTACTCTCCGGACAATGAACCACAACCAACGCCACCAACCAATACTCATAATTAATAATTACAACAGCCCTGGTGCAGAAGACATTGCACCATGAATGCACTAAGCATGCCCGAAACCTCATGCAAAAAGTTTAAAACTGAGGCGTCTGCAGGAGCTGACAGGGCAGGGAAAGGCACACACACCAAGATCAGGTGAAGTCAGCACTGAGCTAATGTCCTGTTCCAGGATAAGCTTAGTTGGGCTGGGTCTGAAAGGTGGAAACCAGCACTTGGAAGGTCCTGGAGAAGAGACAAGGGCAAGAGCAGAGAAATACTGCTTACCTGTGGTCGGAAATTCTGGTGTTTTCAAATCCATATCCCCAGCCTGGACTCCTCTCTCAATTCCAGAACTTCTGTCTGACCTTCCTGTTGGGAAGTATATTAGAGCCAACATGCCTGAAGCCACATGTGTCATCTTCCTCCCCAAGCAAGGGCCCTTTCTGGCTTCCTCATTTCTCTTGAAGTACACAATCAGTCTGCTCGTCACCTACTAGACATTTCACGCATCACTCCTTTCACATCTGCTGATCATAGAGACCTATTTATTTTATTTTATTGTTTTTGGAGAGAGGGTTTCATTCTGTTGCTCAGGCTGTCTTGGCTCACTGCAGCCTCGACCTCCCTGGCTCAAGCAATCCTCCCACAGCAGCCTCCTAAGTAGCTGGGGCTATTATAACATGCATTACCATGCCCAGCCAATTTTTAACATTTTTTGTGGAGTCGTGGTCTCACTATGTTACCCAGGCTGGTCTTGAACTCCTGGCCCCAAATGACCCTCCCGCCTTGGCCTCCCAGAGTGCTGAGATTACAGGCATGAGCCACTGCACCCAGCCTCATTTTCTTTTAAAGTTTTCCTTATCCATCCTTCTCTCACCACGGGCCCTTCCTTTTTACCTCACAAGTTCAACATGGCAGGAGCTCCCTGCCTGCTCTGTCTGTGTCTGCCACCCTTCTCCTTAAACCTGACCAGCCCTTTGCACTATTGCTAAATAGCCTGCCATCCTTTTCATGGAAACCTTCCATGACTCACCCTTACCACAAGCTGGGAGATAAAGTCCAGACCACCTTCTGGATCTAGTCTGCTTTTCTGGCCTCATTTTCTTCATTCTGCACAATTGTGCGCCTTTTGAGCCACATCAGTCAAATCACTGTTTTCTAAATTGTCTGATGCAGTTGCAGCACTCTGCCTGTGCTTCTGTTGCTCACCATTCCCTCTAGCCCACTTTTCTCTACCCAATTCCACATACCCTTCAAGACCTGCTGAACTTCCTCCTCTTCTCTCAAGTCTTTCCATGCCAGCCCAGCCCTTTTATCTCTTTCTGGGACTCTTGGCCTGATTGTTAATGCTCTTTTTTGGTCAATTAAGCCTTTCTTGTGGTGAAGCGTCTAATATTGATGGGATTATAAAACTATATTGCTGGAAAGATTCTTTCAGTCCAGTTCACTTAGTCCTATACCCTCATTTTATGATTAAGAGACATGCCCAAGGTCACATGGCTAAAGAGTGGCAGCAGGGATTAAACACATATAGCCTCCTCCCTAGCCCAGCAGTCATTGTGATTTGTCATACCTGTCTCACTTAGTGCTAATTTATGTAGTTGCTTTATGCTTAAGCTATTTTTTTTTTAATTTAGCATGAGTGTGTGTGCATGGCATGATAGCCAGCACACAACAGAGTGGTCTAACTGTTGTAACAAACAACCTCCCAAATCAGTAACCTAACACAACACAAGTTTGTTTGTTTATTTATTCATTTATTTTTCTGAGACGGAATCGCCCAGACTGGAGTGCAGTGGTACAATCTCGGCTCACTGCAACCTCCGCCTCCCAGCTTCAAGCGATTCTCCAGCCTCAGCCTCCTGAGTAGCTGGGATTAGAGGCGTGTGTTACCACACTCGGCTAATTTTTGTATTTTTGGTAGAGACAGGGTTTCATCACATTGGCCAGGCTAGTCTGGAACTCCTGATGTCAAGTGATCCGCCTGCCTCGTTCTCCCAAAGTGCTGGGATTACAGGCATGAGCCACTGCGCCTGGCCACAACACAAGTTTATTTCTCCTTCGCATCACAGTTCAGTGTAGTTGGCAGCTGTGATGGTGGTGGGAGTGTCAGTCACTTCATGTGGTCATTCAGGGACCCAGGCTCCTTCCACCCTTTGACACCATTATCTTTAAATGTGGTTTCCAAGGTCACTGCAAGGGAGAATGGGGTTTCATATTAAGGATATTTATATTGGCCAGGCCTGAAGGTGGAATTCACTTCCACCCATATTCCATTAACTGCAGGGACACTACTGTTGAAACTGAACTGCAGAAAACTTGAGAAATATTGTCCAGGAAGTAAGCAAAATGGATTTGGTGCACACAGAGCATTTTATGTGGCCACTGCGAACATTTACACATGTCATTTTCCTCATATACCTCCATTAGAAAATCTGTAAATTTCTTAACTAATGTTTTTTTATATTCTTACTTCTCCTTACATCCAGGGTCTTGAACACGATAAGAGTCCCCATTGAAAAACTGTCCACAGAATGCCTAAAGATCAGATCGTACCCACCATGCTTCAGTGGACAAGCATACAGTGAGACTGACCTTGTGTGTATGTGTAACTCATTTTTACAGTCAACAGTGGAGAGGAATGAGTCAGCTGGGTGATTGCCATTCAGCGGGCTTCGTATACAGCAGGCCTTGGCCATTTCACTTTCTGTGTGTATTCCTTAATCATTTGCTATAGGGATCCTTTTTTCTTTTCAGTGATGGGAACTTAACTATTTTTTGGAGTATAATGTGTTAGGTGATACCCATGTTTGGGCATCATCAGATAGTCTTGCTTTCCTCCAGTGACCCAAGCAGTAAATCTCCAATTCAGCAAACATTTACTGAGCCTCAATTATATACCATATGCTAGCAATACAAGGATGAATAAACATGTGTCTCGCTTTTGAGAAGCTTTGTTGAATAATTTTAGTCTGGTGCTGTGCTAGAAATAGATATCAAGTGCTAGGAAATATAAGGCAGGTTCCTCAAAAAGGCCAGGCAGAAAAGGGTATAATAAAATTAAACTTCAATTATGTATAATTTTAATATAAAATTCACATATAAAAATAGTCCTATAATGTAAATTGTTCTATAAATGACTATTTACTTAGCTAAGTAATGTGAATATTTTTTCTTATCACTAATAATTTTGGACAAATTTTTAAAATTCATTTCCACAGAGGTTAATATATGTACCCACCAGCAATAAATGAAAATCTTTTTATCCCTATAATGCCTATAATCTTGAAAATACAGACCTATTTTGTCAAAATGAAAATTTAAAAATATGAATTTTAATAATAGGCAATTACATGTTACATGTTGTTTTTATTTAAATAAAGCAAAAAGCCATCCAAGGTCTGTTATTCTGTGAGTTAGCCAAGAGATTGGCAAGGAGAGAGGGCAGTGCCTTGTGATAACTTACTTTGCTAAGACCATGGTAGATAAGTATAACATCTTGTACCTCTTTTGTCTTCCTAAAATCAGATGTGTCAGAAGAATTGGATACAAAACTCCCTCTTGATGGTGGATTAGACAAAATGGAAGATATCCCAGAGGAATGTGAAAATATTTCCTCTTTGGTGGCATTTGAAAACCTCAAGGCAAATGTGACTGACATAATGCTAATCTTGTTAGTGGAGAACATAAGTGGCCTGTCTAATGATGACTTTCAAGTGGAAATAATAAGAGATTTTGATGTTGCTGTTGTTACCTTTCAAAAGCACATAGGTAAGATGAAGTGACACTTCCTCTGCCTGTCTTCTTTGTACCACATCATGAGACTTGAGATACCTCTTAGGGGGACATCTCTGAAAGTTTGACTCTTTCTAGTAGCTACTAAGAGAGGTTTCCAAGTTAATATAGTTTTTTTTATTTTGAAAGTGAAGCATATTCATATTGAAACCAAATTCCATATTTTTAGTAGAATTAACTTTATTGCAGGAGTGCCCAAGTGTGTGTGTGTGACTGAGAGAGAGAGAGAGACAGGCAGAGAGGGTAAGAAAGTGCGTGAACACAGCAAATAGACATCTGAAGTCCAAGTGATTCCAAGTACAGGAGTCGGCTTTTTCACATGTGTTATCTCACTGGGTGAAGTAAATATTTGTATTACCAAACTGGACTTCATGGAAGGTAATGATAACACACTCTCATAGAGTGCTTACTATAAGCCAGGTGCTATGCCAGCCTCTTTACGTGTATTAATTTATTTGTCCTTTCCAAAACCTTATGAGATTATTATTATTGATCCCCATGTTACAGTTGGGGAGACAAAACACAAAGGTGCGAATGCATGGATGAACTGGGTTTGAACCCAGGCAGCCTATCTCTACACCTGTCCTCTTACCTCTTTACCTGATATGTCCTTAGCACTTTCATGGTCATTCACATATGTAGGTATGAGTAAGTGCGTGTGATGCAGACAATGAGTGCTCTTTAAGGTAATTGTCAGGAATCTGTAGACAATCTCTGAGATTGGGAAGAGAGCTGTCACCACCCAAAACAAGTACATTTTCCAATTCTAAGCCTTCACTATTCCATGGCCATGGCAGTGGAGCGGTTAAGAGCACAGGTCATGGAGTCAAAATTCCAGCTCTGCCATTTAACTAGTTATATGAGGTTGGCCAAGTTATTATCCTCCCTATGCCTCACTTTCCTCATCTATAAAATGGTACAATAATACCTACCTAATATAGTTTTTGTAAAGATTGAATGAGATAATGTTTGAAAAGTACTTAACATAGGGCCAGGTGTAGTGGCTCACGCCTGTAATTCCAGCACTTTGGGAGGCCAAGGCAGATGGATTGCCTGAGTCCAGGAGTTTGAGAGCAGCCTGGGCAACATAGTGAAACTGCATCTCTACAAAAAAAATACAAAAATTAGCCAGGCATGGTGGCGCACACCCGTCCTCCCAGCTACTCAGGAGGCTGAGGTGGAAGGATCACTTGAGCTTGGGAGGCAGAGATTGCAGTGAGCCAAGATCATGCCACTGCACTCCAGCCTGGGTGACAGAGTGAGACCCCGTGTCTGAAAAAAAAAAAAAGAAAAGAAAAGAAAAAGAAAAGTGCTTAACAACTTAACGTAGTACCTGAGACGTAGTAATGACTGAAAGGGAGCTATTCTTATTTCAAATTTATTACTGTTTCTTACAAAGGAAAAACTAAATGGACTTGCTTTTGTTCATCGATCAGAATCTTGAATGCTTAATATGTGCCAGGCACTGGTCTAGGTGCTGTGGGCACAGAGATGAATAATCAGGTTCCTGCCCTTGAGAAACTCATAGCCTGGGGTCAGGGAGGAAGCCCATATGTAAACAAATAAAGAAGGTCCAAGAGAAGAAGCTGTCTCTAAGCTGTGAACAAAAAGCTGTGGGAAATGGGAGGAAAGGGACCCAAACAAGGTGGCTTGGTCTTGCTTCTGTGAAGTTTATATTCATAATGTCCAGAATATATTCCATCTGCTTGACATAGATCTTTCCCTATCCATCTGGTAAACCCCTCTTCATTGTTCAAAACCCAGATCAGAGCCACTTACTCTGGGAACCATTGTCTGATTCCCAGTATTAGTCTTCCCACCTCATTTGATCCCACAATAGGCAATTTATTTGCTCTCAAGACTTGCTCCCACATGGATGATGCACTGGCAAAGATTTGTTATATTTATTTCTGTATCCTCAGATCCTAGCACAGTGCCTGGCACATCGTGGGCCCACCATCAATACTTATTATTATTATTATTTTAAGATAGAGTCTTGCTCTGTCGCCCAGGCTGGAATGCAATGCAGTGGCGTGATCTCAGCTCACTACAAGTGATTCTCCTGCCTCAACTTCCTGAGTAGCTGGGACTACAGGCGCGCACAACCATGCCTGGCTAATTTTCGTATTTTTAGTAGAGACGGAGTTTCACTATGTTGGCCAGGCTTTTCTCGAACTCCTGATCTCAGGTGATCCGCCTGCCTTGGCTTCCCAGAGTGCTTAGATTACAGGCATGAACCACCACGCCCGGCCAATACTTATTATTAAAGAGACAATTGAGTTGAGTCCTAAAAGATGAATAGGATCAAGACAAAAACTAGAGAAGAGCATTCCAAATGCAGGAAATTGTATACACAAAGACCCTTTCAAGGAGAAGGGGTTTTACAAAAATAATGACTAGTTTTTGTGGCAACACGGACAATAAAATGAATGGCAGGGAATAACCGAAGGTGATGCTTGGAAATTAGTTTCGAGTCACATCACCAAGGGCATTGTACACCTGGCTGAGGAGTGTCAACGCTCATACCTGCAGGTAATGGGGAGCCATTGAAGGGCTTGAGAAAGGGGTGAAATGAGATTTGTAGGGAAAACCCTCAGGAGGGTTGGTGAGGTCTGGGGCAGGAAGTGGGGACACAGCTCAGTGGCAGCAATCCAAGTAAGACATTCGTGTGTGTGTCGCCCAGCGACTGGGAGTTTTAGGTATGTAAATTCTCATGTAGGTATTAAAATCTTGTGTCTAAAAATGGAGTGCTTAGCTCTTCCTTTTATTTCAATTAGTAGCCAGACATTTTCTTCTATACAACATAAAGATACAATAAAAATTTACTGATTTTCTTTCTTTTTTTTTTTGGTTTGTAGATACTATAAGATTTGTTGATGATTGTACCAAGCACCATTCAATTAAACAACTTCAGCTTTCTCCAAGACTTCTGGAAGTGACAAACACAATCAGGGTTGAAAACCTGCCACCTGGTGCTGATGACTACAGTTTAAAACTTTTCTTTGAAAATCCCTATAATGGAGGGGGAAGAGTTGCCAATGTTGAATATTTTCCTGAAGAGAGTTCAGCTCTGATTGAATTTTTTGACAGAAAAGGTAATATTTATTAACCTGTCATACCTGGCATAATCTAGGCCATTATTAGCAGAGCTTAATAGTTATAAATTTAGTTCTGATGTGTTTTATTTGTTTATTTATGTATTTCTTTGGGAATTGAATAAATAATCCTGTTCATCTGCGATATGATGCTTAATAAGGCCAGTGATTCAGACTTTAGAGAAGCAAAATCAAGTTTTTGAAAGATATAAGGAGGTTTTTTCATGAGTCTCTACCTATGATGGGCTGAAAAATATATTCTTGGGATCTTTGAAATAATATATTAAAAAGGAGATGATCTGTGTTTTAGCCACACACTTGATAGAAGCTCTCAAATTAATTATGACAAGGTTAGGTAAAGAAATACTCAGCAACTCATAGAGTTCCTATAAAGTACCACTCCTTTCACCTATTGTATCATCATTCAAAAATGGACAGGAGTGGTTTCACATGACCAGTGGATGCCTGCTGGACTATTGTTTGGAGTGACCCTGTGAAACCCATGTCTAGCTGAACCTTAGAGAAACACTTCTGAGTGTTTTGTGATATAGACTGCCAGTTCTCTGAGGCATATGCAAGGTCAGCTTGGAGGTTCCACTTGTGTTCAGAAGTCAAGGCTGAGCAGAAGGAATTAGGGGGCCAGGCTTCTTGGGAAAAGAAGGAAAACTGTGCCTGGGATTAATCAGGGTGGGGCATGACATAGGATAATGTGGTATGCCACCCACTTGAGAGAAGTTGTTTCAACAAGGTACTTGAAGGAACCTCCCTTTTCCCAACTCAGTTTTCATGTGTTGGGAAAACTGGATGAAAGTATGGTTTGAATTAAAATGGAATGAAAGACCTACTATTCCTTGGGCAAAGGGACAAAGAGGAGCTTCTGTCACATATTCAAATCTCCCTCTGCCTGGTCTTGGGCCCAGGGAGAGAGAGGGGTACATAAAATCCTCTACCCTAGAAATTAACCTCCCAGTTTGTGGTGAGAGTTGATATTTTCAGGGCTTTCAAACATCTTTAGGGCATGGGGCTGTTGGGTTTGTCCTCAGAAGGGCTATTCTGCACATATACAACTAATGTTAAGTACTATTTAATTAAGGTTTATTTTCTGCCAGAGCTATTCATGTAAACTCTATGAGGCACTCTCAAAGGTTCCCTTTCTCCCTGATCTCTTTGCACCATCTAACTTTTTTGACCACACCTCCTCCTCCAAACTCACTCATTCTCTGTCCTCCACCATCTGTGATTTACTGACTTTCTTTTATGTTCTCTAGCTTCTCCTTTTTATTTTTTATTTTCATTTTATTATGTATTTGAGACAGGGTCTCACTGTCTCTCAGGCTGGAGTGCAGTGGCATGATCATGGCTCACTGCAGCATCAGCCTCCCCAGGCTCAGGTGATCCTTCCACCTCAGCCTCCAGAGTAGCTGGGAGTACAGGTGCATGCCACCATACCCAGCTAATATATTGTATTTTTAGTAGAGATGGAGTTTCGCCATGTTTCCCAGTCTGGTCTTGAACTCCTGGGCTCAAGCAATACTCCCTCCTTTGCCTCCTAAAGTGCTGGGATTATAGGCGTGAGTCACTGCACCCAGCTTAGCTTCTCCTTCTTTTAATTTTAACTTACATTTGCATAGCTTCGCAGGTTATTACCAAGTGCATTCAGACAGTCTTATGGGCATCTTGATTGTTATAATCCCTGTTTTGCACATGACGAAACTGAAGCACAGAAAGGTCCAATAACTTGCCCAAGATTACACAGCTAGTGAGTGACATAGTCAGGATTTGAACTTGGGTATTCTGGTCCCATAACATATACCCTAACTTCTCTCCTCTTTCCAAATCTCCTGTTCACCTATAACGTTAATTTTTCTTATAGGATATTTCACCATTCACAATGGGTTGCCAATAATGAGGCAGATGGTAGATAGAGCTTGGTTTAAAAGAGAATTTATTGTACAATATTGTGTTTTATGTAGATTTCTTGAAAGGAAAAAATTAGGCATTTTACTGTAAAATTATTTGGTTCAACTTCACAAAATCTGTTTTATTTCTTAAGAGAATTTTCATTGAACACCTATGTCTGTAAGATCTTTTGCTGTTTTTTCTGCTACAGTATCTCACAATCCCATTAATAATCTGCACAGTTAGATAAACTTTGTCCTTACAGACAAGAAAAGCAGGATGGAGACTTTAAGGCATATTAAGGTGACATCTGTGATGGTTCTTGAGTCAGACAGACCTGAGTTTGATTCCTGGCCTTGGTGCTTACTAGCTTTGTAATCTTGGCCGAGTTACTTTAACCCACCTAAGCCTCTGTGTTCTTATCTGTAAAATGGGGTTCACATTACTGGTTACTTAGAGGAATGCTGTGAGGTTGAAATGAAATAATACCAGCAAAGAGCCTGGTGCCTGATGGTGCTCAGTAAGTTGGTAATCATAAATACTGCCCAGGCTCAGGGCTGCCACAGAGCCATGTTGAAGCTATAAAGCTCAGGGCTGCCACAGGGAAGTTGAAGCTATATGTTTGGGCCTCTGAAGGCCACTGCTTTTCCCTCATGCTTGATACCAGCTCTAGGACCCAATCATACACAAGGTGAAGTTATTTTTAACATCTTTCCACAAAGGTTGCTCTTTTAACCCAAGTTGTTATTGGAGCACATTCTGATTCCCTTTCTGCAGATGCTCTGCTTAATAACTTACACAAAACGAGGAGGGGCTTGGAAGAGAAGAGCATGCACATGCACACACATGCAAACACACCCAGTGAAGTGGAAAAGGGAGATTCCAGCAGGGCCAGGAGGAGGTGTGGTTCTTACTGAATCATAGTCTGTGGGGCTGGGCTCTCAGAGGACAGTGATGATAACTTGGATTTGGTAGAGGGGCAAGAGGATGGGCGTTGGGGTTGGACAACCACTGAATCTCAGCTGAATTATCTGCAGTCTATGTAACCCTATCCAAGTTATCTAACCTTTCCTAGCCTCAGTTTTAGTAGGATGATAATAATAATGTCTCTACCTCAAATGGTTGTTGTGAGGATGAAATGAATTAAATATATGTAAAGCACTCAGAATAGTGTGTGACACATGCTAAGCTATAATAATTTATTATTATGCTCCTCCTTTTTGAGGTATTAATGTTAATCTAAGTCAACTTTGAAGCCTAAAATTATAGGACTGTACAAGAAGAACAAATAGCATAATACTAAGGTGAGCTTCACTTTGAGCACCAAAATATTTTTTATACTTTGAGCACCAAAATATTTTTTATACTAGGGCAAACATTATTCTCACGATTGTGACCAAACTCATGTATTTCTTAACATGATGGTGATATATCAGTAATATCAGGAAAACAGTAAACAGAATTTAATTAACAAGATTTCAACATAGATGGATCTTGGCTAGAAAGTAATTATTCCATTCAATAAGGGATACCTGTGCACTGCTAACACATATCAGTTTATATTTGAGCACTTTGAGAGTATATTGCTTTTTAATACGCTGTAACATCAAAATTCTACCAACATTAGTTTTTTTTACTCTAAAATGGGAAGATTTTGTTTTGTTTTTCTTTGCCACATATCATCTTGGTCTTACATTGTTTTATTTCTTTCCTTTAAGTGTTAGAAAAACATTAGATTTTTTTTTCTCTAAAATAGGAAAATTTTGTTTTGTTTTTATTTGCCATATATCATCCTGGGCTTACATTATTTTACTTCTTTCCTTTTAAGTGTTAGACACCATCATGGCCACAAAACTCGACTTCAATAAAATGCCACTTTCTGTGTTCCCATACTATGCCTCATTGGGCACAGCCTTGTATGGAAAGGAGAAGCCTCTGATCAAGCTTCCAGCACCATTTGAAGAGTCACTAGATCTTCCCTTATGGAAGTTCTTACAGAAAAAGAATCACCTCATTGAGGAGATAAACGATGAAATGAGGCGTTGTCACTGTGAGCTCACGTGGTCCCAACTCAGTGGTAAAGTTACCATCAGACCAGCAGCCACCTTAGTCAATGAAGGAAGACCGAGAATCAAGACCTGGCAGGCAGATACTTCCACAACACTCTCTAGCATCAGGTCTAAATATAAAGTCAACCCAATTAAAGTGGATCCAACAATGTGGGACACCATAAAAAATGATGTGAAAGATGACAGGATTTTGATTGAGTTTGATACACTTAAGGAGATGGTAATCTTAGCAGGGAAATCAGAGGATGTCCAAAGCATTGAGGTACAAGTCAGGGAGTTAATAGAAAGCACTACTCAAAAAATTAAAAGGGAAGAGCAAAGTTTGAAGGAAAAAATGATCATTTCTCCAGGCAGGTATTTTCTTTTGTGTCACAGCAGTCTACTGGACCATTTACTCACGGAGTGCCCAGAGATAGAGATTTGTTACGATAGAGTCACTCAACACTTGTGCTTGAAAGGACCTAGTGCAGATGTGTATAAAGCAAAGTGTGAAATCCAGGAAAAGGTGTACACCATGGCTCAGAAAAACATTCAGGTTTCTCCTGAGATTTTTCAGTTTTTGCAACAGGTAAACTGGAAAGAATTCTCTAAGTGTCTTTTCATAGCACAGAAGATTCTTGCACTTTATGAGCTAGAGGGTACAACTGTTCTCTTAACCAGCTGTTCTTCTGAAGCCCTGTTAGAAGCAGAAAAGCAAATGCTCAGTGCCTTAAATTATAAGCGCATTGAAGTTGAGAACAAAGAAGTTCTTCATGGCAAGAAATGGAAAGGGCTCACTCACAATTTGCTTAAGAAACAAAATTCCTCCCCAAACACTGTAATCATCAATGAGTTAACTTCAGAAACCACAGCTGAAGTCATCATTACAGGCTGTGTAAAAGAAGTAAATGAAACCTATAAATTGCTTTTTAACTTCGTTGAACAAAACATGAAAATAGAGAGACTGGTTGAAGTAAAGCCTTCCTTAGTTATTGACTATTTAAAGACAGAAAAGAAGCTATTCTGGCCAAAGATAAAGAAGGTAAATGTGCAGGTAAGTTTCAATCCTGAGAACAAACAAAAAGGCATTTTACTAACTGGCTCAAAGACCGAAGTACTGAAGGCAGTGGACATTGTCAAGCAAGTCTGGGATTCAGTCTGTGTTAAAAGTGTCCATACTGATAAGCCAGGAGCCAAGCAGTTCTTCCAGGATAAAGCACGGTTTTATCAAAGTGAGATCAAACGGTTGTTTGGTTGTTACATTGAACTACAGGAGAATGAAGTAATGAAGGAGGGAGGCAGCCCCGCTGGGCAGAAGTGCTTCTCTCGGACAGTCTTGGCCCCTGGCGTTGTGCTGATTGTGCAGCAGGGTGACTTGGCACGGCTTCCTGTCGATGTGGTGGTGAATGCATCTAATGAGGACCTTAAGCATTATGGTGGCCTGGCCGCTGCGCTCTCAAAAGCAGCTGGCCCTGAGCTCCAGGCCGACTGTGACCAGATAGTGAAGAGAGAGGGCAGACTCCTACCGGGCAATGCCACCATCTCCAAGGCAGGAAAGCTGCCCTACCACCACGTGATCCATGCAGTGGGGCCCCGCTGGAGCGGATATGAGGCCCCGAGGTGTGTGTACCTATTAAGGAGAGCTGTGCAACTCAGTCTCTGTCTAGCCGAAAAATACAAGTACCGATCCATAGCCATCCCAGCTATTA
Organism: Homo sapiens; assembly: GCF_000001405.40. Taxonomy (NCBI): domain Eukaryota; kingdom Metazoa; phylum Chordata; class Mammalia; order Primates; family Hominidae; genus Homo; species Homo sapiens. The sequence goes on from NC_000003.12 coordinate 122,701,319, forward strand.
GTTCTGGAGTCTTTGGCTTTCCCTTAGGCCGATGCGTGGAGACCATTGTTTCTGCCATCAAGGAAAACTTCCAATTCAAGAAGGATGGACACTGCTTGAAAGAAATCTACCTTGTGGATGTATCTGAGAAGACTGTTGAGGCCTTTGCAGAAGCTGTGAAAACTGTATTTAAAGCCACCCTGCCAGATACAGCTGCCCCGCCAGGTTTACCACCAGCAGCAGCGGGGCCTGGGAAAACATCATGGGAAAAAGGAAGCCTGGTGTCCCCGGGAGGCCTGCAGATGCTGTTGGTGAAAGAGGGTGTGCAGAATGCTAAGGTGAGTGTCGCTTTTACAGAACACCACCAGGGCACTGTGACTTTACTTAGTCAGTGGCTCTCTCATGGAGGGCTGAAGAAAGATAAGGACCAAGGTGAGAATCAAGGGAGAGAATCCCATGCCTTCCACCCCTGCCTTGAAACAATTTTCCTTAGATAATTGGGCTTCTTACCAAATCATTTACTAATAGAGATCGGCCAATTATTTGTGAGAACTGAAAGGGTATAGAGGTCAGATTGCTAGATTTCCAGTAGATGTAAAACTCCATAATATCACACGTTTAGACAGTTCTCTATACCTTACACCTGCCGTGTTTTGGTAAATCTAAGACTAATTTCCTAATTTACTGACAGCAGATACAGAACAATCAGAGCATAGGGTATGCAGAGGACAGGAATCTTGTCAATGATGCTGAGCAAGAGTGAGCTTGGGGCCAGAGTCTAAGGGGCCATCAGCGCCCAACACCAGTGAGGAAGTGAAAAGTGGACCTGAGGAAGTTACAGGTGCCAGGCAATATGTGGGGACAATTCTTGTAGGCTGCAGGGGCATGGCAGGGGTTGGAGGGAGGCTAATATGTTTCTTTTTCTTTTTATTTTTTTGAGGCAGGGTCTCTCTCTGTCATCCAGGCTGGAGTGCAGTGGCACCATCTCGGCTCACTGCAACCTCCGCCCCCTGGGTTCAAGTGATTCTCCCACCTCAGCCTCCCGAGTAGCTGGGACTACAGGTGCATGCCACCACGCCTGGCTAATTTTTGTATTTTTTTTGGTAGAGATGGGGTTTCACCATGTTGGCCAGGCTGGTCTTGAACTCCTGACCTCGGGTGATCCGCCTGCTTCAGCCTCCCAAAGTGCTGGGATTAGAGGCGTGAGCCATCATGTCCAGCCAGCACTGTGCTGTTTTTGACATGCATGTTCTCATTCACTGCCATGCGGCAGATTCTAGGATTATTATTATTCTCACTTTACAGATGAGGGAGTGAGACTTAAAGGGGTTAGGTAATTTGCCCACATCCCCCAACTAGCAAATGGTAGAGCCAGGATTGGAATTTGTTCAGGCTCTTAACCATTGCACTCTTTCAAAATGTTAAAAATAATGTTGTGTCTCATTTTAAAAAATTAAATAAAAACTCTTTGGACCAAGCATCAGTTATGGGAATGAATTTCATTCCTTGTCTCTTTTGACACCAAATATCAAGACATTCTTTCCCAGCTAGGCATGGTGGCTCATACCTGTAGTCCTTACTACTCGGAATGCTGAGGTGGGAGGATCACTTGAACCCTAGGAGTTTGAGGCTGCAGTGAACTATGATCATGCCACTGCCCTCCAGCCTGGGTGGACAGAGCAAGACCCTCTCTCTTAAAAAAAAAAAAAAAAACAAAAAAAAAAAACAAAAAACAAAAAACAGTCATAGTTTGCTTTCCTTTCACTCCCATAGATGCTTAGCTTCCATGGCTGTAATAACTGCTCTGCATTACTCCTTAGTGACCCAGGCAGGGCAGCTTTGAAAATCACTTGGTTACATTCCCTCTCCTCTGTTCTCTTGACCTCTCTAATCTAGCCCGATTAATCTGCTCACATTCACTGATGAAAAAGCTTCCGGGGCTGCTCCCTTTCTGTCAGGGAGTCCAGATGTCTTGGCACTCGAGGTGGGCCCCCTAGTTTACCCCCAGTGTAACATTTCTAGCCTGGAGCATACCATTTTGCTGCAGAAGCTCTCTCAGATCAAATTAATCTGTTCACAGCTCACAACCCACCATGCCTATGTTCATGCTGCTCCCTGTCTTGCTCTGCCTGCTGAAATTCTTCCCATTTCTCAAACCCCACATTGCCCATGGTATCTTCACTAGTTACTGAAACAGCTTTCTCTGGACTCCTTCAGTGATGCCATACCATTCATAGATTACTTTTTGACTGCTCTCTTTTTTTCCTAAGTGTCACTTCAATAAGTATTTAGTCACACTTTGTCTTATGTTGATATTTCAATCACTGAAACCGTAGTCATCTTAGTTGTCTCCAATTGTGCCAAGCCCAGTGCCTCAAATATAGTAATCATTGATGAATGCTTTTTGTTAAAATTTGAAACAAATTTTTGGTTTTGTCTTTAAGACCGATGTTGTTGTCAACTCCGTTCCCTTGGATCTCGTGCTTAGTAGAGGGCCTCTTTCTAAGTCCCTCTTGGAAAAAGCTGGACCAGAGCTCCAGGAGGAATTGGACACAGTTGGACAAGGGGTGGCTGTCAGCATGGGCACAGTGCTCAAAACCAGCAGCTGGAATCTGGACTGTCGCTATGTGCTTCACGTGGTAGCTCCGGAGTGGAGAAATGGTAGCACATCTTCACTCAAGGTTGGGCCTGGTTTTGAATTCTCCATGAAGTTGGGTAGCCCTTTGGGTTCTCCTTTTAGTAGCATATTAATTGGACATAGATTGGGCCTTGTCTGTTTCTCTTCCATAATAATCACTCTTTTGGCAGATTCCATCATGTGGCCATTTCTTTCAGCTGTAGCTGACTTCTCCTGAGGACTAGTTAATACTATAAATGGATTATTGTGCTCAATAATTATTGGAGCTCAGGGAAGGGTTACTGAAGATAATATTATTGCTTGCTTAGTGAAGAAAGCCAGAGGAGGGTGTGAAGAATGGAAGAGAATGAAGGAAAAGAACAGTAGTTGCTTTGCTTCTTTCCTTCATTGTGAATGTGTTTAAGTCTCTCGCATTCTCTTTTCCTTTTCCTTGCCTTCTCCTGTATTTTTCTTTCCTCTTCTGATTGCCCTTAATCAGTGTTGACAGCAAAAAGGAGTATTCAAGTTCACAAAGTTGCTAAATTCTTGTCCTTTTTGTTCTAACTCCCATTTCTAGACAAGATGTATAAGGATGTGCTTTGTGCGTTTCAGATAATGGAAGACATAATCAGAGAATGTATGGAGATCACTGAGAGCTTGTCCTTAAAATCAATTGCATTTCCAGCAATAGGAACAGGAAACTTGGGATTTCCTAAAAACATATTCGCTGAATTAATCATTTCAGAGGTGTTCAAATTTAGTAGCAAGAATCAGCTGAAAACTTTACAAGAGGTTCACTTTCTGCTGCACCCGAGTGATCATGAAAATATTCAGGTACAGTGCCACTAATTTCTGATTATTTTGGCAACTGAGACCTAGTGTTTTTTCAAATGTCTTTTTGGTCTAACAGGATACTTTTTTCATTCATTTCCCCATTCAGGAAAGTAAGAAGGTAGTTTATACTTGTAGTTGTAGTTGTAGCATGACAAATTTTAAGAAAAGTTACAGATGTAGAAAAAATTTAACTTCCTATTCAGGAAAATTTTGAACATATCCAAAAGTAGACATAATAGTATAATGCAGTCCCTTGTACCTATCACTGAACTTCAACAGTTATCAACCTATGGCCAATATGTTTCATCTCTATCTTCATCTATTTCCCTTCCTTCTATATTCTTTTGAAGCAAATCTCAGACATATCATTTTATCCATAAACAATTCAACATTTATTTTAAACAATAACAATTCTTTTTAAAAAAGTAACATAACCACAATATTGTATCACACCTAAAATAAATGGACAATAATTCCTTTAACCAATTATCAAATCAATTCTCAAATTTCTGACTATCTCATAAACGTTTTGTTTTTACAGCTTTGTGTTTGAATCAGAATCCAAATAAGGCCCACATATTGCAATGGAGTTGACTATAGGATTTCCCTCCATATGGACATAGAAATTTTAATACATAGTATAAAAGCACAGTCTGGCCTTATCAATAGGAAGATGTCAGAAGGTGTGGTTAGAATGGATTAGCACATTCCCATGTAAATAGGAGAGTTGGGACCAGAAACACCAGAACTATCATCAATCATGAGTTCATGATTCAGCTCACATCAGCTGTGGGAGAGCCACTGGACTCAGCATTATGGCAGCACAACAGGCTTTTAAGCCATTATCCCTGCACTCCGAGTCTTTACTTAATCAAATAAAGTAGATGACATTCAGTGTTTGAAAAGCTCCCAAGGTACTGCAAAAATTGATCAAACAGATTAAGATCAGCAACCCAAGAGATACCTGTGGATCATTGGACCATCTGAATTTTTAGGTAATGCTTCATTTTTCTGTGATGCTAGATACTACCTATAAGTTCTTTGGAAGCAAGTAAATCTGACCTGAATTCTGATCAGGCAGCCAAACCACCTGAGTAAAATATGTGGTCCATTTACTTGTCCCGTATAATTAGTTACTCTTCTGTGCAACAGAAGCTTTTAAAATAATTTCCCTATGACTTGCATTGTGCAAGGTGATGTGGATCGTGGAACAGGACGAATAGGAATAGCACATACTTTCCCTCCTATAAATCACAATTACTTTGGAGCTAAGATTTATATACACAAAATGAACTAAATGAGAGGCATGAAGTGCTGTTTTTGAATGCATGGGTGATTGAATACAGCATGAGTCCTGTGACACAGACCTGAACCTTCAAATATCACTCTTTTTCATGCAACCTCAGCATTCATTTTCTTTCCTGAAGACTGAGTATTTTTCAAATACTCTGTAAAAAGAATTAGTCTATACAGATGCCTTTAGTACCATTTGAAATTCTCTGTATGTGTCTGTTACACTTTTTCTCTTTAGACTTTTAAAGACAGTTAAACTTTGGTTACATTTGCACAAAAAAATCAGCAAAGCTTATCGAGATGTTTATAGATGGAGACTGTCACAGAGGATGCAAAGCAGCAGTCCTGTGATTTGAACATGGCCTCTAGATGTGCTTTATTTAGATTATTAAAAAAAAATTTCAATCAGTTGCTAACATTTAAAAATCAAAAATTTTACATAAAACTCTAGATATTCACTACAACCTAAAACTTCAAAACTTCTGGCACATTAAACATGGCTTCCTGCTTGGGACAGGAAGTTTTCCATGGCTGAGTGGCAGGTGTTCTCTAGTTCTCCATAGTCAAATCAGACCACCTTTACACATGTGCCTTACCTACCTGGCTCCTAGAAGCCTGTGAGTCTGAGATCTTTGCTCTACCCTCTCTCTGGTTCCTTCTCCCATTATTGCATCTATCTTTAGCCAAGATGTTACTTGTTTTTTTTCCAACAAAATTATCTGTTGCTTGTTTACAAGGAGGAAGAAAATGATGATTATGGAGGGTCACCAACAGGCAAAAAAAAAAAAAATGAAATTCACAGGTTTATTAACACTAGAATACATACACCAGCTACTTGCTCCAAAAATCATGACTCCTCAGCCCCTCCTCTTTTGGTACAAATAGGAAATTAAAAACGGAAGTGTTTGGGACCTTGTGATGGTCATTCTCTTAACATTGTAGTTTTTACAATTGGCAAGTTATTTGCTTTGACTGACCATTATGGTAATTCATGTTCATTGTAGAAACTTTGAACAATGCAAAATGCATAAATTCTTTAGTTGGATTTTATTCCAGCCTGCTTTTTTTTACATATGTACTTTTAAAAGTGGGATTGGCTCGGAGCGGTGGCTCATGCCTGTAATCCCAGCACCTTGGGCAGCCAAGGCAGGCAGATCACCTGAGGTCAGGAGAACAGCCTGGCTAACATGGTGAAACCCCGTCTCTACTAAAAATACAAAAATTACCTCCCAAGTAGGCTGAAGCAGGAGAATCACTTGAACCTGGGAGGCGGAGTTTGCAATGAACCAAGATTGTGCCACTACACTCCAGCCTGGGTGACAGAATGAGACTCCATCTCAAATAAATAAATAAATAAATAAATAAATAAATAAATAAAGGATTGTGATTATAAATTATTTTATTTAATATCCTTCGCTTTTATTTTCTATTTCACTAAATCTTCTTTGAGGCTGGGCACAGTGGCTCACACCTTTAATCCCTGCACTTTGGGAGGCCAAGGCAGGAGGATCACTTGAGGCCAGAAGTTCAAGACCAGCTTGAGCAACATAGGGAGATCCTGTTTCTACAAAAAACAAACAAACAAAAAAACACAAAAAACAAAAAACGTAGCTGGGTGTGGTGCCATATACTTATAGTCCCAGCTACTTGGGAGGCTGAGGTGGGAGAATTGCTTAAGCCCAGGAGGTCGAGGCTGCAGTGAACTGTGATCACGCCTCTAGCATTCCAGCCTGGGCGACACCCCAGCCTGGGCAACACAGCAAGACCTCATTTAAAAAATTCTTTGAAAATACGATTTTTAATGGCTAATAAATACTCCAACACATGGATACAGCAACATTTATTTAACTTTTTCCCTGTTGAATTTTTAACTGTTTTTTCTCTGTTATGAATAGCACTGTAGTGAATATCCTTGTATTTATCCACATCGTTGTCCACATCGTTGATATTTTCATTAGACACATTTATAGAAACAGAATCATGTGTTGTTTTTATAACTTTCAAGATCTGCAATGAAATTAAATAATACTGTTTGAGAATGGTTATCTCCCAAATATGTATGTGTGCATGCAGGACAAAACACCCTGATGATTCCAATTTATTCATTTACTGAGGAGTGTAATGATCAACGCTGTGTTTATATTTCAGGCATTTTCAGATGAATTTGCCAGAAGGGCTAATGGAAATCTCGTCAGTGACAAAATTCCGAAGGCTAAAGATACACAAGGTTCAGTAAAGCTTCTAAATTGAGAAGTGATTTCTAGTTGCTAAGTAACTGTTCATTGGCAGGTAAAAGACAGTAGTGATAATTTTTATGAAAAAAAAATCAATGAGTGACAAATGATACTAAGTTATGTTTCATATACCTGAGCATGTAAGACACTGGTCATGTTTATATAATCTGAAGCAAAAGGGAAGGCAGGCCAAGTTATGTAATCTGTATAATGGGTTTTAAGTAATGACAAGACTACCATTTCCTGAGGAGAATGTGACATGTATTTTCCAAAATAGACAAATTTGAGAGACAATACTCACCAAATCTTTCACCTTTGTCAAATTTGTTGATGCCATATTTGAGTTTATCCTGTTTGAGTTTCACCGAGGCTTCTTGAATATAAAAATGTATGTCTTTCATCAAATTTGGAAAATTTTAAGTTATCTCTTTAAATGCTTTTTTGTGCACTGATCTATTTCATATCTCCTTCTGTTTTCCAATACTGTGGTGCTAAGCCTTTTGACAGTGTTCCAAGGTCTCTGCAGAGCTGTTCTCCCCATGCCTACCCCCCTCAATCCCACTCATCTTTTTTCTCTCTTGTTCTTCAGATTGGATAATTTATCTTGACCTGCCTTCAAGTTCACTGAGTCTTTTCTCTGTCCTCTATGCTATTGAGCCCATCCAGTGAATGTTTTATTTTAGATACGTATGTGTATGTTCTAAAATGTCTATTTGGTTCTTTTTTAAATTTTTAAATTCTTTAAAGTTTGAACTTTATTTTCATTTGCAATATATTATTATTATGATTATTTCAATAGTTTTGGGGGTACAGGTGGTTTTTGGTTACATGGATAAATTCTTTAGTAGTGATTTCTGAGATTTTAGTGCATCCGTCACCTGAGCAGCATATACTGTACCCGTTATGTAGTCTTTTATCCCTCATCCCCCTCTCAACCTTCCCCCTGGAGTCCCCAAATTCCATTATATCACTCTTATGATTTTGCATCCTCATAGCTTAGCTTTCACTTATAAGTGAGAACATAGGATGTTTGGTTTTGCATTCCTAAGCTACTTCACTTAGAATAATAGCCTCCAGCTCCATCCAAGTTGCTTCAAAAGACATTATTTCATTCCTTTTTATGGCTGAAGAGTATTCCATAGTGTATATACAGCACATTTTCTTTATCCACTTGTTGGTTGATGGACACTTAGGTTGGTTCCATATCTTAAATTGTGCTGCTATAAACATGTGTGTGTATGTTTTTTCATATAATGACTTATTTTGCTTTGGGTAGATACCCAGTAGTGGGATTGCTGGATTGAATGGTAGTTTTACTTTTAGTTCTTTCAGGAATCTCCACACTGTTTTCCGTAGTGGTTGTAATAATTTGCATTCCGACTAGCAATGTAAAAGTGATCCCTTTTTACCACATCCATGCCAACATCTATTGTTTCTTGACTTAAGTTATGGCCATTCTTGCAGGAGTAAGGAGGCATCTCATTGTGGTTTTAATTTGAATTTTCCTGATGATTAATGATGTTGAGCATTTTTTCTTATGTTTGTTGGCTGTTTGTATACCTTCTTTTGAGAAATGTCTGCTCAGATCCTTTGCTGACTTTTTGATGGGATTATTTGTTTTTTTTTTTGTTTGTTTGTTTGTTTTTTCTTGCGATTTGCTTGAGTTCCTTGTAGATTCTAGATACTGGTCCTTTGTCGGATGCATAGTCTTCAAATATTTTCTCCCATTCTGTGGATTGTCTGCTTACTCTCCTGATTACTTTGCTGTGCAGAAGCTTTTTAGTTTAATTAGGTCCCATTTTTAATTTTTGTTTTTGTTGCATTTGCTTTTGGGGTCTTAGTCATGAATTCTTTGCCTAAGTCAATGTCCAGAAGAGTTTTTCCAATGTTATCTTTTAGAATTTTTATGGTTTCAGGTCTTAAATGTAAGTCTTTGCTCCATTTTGAGTTGATTTTTATATGAGGTGAGAGATGGGGATCCAGTTTAATCTTCTACATGTGGCTTGCCAGTTTTCCCAGCACCGTTTATTGAATAGGTATCCTTTCCCCAATTTATGTTTTTGTATGCTTTGCTGAAGATCAATTGGTTTTAAGTATTTGACTTTATTTCTTGACCCTCTATTCTGTTTCATTGGTCTATGTGCCTATTTTTATACCAGTACCTTGCTGTTTTGGTAACTATAGCCTTGTAGTATAATTTGAAGTTGGGTAATGTGATGTCTCCAGATTTGTTCTTTTTGCTTAGTCTTGCTTGGCTATATGGGCTCTTTTTTGGTTCCATGTGAATTTTAGGATTTTTTTTCTAGTTCTGTGAAGAATGATGCTGGTATTTGGATGAGAATTGCATTGAATCTGTAGATTGCTTTGGGCAGAATGGTCATTTTCACAATATTGATAATTCCCATCCATGAGCATGGAATGTGTTTCCATTTGTTTGTGTCATTTCTTTGACCAGTGTTTTGTAGTTTTCCTTGTAGAGATCTTTCACCTCCTTGGTTAAGTATATTCCTAGGTATTTTATTTATTTATTTATTTATTTATTTATTTATTTATTTATTTATTTATTTTTGCAGCTATTGTATAAGGGATTGAGCTTTGATTTGATTCTCAGCTTGGTGGTTGTTGGTGTATAGCAGGGCTACTAATTTGTGTACATTGATTTTTTAACCTGAGACTTTACTGAAATTGTTTATCAGAACTAGGAGCTTTTTGGATGAGTCGTTAGGATTTTCTAGTATACAATCATATTATCTGCAAACAGCAACAGTTTGACTTCCTCTTTTCCAGTTTGGATGGCCTTTATTTCTTTGTCTTGCCTGATTGCTCTGGCAAGGACTTCCAGTACTATGTTGAATAGAAGTGGTAAAAGTGGGCATCCTTGTCTTGTTCCAGTTCCCAGGGGTATGCTGTCAACTTTCCCCCATTCAATATGATGTTGGCTGTGGATTTGTCACATATGGCTTTTACTACTTCAAGATATGTCCCCTCTATGCCTATTTTGTTGAGGGTTTTTATAATAAAGTGGTGCTGGATTTTATCAGATGCTTTTTCTGCATCTATTGAGATGATTATATGATTTTTGTTTTTAATTCAGTTTATGTGATGTATCATATTTATTGACTTTTATATGTTAAACCATCCCTGCATCCCTGGGATAAAGTACGCTTGTTCATAATGTATTATCTTTTTGAAGTGCTGTTGGATTTTGTTAGCTCATATTTTGTCAAAGATTTTTGCATCTGTGTTCATCAGGGATATTGGTCTGTAGTTTTTTTTTGTTGTATCCTTTCTTGGATTTATTATTAGTTTAATACTAGCTTTTAGACTGATTTAGGGAGGATTTCTTCTTTCTCTATCTTTTGGAATAGTTTCAGTAGGATTGGTACCAATTCTTTGAATGTCTGGTAGAATTCAGCTGTGAATCCACCTGGTCTGGGACTTTTTTGTTGTTGGCAATTTTTTTTAATTACTAGTTCAGTCTTGCTGCTTGTTATTGGTCTGTTCAAGGTTTCTGTTTCTTTCTGATTTAACCTAGGAGGGTTGTATGTTTCCAGGAATTTATCCATTTCCTCTAGAGTTTCTAGTTTGTGCATGTAAAGGTGTTCATAGCAGCCTTGAATGATCTTTTGTATTTCTGAGGCATTGATTGTAATGTCTCCAGTTTCATTTCTAATTGAGCTTATTTGGATCTTCTCTCTTCTTTTCTTGGTTAATCTCACTAATGGTCTATGAATTTTCTTTATCTTTTCAAAGAACCAGCTTTTTGTTTCATTTTTATCTTTTTTTGTTTGTTTGTTTGAGGTCTTTTTAAAATAGTTTCTATTTCTCTGCAGAGACATCCTATTTTTCCATTCATTCCACATCATTTCCATCCATTCAAATGTGTTTACTTTGACCTCATGGATCATAGTTATAGTAGATGCTTTAAAGTCTTCTATAATTCACATCTTTTTGGGATTCACATCTTTTTTTTTTTTTTTCTTTTTTCTATGGAGTCTTGCTCTGTTGCCCAGTCTGGAGTGCAGTGGTGCAATCTTGGCTCACTGCAACCTCCGCCTCCCGGGTTCAAGTGATTTCCTTGCTCAGCCTCCCAAATAGCTGGGATTACAGGCCTGTGCCACCACGCCCAGCTAAGTTTTGTATTTTTCTTTTAGCAGAGAGAAGGTTTTACCATGTTGGACAGGCTTGTCTTGAACTCCTGACCTCAAGTGATCCACCTGCCTCGGCCTCCCAAAGTGCTGGAATTACAGGCATGAGCCACCATGCCTGGCCAGGATTGACATCTTTTTTTTTTTGAGACAGAGTCTCACTCTGTCACTCAAGCTGGAGTGCAGTGGCACAATCTCAACTCACTGCAGCCTCAACCTCTGGGGGCTCAGGTGATCCTCCTACCTCAGCCTCCCAAGTAGCTGGGACTACAGTTGTGCACCACCATCCCAGCTAATATTTGTATTATTTGTAGAGATGGGGTTTCACCATGTTGTTCAGGCTGATCTCGAACTCCTGGACTCAAGTGATCCACCCACCTCGGCCTCCCAAAGTGCTGGGATTGCAGACATGAGCCATTGTGTCTGGCTGGATTGACAGCTTTTGATTTTCTTTATCCTTAAGGGTTGATCAAATTTTCCTGGTTCTTTATATAACAAGCAATTTTGGAATACAGACTTGACATTTTAAATATTATGTTGTGAGACTAGGGCCACCCTTGGGTCAAAGCTGGGAGAGAAAAGAGGAAAAATTTTAAAACAGAACAAAATGGAAAACTGCCCCACTTAGCAGATTGCTTCTGCAAGTTTTGGCACCTTTCTTCAATCTGTCTGCTGTTATTGTAACTTTTCAGAGCTCTTGGGTGGTGGCTTTTTGTATTTGTCCTGTTTTTAGTTGTAATCAACGGGAGAGATAGGCTATAGTACGCTAACTTCACCTTGGTCAGCACCAGAGTTCATGTTTGATATGGATTCTATGTTCTAATTCTTTTTTCTTAAACAGATCATCACTGAGGCTGAGGAGCAGGGCCAGGTTAAAGACCAGAGGTCACAGAAAGAGAGGGAGAGGGAAGACATCCAAGAGGGTCCCATGTGAGCAGGATACCCAAGTCATTCTTGCTGTGGCTGACTCGGTTATTGACTTTACTTCTTTTCTTTTCAGGTTTTTATGGGACTGTTTCTAGCCCTGATTCAGGTGTGTATGAAATGAAGATTGGCTCCATCATCTTCCAGGTGGCTTCTGGAGATATCACGAAAGAAGAGGCAGATGTGATTGTAAATTCAACATCAAACTCATTCAATCTCAAAGCAGGTACTTGTACAATTTTGATGAGTGCAATAGTTAATGGTAGATGCTATGAAGGAGGGTTTCTATAGCCAAACTGGTTTTTAGAACTTTGGCTTGTTAATTAATAACTTTTAAATTATGCTGACAGGGTTTTCCATAATTAATAATGTTTATTTTATGAAGTTTTCTTCTTTGTCATCAGCAATACCCAATTAGAGGATTCCTCAGATGATGGAGAATGCATTCAGATAATCCTTCTGATCCAAATATACCATAGTGGTTTTTTACTCATGTTTGTTATCATCTTGATTTTCTCATGTAGGGGTCTCCAAAGCAATTTTAGAATGTGCTGGACAAAATGTAGAAAGGGAATGTTCTCAGCAAGGTAAGGCATATTCTATTTTTTGGTCCTAAGTTGTAATTGTATGGGAGGCTGTGGAGAGGCTGAGAAAAGTCTTAGGGTTGGGGAGACAACACTCTAATTTTAAAATGATACATTTTACTAAAGAATTCCAATCACAGACACTTAGAAGTGAAAAGTAATCTCACAGTTAAAAGTAAAGTTAAGTCATAGCATTCCATCAAAGATAGTATTTCAGGAGTTTTTTTTTTTTCACAAAATGCTTACTTGCCAAGTTATACATTTTGCTTTCTAAACAAATGACGGGTTCAACTTCTACTAATTTTGCATCTTTTTGTCTGTGTTTCCCAGCTCAGCAGCGCAAAAATGATTATATAATCACCGGAGGTGGATTTTTGAGGTGCAAGAATATCATTCATGTAATTGGTGGAAATGATGTCAAGAGTTCAGTTTCCTCTGTTTTGCAGGAGTGTGAAAAAAAAAATTACTCATCCATTTGCCTCCCAGCCATTGGGACAGGTTCGTAGCCTCTGGCTGTCAAGGCTAAATCCCAAGCCATCTACTTTCCCTTTCATTTGGAGCTGAGTGTGAATGCGGTCAGTGCTGAGTCTGACCCAGGGCAGCAACCATTAAGCTAGGAGTGGACAGCTTCCTCCCCATAAGACAACTCCCAAGGGAATGACAAAGCCTGTGGATTGTTTGAGTAAAAGAGGGACAAAATGCAGGAGACTGAAGAGAGTGTTAGAATGTTAGAGAGGCAGAAAGAAGGGAAGGGAAAATAAGGAGGAGAAGAGAAGGGAGAGAGTGGAAAGGCCATCCCTCATTCTCTTTCCTCAGTTACTTTCCCTTTTTCCATTCCCTACATATTCTCCATTATGCAGTCCTTAGCTTCCTCCTCTTTCCCCTCTCCATGGAGAATATTAGTACAACAACTTCCACCTCACTCTAGCTGATTCCCAGAGGAATATTACCAGGCTTCAGCTCAACAGTCAGCTGTGTCACTTGGCCTCAGGGCATTTCTGTGTAGAAGCTTCTCAGTCACCAGAACCTAGTGGGTCAGAAACTCAACTCTCCACTTTCCTCTTTTCAGCCTACTTGCTTCTTTGATTTTCTTCTTTTCCTAAAACTAGGTAATGATAGCGTGATTTTTCATATATAAGGATGGCGCTCTGGATTTATCATTAATTAGGTGGTTTTTTTTTTTTAATTATACTGGGGTACATGGGCAGAATGTGCAGTTTTGTTGCACAGGTGTTCTTTGAGCTCTTTAGGAATCCCTGCTTGGTCTCCTTCAGAGAGCTGGTCAGGGGAGGCATGCATTCTTAGGCTTGAAGTCAACGGAGCTGCCTTGTTCCAGTGCGAGAATAGTCAGCATCGGATCTGTCATTCTGTTGCTCGGGAATCTAAGTTTGAATCTCTTATGCTGGCATTCTAGGCTTTCCAAAAGGTTATCCTCAATAAACTTAACCATCCTTGTCAATTTCTGGGCCTTCTTCTAACCCTCTGACCCATATCTGTAATTCTGTACCATTTCTTATAATGTTCCGAGATGGAATTCTATGTCTATTTTACAACTTTTCTATTTCTAAAAGTATAATTTTTGATCCCTTTGTTTTCATTCCCCTTAGAGTATCATCTATTCCTAGCAGATTAGCCAACATTTCTCCTATCTCTCTCTACCAGTCATCTATCTATCTATCTATCTATCTATCTATCTATCTATCTATCTATCTATCTATCTATCGATCTGTCTATCTATCTCTATCATCTCTCTACTGACTTATCTTTTATGGACACCCACCAATGACTCCTCAGTCTCTGTCTCCATCTGTTTTTTTCTCTGAGCTCTAGTCTTGGGTTTCCACCTTCAGTTGATTTGGGCCAAGAAAGCAAGCAGCTTAGGGGTGCCACAGACCTTCCCAAAGGAGTCCCTGGTAGAGTCAAAAGAAGAAACAAAGAAAGAAGGTAGGTTTCGTTTTGTATAAATATGTACACATTTGAGCATTTCTGGACTCAATTCTGGACTCAACAACAAATCCTGTTGTTTCTTCCACTGACCTGGTTGCATTGCTGGTCAGCACAAATAAATCAGGGTTAGTGGGTTATCCTTGCATGTCCTCTTTACCTATCTTTATCACCACCTGAGCTGGTTCTGAGACTGATAGATGTAGAAGCTTTCTCTTTTAGTGGTGTATATGAGTTGAATTAAGACTGTGATCAAGACAGCCTCTGGCAGTTAAAGGAGCCTCCTCTCTGTTCCTTAAAGACACCTGCATAAGAGGAGAGATTAGGTGGTTAGCAATACCTGTGATCACCTCAAGCTCAACGCAGACTCCAAACTCTCATTCCTTGTCATCTCCCCAAACCTGCCCTTCCTCTTATATCCCCAATCACGTGAAAAACATCACTTTCCATCTAGAGTCCTTGACTCTACCCTCTTCGTCACTCCGATCTTCATTAGCTTAGGAATTATTTGATTGAATATTTACTGAGTGCCTGCATCTGCAAGGCACCATGTTTAGGCTCTGGAGATAGAAAGATAACTAAGAAAAGGATCCAGTTCACAAGGAGCACTGAGCCCAGTGTGAGAGACAGGCATGCAAACAAACAACTGCAATGCAACGTGAACCATGATATAGTGAAGGTATGTGTATGGCAAAAGACAGAGAGGGAAAGGTGAAGGACAAACCCAGCTGGTCCCTAGGTACTCCTGACTTTACTTCCAAAATAGCTCCTCAATCCCTATTCTTCATTCTGGCCTCCTCTTTTTGTTCAGCTCTTGTCTTTTGACTAAGCTTTTATTACAGCGTCCTAACTAGACCTGGGCTCCCCGCTCCATGCTTCCTCCATACCCCTCCAGACTTAACTTCCTCAAAACTAGGTCTGTTCTGCATACGTGCCAGGCTGAACATATACCCATTACATAGTTCCATCTGGCATAGCCTTTCCCTCAATTTTCCATATTTCACCTGTTGATCACCTGTTCATCCCCGCATATCACATCATCTGTGTTCTAGCAAGTGCCTAGTGAGTACCTAGCCAGTGATAGGACATAGCAGATGTTTCTTGAAAGTGAATGAATGTAACTGAATGTGTCCATATAAACTCTTCAAAATACCATGGGAAAATTACAGCTTTGCAAAAGAGAATTTCCCTCGTTCTCTGATCATCTGATTTAAAAAGATTTGAACAACCCCCCTTGGTTAATTTTATGTGGGGTTGTCTACATTCCCACAATTGTCAGCATAGCCAAGTCAAAGAAGCCTACTCTTCTTCTGCAATAGTGGTGGGTACCATCAACAACAATTAGCCAGGTGGGCTCTTAGTCTGTCACATCAGCTTGGCCAAGGAACTTTTACATTGCCCATCATGTGACTTTGCCAGCTGTTATTCACATGGGACTGTTCCCCCAGCTGGAAAGGGACTTTTCATGATCTTACCTAGGCTGTTGCTTTCATGGCTTGAGAAGGAGGATATGGAGTATGCTGAAAACAGGAAACGCTCTGCTTCAGGTGGCTACCTTGAATCCTGCTGGTCAGCTAAAATCTCACTGAGTGTGGAGGGAAAGGCTTCTTGGAGGCTTATAGATAACTTGTGTCTGAAAAATTATAGATTATAACAAATAGCCTGTAGCACTGGGTGTCTTACTAAATTTTGCTTAGTTCAAATTAGGTTCCCAGAGATATCTGGGAGAATAAGGATACATACATAAAATCAAGTGATGACTGATCCTAAAAAAGATTTTCATCTTTAAAAAGTATTTTATGTCAACATATATTAGCATCTGCTTTTTATGAAATTTCAAGGACACTAGCGAGCTAAGTAGAAAAGCTACTTGTGCTCTGTAATAGGAGAGGAGGAACACAATGAGCTGGGATCAGTTGAATAGAGTAGATATGATTGTCAGACACCAAAAGTCAGATTTCTGGGTCCTTTGTTCACTGCTAGGCTGTGGGCTTCCTGACATCCTGGAACAAAAACACTTCATTGCATCTAGGACTTCAAAAGTGTTTGCTGATGCTTTGTTAGAAAATTCCACAATGATGAAAGAATTGAGGAGTGGGCATTTATTCTCTGAGCATTGGAAACCCTAATTTATTCCTCAGCCTTCCACTTGGGGCTTTTTTGTCCTTCAGCAATTTTATTATTTGCTTTTCCAGGAAATGCCAAACAACACCCAGATAAGGTTGCTGAAGCCATAATTGATGCCATTGAAGACTTTGTCCAGAAAGGATCAGCCCAGTCTGTGAAAAAAGTTAAAGTTGTTATCTTTCTGCCTCAAGTACTGGATGTGTTTTATGCCAACATGAAGAAAAGAGAAGGGACTCAGCTTTCTTCCCAACAGTCTGTGATGTCTAAACTTGCATGTGAGTTCTTTGTTTTTATGAAATGCATGTTCATAACGTTGATGTCACATGTGAAATACCTAATCTTCCTTTTCTTTTTAGCATTTTTGGGCTTTTCAAAGCAATCTCCCCAAAAAAAGAATCATTTGGTTTTGGAAAAGAAAACAGAATCAGCAACTTTTCGGGTGTGTGGTGAAAATGTCACGTGTGTGGAATATGCTATCTCCTGGCTACAAGACCTGATTGAAAAAGAACAGTGTCCTTACACCAGTGAAGATGAGTGCATCAAAGACTTTGATGAAAAGGAGTATCAGGAGTTGAATGAGCTGCAGAAGAAGTTAAATATTAACATTTCCCTGGACCATAAGAGACCTTTGATTAAGGTTTTGGGAATTAGCAGAGATGTGATGCAGGCTAGAGATGAAATTGAGGCGATGATCAAGAGAGTTCGATTGGCCAAAGAACAGGAATCCCGGGCAGATTGTATCAGTGAGTTTATAGAATGGCAGTATAATGACAATAACACTTCTCATTGTTTTAACAAAATGACCAATCTGAAATTAGAGGATGCAAGGAGAGAAAAGAAAAAAACAGTTGATGTCAAAATTAATCATCGGCACTACACAGTGAACTTGAACACATACACTGCCACAGACACAAAGGGCCACAGTTTATCTGTTCAGCGCCTCACGAAATCCAAAGGTGAGTTAAACATTCATACTTGTCATCCACTATTTCACATCTACTTTGGGCATAACACTATTTGGTACGTACATCAGAATTTCAAATTGGAAAAAATTCATGTGACACTAATGAAATAAACTAGAAAATGTGGCCTCTGCGCTTAAAGAGCTTACGTTATGGCCAGGAAAACCCAGAATGGATGTACCCAAAAGCCTGAAGATGACTATCTTCTTGGTAACAATAGTCAAATCTCACCTTTGTTCTCATCTCTACAGTTTATAAGCTTCCCAGAGCCAGTTGTGCTGAGAAGGTAATAGCAGCATCAATTAGGGGAAGGAAAACCATAGGCTTAAAGGAAAAGTGATGGCCCAAGGTTTTCTAGAACAAAAAAGGCCAAGGGAAAAACAGAAAGGAAAGCCTGGTCAGAGGGTGTGCCCTCTCTGTGTCTGACTGATAATCCAGGGAGGATCGGGAGCCTGTAGGAACTTCTCCCAGTAGTCACCTCTGCCAAGAGCAAAAGGTTCCTTGACACACATGGCAGGAAGCAGGCTTCAGATTCTCTGACCAGACCTACTCTCCAAGAAGGGAAGCCCTGTCTTGTGTAGGCAGCCCTTCCTACCTTCGAACCAGATTAAGTCCCCTTTGAAAATGAGTAAATTGGCTTCCATTACACTATATTTATCTCCTGTGAGATCAGTGTGAACAGATTCCCGAGACTCTGAGCAACCCTGGGGAAATGATAAATCACATATAGTATTCTGCTTAGCAGAGGAGAAGACAGAGCTGTCACCACAGCTTGTCACATAGCAAAATCTGCCACCTAACTGCCTCTTAAAGATGCTATGAAGAATAATGAAAAAATAGATGTAGAGTGCCTGTGGTGGTGATGGTGAGGAGTTCTGGCAAAAATCCATGCACAAACAAAACAGCAACTACTTAGAACACTGTAGGGAAATAATTTATTGTGAAATTGTGACTACTAGAGATTGAACAGAAAACACAGATGAGTTATACTGCACCAACAGTTCTCAAATCGTAGTATGATCCAAACTTAGGAGGCAGACATACAGGCTCTGCCCCTCACAGATGCTGATTCAGTTGATCTGTGGCTTTCCTTTTTTTTGTTTAACAAGCATTCCAGTTGGTTCTGATGTAGGTTGTCTGTTGTTCATGCTTTGAAAAGCGTTCTCCTAGAAAGATAAGGAACTCTTTGAATGCTTAGAATTGGGAGATAGTAAAACAAGAACACAGATACTAAATGTTCCAGAGTGTACCGGGGATGTATGAGGGCATCCTCAAATGTCTCCTTTGCAGTTGACATCCCTGCACACTGGAGTGATATGAAGCAGCAGAATTTCTGTGTGGTGGAGCTGCTGCCTAGTGATCCTGAGTACAACACGGTGGCAAGCAAGTTTAATCAGACCTGCTCACACTTCAGAATAGAGAAGGTAAGCCTTCTGCTAGAATGCAGTTTCTGGATGGTGGAAATAAGTTCTGTCATGGTCCTATATAAAATCCATTTTCATTCACTTCCTATCACATTTTTTTAAACCCAGAATTAGAATTTGTATGGTAATTAGTAGTTCTAGATTCTACTCATGTGACCATAATTACTGAGGCATTAAGATTCTTGTGTCAGTGATTACAATATTTGATTGTAATATGATAGAACACTAAAGACATATATTTACTTTGTGAAGCAAGCTAATACAAATTCAAAGATATGGCTTTAAAATTGGATTTGATAGCTAGCAAATTCCACAGAGAGCCATGCAGAGGCTCCTTAGATCAGG
This sequence comes from Homo sapiens, assembly GCF_000001405.40. NCBI lineage: Eukaryota > Metazoa > Chordata > Mammalia > Primates > Hominidae > Homo > Homo sapiens. Next base: position 122,720,734 of record NC_000003.12, read on the forward strand.
ACCATGTTACTCTGCCCCATTATTCACAGATCAACAGTGCTTCCTTGATAAAGCCAGCAGGCCTTTTCTCGTTTATCATAATTATTTTGGGCAGGTGAATGTGATGATTCGTGCCTGTAGTCCCAGCTATTGGGAGGCTGAGGTGGAAGGATTGCATGAGCCCAGGAGTTTGACGCCAGTCTGGGTAACATAGTGAGATCCTGCTCTCAAATAAAAACAACCAATTATTTTGGCATCTTCTTCCATTTTTAAACATTTTTGATATTGCTGTTTGAAATTATATTTTCCTTGACTTCTCTAGCAAAATTATTATGATTTTTTTTTCCTTGACTAATTTTCTTTTCATTTTTGCAGGCACGCTGTTTCTCTTCCAAACCCCTAATTCTAGCTTTATTCACGCCATTTATGCTTAAACGGTCTTTTGTCTCTGTACCTCACCAGGGAATATATTTACCCTTCTTGGATTCAACTATTAGTTCAATGTCAATAGCTCCCAAATCAACATTACCAACCTGGGTCTTTGACTCAAGCTCTAGAACATACTCCCAGTGGCCTAAAAAAATCTCCACTTGAGGCTGGGCACAGTGGCTCACGCCTGTAATCCCAGCACTTTGGGAGGCCGAGGTGGGTGGATCACGAGGTCAGGGGTTCAAGACCATCCTGGTGAAGATGGTGAAACCACGTCTCTACTAAAACTACAAAAATTAGCCGGGCATGTTGGCAGGTGCCTATAATCCCACCTACTTGGGAGGCTGAGGCAGGATAATTGCTTGAACATGGGTGGCAGAGATTGCAGTGAGCCAAGATCACGCCACTGCACTCCAGCCTGGTCGACAGAGTGAGACTCCGTCTCAAAAAAAAAATCTCCACTTGAATATCTAACTGCAAAATCAACTTCTCTAAAATCTAATGCATCATACGTAAGTAATTCTCTTTCCCTTTCCTTCCTCATTTCTGTTTTTGGTTCTACCACTTTCTGAGTAAAGCCGGAGATCTTTGATCCACCATAAGTCTGCCAGTAAGACCTACATTTTCTTTGCAAATTTTTCTTACTCTCTATTTGAACTGCCAACACTGTTTATTCATGTTGTTAAGTACATCATAATTTAAAAAGATTCAAAGTGCCCTACAAAGATATAAACTATACCTTCAGATAAAATAAATATACAAAGAAAAATGGTTAAAGAGAAAAGAATGGCAGGGAAAATAAGATAATACAGACGAACTGCTAGTTCTCAAAAATATATAACATGAGGTTACCAATTTGTCCCTGAGCTTCCTAGTAGACAAAGCAAGAAGTAAACATTCAGGTACAAGACTCATAATGTCCGTAAATCAAAAAGCAAACCATTTGATAAGGAGGCTCACAGCTCCTCACAATACTGAGACTGACTCCTGAGAGATTTCTCTTGTGGATCAAGTACTAGAGAATATCCTCAACGTCATCCTCACAATAAATTAAATATCAACTTTTATATCACTGTTTTTTTTTAATGTAAAACTGGTTGAACAAAACCGATGCCTGATTGAATGAAAACAATTCTATGAGGCACCAAGACAATATGATTCAAGTATGCAGCTCTATGATGGTCTATTTCTGAGATAACAAGTAAGTCTCACTCCAAGTACCAATTACTACTAACTGGTAGTGGCTGATTGGCACATTGTGATGAGATGCTAAGTTTAGATTGAGCAGGAATGAATGTTCTGCTTGACCAGCAATATCTACAGTGGGCCCTGTGGATGCCTGCTGTGTATTGGCAGACCCTGGCCAGAGAATTGATTTCAACACTTTTTTGCAGTGAAACCTTTTTTTTCAATAAAATCTTATGTGAAATCCCAGTGTATGAACCAGATAAAAGCAGAGGTGTGGGTAGTACTTAAGGTGCCTCCATGGAGGTCCCTAGAATTGTGAAAATAACATAAAAAATGGGTGGTCTGTCATCCTCTATGACTATTATGTCTTATGATTAAGGTTTTTAATATCCATAAGCCTTCCACTTAGATTCAACAATTGTGCCACTTTTGCTTTCTCTCCCTGTCTGTTTTTGCTGAAGCATTTGAAGGTAAGTTGCAGACATCATGATACTCCTATTTTAGCAAGTATCTCCCAATTAAAGACATTCTCCTAAATTATGGCAATGCCATTATCCCAATTAAAAACTTAACATTAATTCAGTAATATCCAATATGCATTTCATATTTTTTTTTTTTTTCCCCGAGACGGAGTCTTGCTCTTTCACCCAGGCTGGAGTGCAGTGGCGCGATCTTGGCTCACTGCAACCTCCGCCTACCGGTTGCAAGCGATTCTCCTGCCTCAGCGTCCCAAGTAGCTGAAATTGCAGGTGCCCACCACCACACCCGGCTAATTTTTTTTTGTATTTTTAGTAAAGATGGGGTTTCACCATGTTGGCCAGGCTGGTCTCGAACTCCTGACCTCAAGTGATCCCCCCGCCTGGGCCTCCCAAAGTGTTGGGATTACAGGTGTGAGCCACCACATCTGGCCACAGTCCATATTCTAATTTTTCCAGTTGTTCAAAAAAATCTCTTATAACTCCCCCTCCCCAACCCCAGTCTGAGTTCACACACGGTTTGGACATTATGTCTCCTTTGTGTCTTCTAATATAGAGTAGTACTCTTGCATTTAAAAAATTATTTTTCATGACATGAATTTTTTTAGAGTTTAAGCCAATTGTATTGTAGAATGTATCACATTCTGGATCTGTCATGCCTTGATTTTTGTGGAAGAATCCATGCCAGTTTTATAGATTCTAGACTTATCTGATTCTTGATAATATCATTTATTTCTCTATCCTCTTTATTTCTGGTAAGCTGAGTTAGGTTGAAAGGTTTGAGTAAATTCAGATAAATATTTTTTGCAAGAATACTTCATAGGTGATACATCACATCAGGAACCTCAGATGGTAAGGCCATCCCACTATTAATGATGCTAAGTTTGATCACTAGTTAAGTGGGTGACCACCATTTCTCTCCACTGGAATCAGTAGATTATCTGTGGGATGATACTTCGTCAGCATATGAGTATCCTGTTCCCCAACAATTTTGTACTGATTGACTTTCACTTCCATTGATGATCCTTGCCTGAATCCATCATTACACTGGAGGTTGCAGGATGTTGATTTTCTAATTCTGTCATTCCTTCTGTATATGTTATTTGGCATTTTTTTGAAGAATAAATGTTCTTTTTTCCTGATTTTGAAAAAAATCAGTATGTTATATTTAATTACAGTGATTATTCTGTTAGATGTACACATTATCCTCCATTTGGCTGGCAGGAAGTTGGGTCCCATGTCTTTTAATGACCCCATTAATCTTTGAGCATTTCTTTACTTTTTGCCATGAGATTTGTCTTGCTTATCCTGTACTTTCCTTGTCTCGTGCCTGGAATCAGACATTTTTCTAAGAAGCCATGTTACCTTTTAGTGGGGAATGGTAGTGAGAAACCAAAAGTCGTGTGTTGCGTGTGTTCACTGCTATTGAGGTGTTGCTGTTTCCAGGGTCTTTTGTGGCTAGAGCTAAGAAAATCATGAACTTGTATTTATGTTTTCTTTTTTTTTTTTTTGAGGCAAAGTTTTGCTCTGTCATTCCAGCTGGAGTGCATCAGCGTGATCATAGCTTACTGCAGCTTCCAACTCCTGGGCTCAAGCAATCCTCCCCACTCAGACTCTAGAGTAGCTGGGGCTACAGGCACATGCCACCACGCCTATTTTTTTTTTTTTTTTTTTTTTGTAGAGATGGAGTCCGTGTTATCCAGGCTGGTTTCAAACTTTTGACTTCAAAAGTGCTGGGATCCACCCACCTCTGTCTCTCAGAGTGCTGGGATTACAAGTGTGAGCCACAGCACCCAGCCATATTCATGTTTTCAATTAAAATTTAATGTTGAAAAAAAAATTTTTTTTTTTTTTTTTAGTATTTATTGATCATTCTTGGGTGTTTCTTGGAGAGGGGGATGTGGCAGGGTCATAGGATAATAGTGGAGAGAAGGTCAGCAGATAAACACGTGAATAAAGGACTCTGGTTTTCCTAGGCAGAGATCCCTGCGGCCTTCCGCAGTGTTTGTGTCCCTGGGTACTTGAGATTAGGGAGTGGTGATGACTCTTAAGGAGCATGCTGCCTTCAAGCATCTGTTTAACAAAGCACATCTTGCACCGCCCTTAATCCATTTAACCCTGAGTTGACACAGCACATGTTTCAGAGAGCACGGGGTTGGGGGTAAGGTTGTAGATTAACAGCATCCCAAGGCAGAAGAATTTTTCTTAGTACAGAACAAAATGGAGTCTCCTATGTCTACTTCTTTCTACACAGACACAGTAACAATCTGTTCTCTCTTTTCCCCACATTTCCTCCTTTTCTTTTCGACAAAACTGCCATCGTCATCATGGCCCGTTCTCAATGGTCGCTGTCTCTTCGGAGCTGTTGGGTACACCTCCCAGACGGGGTGGCTGGGCAAAGGCGCTCACTTCCCATACGGGGCGGTTGGGCAGAGGCGCTCACTTCCTAGACAGGGCGGCCGGGCAGAGGCACTCCTCACCTCCCAGATGGGGCAGCTGGGCAGAGGTACTCCTCAGTTCCCAGATGGGGTGGCGGCCGGGCAGAGGTGCTCCCCACCTCCCAGACGGGGCAGCGGCCGGGCAAAGGTGCTCCCCACCTCCCAGACAGGGCGGCCGGGCAGAGGCGAATTTTTTCTTAATATCTTAATATTTTATGTCATTTTGTGTACAAAATGAAATTCTGGCTTTTAATAATAGTACATTCTTACTTGTTTCATCCTATAGAATACATACAACTGTTTCAAAATTATCATACCAAAATTATTATTAGCAATATTAAAATAGCTATGCTAGCTTTCTTTTGGTTATTGTTAGCATGTTATGGTATATCTTTTCCCACTCTTTTTCTTTTAATCTTATAATAAGTGTATATTTAAGATGTGTCTCTTGATAGCAACATATACTTGAGTTTTGCTTTTCATCATCCAGCCTGACAATCTTTTATCTTTTAACTAGAGTACTTAATCTTACTTACTGTACTTACTGATATGTTTGGGTTTAAATGTACCATATTAATCTCTGTTTTCTATTTATCATATCTATTCTTTGTTCTTTTTTATCTTTTCCTGGTTTCTTTTGCATTATTTCTATTTCATTTTCACCCCTATTATGTTGTTAGTTATACATTCTAATTCTTTCATTGCTTACCCTAGAGATTATAACATGCATCCTTGACTTATTGAACTGTAATGTAAATTAGTATATTCATCATTCCCCAGACAATGCAAAGACCTTTGAATACTTTAAGCCTTATTTATCTCTCTTCTGCTTTTTGTGTTGCTTTTAACACACATTTTAATTCTATTTATATTTGAAACCCGATGAAACATTTTTAATTTGTTTATATTTATTTATATGTACCAACATATTTACCATTTATTTCCAGTGTCCTTCAATTCTTCCTATATTTCCATGCTTCCATGTGGGATAATTTTTCATCTAGATTTAGTATTTCTTCCAATGCAGATCTGGTAGTGATGAATTCTCTCAGTTTTTATTTATCTGAAAACGTCTCTTTCTCTTTCATTCTTTGAAGGATATTTTTGCTGGGCATAGAAGTTTGGATGGCAATTATTTTCTTTCAGCACTTTGAAGAAATTATTGTCTTCTGATTTTACTGTTTCACCATACTTCCCTTCTCTCTGCAATCTTAGCTCATCAAATCCTTGATGTCTTCAAATAGACTTTTCTCCCTCTCTAGCTCTTCTAGTAGTTGTTGGTGAGAGGTTGGTCTGATAAAAGTAATCTACCCTGGCTAGACATCTGCTGCTAATAATAAACCTACTAAATAAAGTTTAAGATTTATTTGCAATTTTTTTTACCTTAGAATTTATCCCATGAGAAATGTAGAATCAGGTTACTATATTCAAAAATTACTTGACATAATTATTTTTAAAAATTTTAAAAGGTAAGAAACAACCTTTTTAAATTTAAGAATTAAGAGACTAAGAAATTGAGAATTATTTCAAAACTCAAAAAATGTTGAAGGCTTTAAAAATGAGTAAGATAAAATGTAAGGTAAATGAAATGAATGTAGGCATTTTGAAGATTAGAAATTTAGCCGTAGGTAAAGAATACAAAGGAAAAATAATTTTAAAATCATCAACCAGATCAACAAAATATATGTTAATGCCGAGACTTTGAATTAGAGTGCGAATTGTATCTTAATTAAAAAGAGAAAACCCAAAACTGGAAAAAAAAAAAAAAAGAACCAGATGATGGCAGGTAATGGTGTTAAGCCTGAGAGTTCTCCAAAACGGAAAACATTCTGACAACATGGACAACAGGGAACCTTTACCTTGTGCATTTCCATGAGGGACTTTGGTCACCTTTACCCACCCCTCGGTCTTCCCAGGACAGCCTTATGAAACTGCTACTACTTGGGGACTAGGGGAGTTTAGAAGTAGAACTGCAACCCAGGACCCAAGCAGTTTCCACCACCGCCCTGGAGGCCACTGCCTAAAGAGTATGGTCAAAGCATGGCCACTTTGGTCTACAACATTCAAGATTCATGCACCGGTCTTCCAACTGGACCAGAGATTAATTTTCATTAGTTAATTTCATTCTTGCCTAGATATTCTGTTGCTTCTCTTACTGTTAGTACACAACTAGGTCAACCAGTATCCCAGAAGGACTGAGGTGGTGAGAGGCAAAGTGCAAAGTGAGGTGGACAGCAACAGGAGCAGTCATTAGAGTATGTGTAAAAAGCAGAAGTTGCAGAGGCTGGGTCAGCAGAATTCATGTCATGAGTACTTAAAATCCTAAACCTTGTTTGATCTCATGCGGTACATAAAAGATGTTAAAAATTAAACCAACATTCTTCCCATTGCCTGTTTTTATGAAACACTGGATCTAAAAAGGTTTCTGAATGCAGAAAGCTGCCGTCTGGCATTGGATTTGCTGTTTAGTGTGCTTTTATTTATGAAACATAGTGATCATGTTTCATTTGCTGTATATTGGCAAGTGCTCTTGGAACTGGCAGAATATTATCCTTTATTAATTTGCAGATTGAGAGGATCCAGAATCCAGATCTCTGGAATAGCTACCAGGCAAAGAAAAAAACTATGGATGCCAAGAATGGCCAGACAATGAATGAGAAGCAACTCTTCCATGGGACAGATGCCGGCTCCGTGCCACACGTCAATCGAAATGGCTTTAACCGCAGCTATGCCGGAAAGAATGGTAAGGAAGCGAGTAATCTGGCTGCTTGGAATGAGGCATCAGCCATGAGAGCCCGAGTTGGCTGGGACAGTGTGGATTCATTGTGGTCCCCCATCATTGGTGGCCATGTTGCAGCCCGAGTTTCAGGGTAGGACTCACTGTATTTCATCCCAAAGGGGATTGACTGGCCCTTCTAGGTAGAAAAATTGATGATTAAAAGTGAAAAGCACACACAAAAAATTTTAAGAGAGGCTTTAGAAAGAACATTATTTAACAGATTGGGCCAACATATCAAATTTTACATTAACTTGAAATGCTTAAAAATGGTTTTTCTTTTCACAGCTGTGGCATATGGAAAGGGAACCTATTTTGCTGTCAATGCCAATTATTCTGCCAATGATACGTACTCCAGACCAGATGCAAATGGGAGAAAGCATGTGTATTATGTGCGAGTACTTACTGGAATCTATACACATGGAAATCATTCATTAATTGTGCCTCCTTCAAAGAACCCTCAAAATCCTACTGACCTGTATGACACTGTCACAGATAATGTGCACCATCCAAGTTTATTTGTGGCATTTTATGACTACCAAGCATACCCAGAGTACCTTATTACGTTTAGAAAATAACACTTTGGTATCCTTCCCACAAAATTATTCTCCATTTGTACATATCTAGTTGTAAAACAAGTTTTAGCTTTTTTTTTTAATTCCTCTTAACAGATTTTTCTAATATCCAAGGATCATTCTTTGTCGCTGAAGTCAGTCTTTCTTCAGCTTCCCTTTCATAATGGAAATGAACTTATTATCTTGAGAGCAAATAACTTGGAAAATTTAAATGAGATAATGCAGTTGCAACTGTGTGTCCACAAGTATGGACATCAAATCTGTGGGAAAAGAACAGGTTTGTATTTTCAGGAAGGAGAGAATAACAGTCTTATAGACAGAGGGCACAGCTAAGCACAGCTGCCACTGCAGGAGACAGGCCCCATGTCAGGATGCCATAGTGCTGTGGGGAGCACAGTATTACCCAGTGGGTAGGGCTTCTGTCTTCCCTGGGAGCAGGGATGGTATCTTAGTCAATTTTTTTCCCTTGAGATGAGGTCTGTGCCTGATGTACAACGGATACTCCATAAATGTTTGACAAACCAACGAAGAATGAAAAAAAGCCTAGTCAGACTCCCATCCAAAGTAGGAACTATCTCTTTAACATTCTTGACTCACTATCACTTTACCTCAAATTGAACAGATTCCATGACGGAACTTCATTCTTCACAAACTAGCCAGTGACATGTGGGACAGCTCTGGCCAGGGCTCTGGGACTGCAGTGTACTTGCGCTCTGCACGGTCCAGGAGCTGTGATGTGGCTGTGGTCTAGGGGAATCCTGCCTGCCCCATGGAGTTGCGCAGCACAACCCTGGCTCCAATTGCCAGAAGGCTCTTTTTAATGCTGAACCAAAATGTGCCTTTTTTTTTTTTTTTTTGAGATGGAGTTTCACTCTTGTTGCCCAGGCTGGAGTGCAATGGCGCGATCTCAGCTCACTGCAGCCACTGCCTCCCAGGTTCAAGTGATTCTCCTGCCTCAGCCTCCCGAGTAGCTGGGATTACAGGCATGCGCTAACACACCCAGCTAATTTTGTATTTTTAGTAGAGACGAGGTTTCTCCATGTTCGACAGGCTGGTCTCGAACTCCCACCTCAGCCTCCCAAACTGCTGGGATTACAGGTGTGAGCCACCGTGACCAGCCAATGTGCCTTCTTATAGTGTCTACTCATTGGTCTTTGTTCTGCCCAGTGATAACAATGGGATAACGCCTGCTACACATCTTCATTGTGAAACCCTTCCCCTGTGCTGAGATTAAATGAACTCTAAGATTATTAAATAGTATATTTTCCTTGACAGCCTAGCGTTTGATGATTTTAAAGCCTTATGTATAAATAAACCAAAGGAAGTAAGCAGTCATATTGCTAATTTGCTAACTCCTATCTATTGAATGGTGAAGTTTTAAAAATTTCCCCAGGTAAGTTTAAGATTCAAACACCATCTATTGAGCACCTACATTGTGTGCCAGGTAGTAAAATAGGTGCTTTCATACACATTGTCTCAATTCCTGTGAGGTCAGAATTATCTCTGCATTTGAAACTTGAGGAAACATGCTCAGAGTGCAAGAAGCTTCCTTGCCTGAGATCACCTAGAAAGGAACCCTCAGAGCCGGCAACTGAATCTTGGTCCCTGTGATGTCAAGCCCATTGCTCTCCCACTGCAGAACATGGCCTCTAGATTAATGCCACCGATTCAGGAACACCTCCGACAGTCTTGAAATACCCCCATGTTGCCTTGTTTGTTTTTTCCTTCTGGCTTCTTCTATTACAGTCTCTTCATTGGAAGCTCTGTAGGCCAAGGCCAGAGCTGATACTGACACGGAGCCAATGCAGATAGCACATCAGATGCTAGGGGTCGCTGGGAGGATTAAGGGACTTAATCTGCTAGGAACACCTGTACTTGAAGTGGAGGAGGCTAGGGGGCCACAGTTGCTGCTTCATTAACATAGAGGTTTTGGATTTTTTTCTCTTGTGGTTTGTTTTTTAAGTGGATTGGCAGACTCCTTGTTGCTTAAGAGTGGCTTTCTAGGCAGGCCACTGGCATCTGAATTCATCATTGACAATAAATGTAAGAAATTGGAATAAAAAAGAGAGACCTGCTGTTATTCGCTTTTGTTCTCCAGTGATTTGATTAACTCAGGGCAAGGCTGAATATCAGAGTGTATCGCACTGAAGAATAATAATCCATTCAGTAATGTTATAGTTATCCTCAATCTAAATATGTCAACTGTCATTTTGCTACTTTTCAAATAAAATACTTGAAAACTGTCATTTAATGGTAAACATTTTTATCCTAAAGGGCAAATACAGGGGGGCTTAATGATAAACACAGACCACTGCTGATAATAATAATTAAAAAACAACTAAGTATGACAGCATGAAGGGATGCTCAGTGTATTAATATTTGGTTGAAAATTACAGGAAGGGGCACGATACAGCCATAGTTCAGTGAATCTGAAGGGCTTATTGACCCCAGCAAGTAGCCCCGGCTGAAACAAGTCCACTTTGCACCTGTGATAGGTCTTGATCGTTTACTCTAGGGTCAGAAATTCTCTTTTTTGGTATTTGGATCACCTGAGGTGTTTGCTGAAACTCCAAGCTCTGGCCTCATCCCAAAGGAGTCAGATTCTATAGCACTAAAGTGGTTCCCAAGAATCTGCATTTTGGGCAAGCACCTCAAATAATTCTGATATCTCTAACACCCAGAGCCACCTTAAAATGTTCATGGGCCTCAGGCACTTTTGCCATTGTGGGCCCTTTATTGCATAAAAAAATTAAATATAATTTGCAACTGCATTGACATGAACACAAATGAAGTTGAGGCTGGATTATATATTTTGTTCCTGGTTTTAAAAGAAACTAAAACATTTTTGTGGCCTCCTAAAAGATTCATGGGCCCTAGCCATTGTCTACTGCACCTAATGGATAAGGCAGCTGCTGCTGCTCCCTTGATTCTGTGATGTTAGGCAGAAGGCTGAGCTTTTATTTATTTTTTAATTTTTTTAAGGATAGAGGTTTTACTATGTTGCCCAAGGTGGGCTCAAGCAATCTCCCTGGCTTAGCTGGGATTATAGGCACATTCGGCCGGGTTTGTATTCTTTAACTACTTTGGCGCCCAGGCTGGAGTGCAGTGGTGTGATCTTGGCTCATGGCAACCTCTGCCTACTGGGTTCAAGCAATTCTCTTGCCTCAGCCTCCCGAGTAGCTGGGACTGCAGGTGTGCGCCACCACACTCGGCTAATTTTTTATTTTTAGTAGAGATGGGGTTTCACCATGTTTGCCAGGCTGGTCCCACACTCCTGACCTCAGGTGATCTGCCCGCCTTGGCCTCCCAAAGTGCTGGGATTACAGGCATGAGCCACCGCGCCCAGCTGAGGGTCTCTTTAATCAATGGTATCACTCACTCAGGCAGCTTACCTGTGAAATGCAGGATGAAAAGGGACCCAGCTACTGTAGTGGCTGACAGCCCCCCTTTCACTCTCTTTTCTCACATCACTCTTTGCGGATAACCAGAATCTCTTGCTGCCTTGTAGTCTCTACGAAATCAGGAAATTACCCCCCATAATCCATTTCATACCATAGAAATCCATACATAACAATGTGTTAACTCTTCTCCCAGGTCTCAGCATGTCAAAGACTTAACTCTAATTGAATTAAATGTTTTGTCTCAAAACACCTTGTAAACTTTCCTGACCCCAACCTACACTAAAAAATACATTTTATATCAAGCCCAATACATACACAGATGTAACTGAAAAGTTTTATGAGATATACTTACCCTGAAATATTTTTCATAAAGGTGTCCTGAAATAATAGAGTATTCCAATTCAGTGACATTATTTTATTCCATTAAAAAAAAAAAAAGCTAGTCTCTGTAATCCCAGCACTTTGGGAGGCTGATGTGGGCAGATAACACGGTCAGGAGTTCGAGACCAGCATGGCCAATATGGTGAAACCCTGTCTCTACTAAAAAAAAATACAAAAATTAGCTGGGCATGGTGGTGTGCACCTATAATCCCAGCTACTCAGGAGGCTGAGAGAATCGCTTGAACCCGGGTGGCAGAGGCTGCAGTGAGCTGAGATCGGGCCACTGCACTCCGGCCTGAGCAACAGAGCGAGACTCCATCTCGAAACAAAAAACCAAAACAGAGCAAAAAAAACACGCTGGTCTCACCCACTACACTGATTTTATAATAGGTCACTATCTGCAGTTTGAAAAAGTGGTCAAAGGAGTAGCAAGCATAAAAAGTAAAATATCTGCAGTAAACGATGTCTATTTCTGCAATAGGAATATACCAAGGTGGGGGTGGTGCCAAGATGGCCGAATAGGAACAGCTCCGGTCTACAGCTCCCAGCATGAGCGACGCAGAAGACGGGTGATTTCTGCATTTCCATCTGAGGTACTGGGTTCATCTCACTAGGGAGTGCCAGACAGTGGGTGCAGGACAGTGGGTGCAGCACACCGTGCGCAAGCCAAAGCAGGGCGAGGCATTGCCTCACTCAGGAAGTGCAAGGGGTCAGGGATTTCCCTTTCCCAGTCCAAGAAAGGGGTGACAGACAGCACCTGGAAAATCGGGTCACTCCCACCCGAATACTGCGCTTTTCCAATGGGCTTAAAAAACAGCACACCAGGAGATTATATCCCACACATGGCTCGGAGGGTCCTACACCCACCGAGTCTCGCTGATTGCTAGCACAGCAGTCTGAGATCAAACTGCAAGGTGGCAGTGAGGCTGGGGGAGGGGCGCCTGCCATTGCCCAGGCTTGCTTATGTAAACAAAGCAGCCTGGAAGCTCGAACTGGGTGGAGCCCACCACAGCTCAAGGAGGCCTGCCTGCCTCTGTAGGCTCCACCTCTGCGGGCAGGGCACAGACAAACAAAAAGACAGCAGTAACCTCTGCAGACTTAAACGTCCCTGTCTGACAGCTTTGAAGAGAGTAGTGGTTCTCCCAGCACGCAGCTGGAGATCTGAGAACGGGCAGACTGCCTCCTCAAGTGGGTCCCTGACCCTCGAGCAGCCTAACTGGGAGGCACCCCCCAGTAGGGGCAGACTGACACCTCACACGGCCGGGTACTCCTCTGAGACAAAACTTCCAGAGGACCGATCAGGCAGCAGCATTTGTGGTTCACGAAAATCCGCTGTTCTACACCCACCGCTGTTCTGCAGCCACCGCTGCTGATACCCAGGCAAACAGCATCTGGAGTGGACCTCTAACAAACTTCAACAGACCTGCAGCTGAGGGTCCTGTCTGTTAGAAGGAAAACTAACAAAGGACATGCACACCAAAAACCCATCTGTACGTCACCATCATCAAAGACCAAAAGTAGATAAAACCACAAAGATGGGGAGAAAACAAAGCAGAAAAACTGGAAACTCTAAAAAGCAGAGCGCCTCTCCTCCTCCAAAGGAACGCAGCTCCTCACCAGCAATGGAACAAAGCTGGACGGAGAATGACTTTGACGAGCTGAGAGAAGAAGTCTTCAGATGCTCAAACTACTCTGAGCTACAGGAGGAAATTCAATCAAACCAATGGCAAAGAAGTTAAGAACTCTGAAAAAAAATTAGATGAATGTATAACTAGAATAACCAATGCAGAGAAGTGCTTAAAGGAGCTGATGGAGCTGAAAGCCAAGGCTCAAGAACTACGTGAAGAATGCAGAAGCCTCAGGAGCCAATGTGATCAACTGGAAGAAAGGGTATCAGTGATGGAAGATGAAATGAATGAAATGAAGTGAGAAGGGAAGTTTAGAGAAAAAAGAATAAAAAGAAAAGAACAAAGTCTCCAAGAAATATGGGACTATGTGAAAAGACCAAATCTACGTCTGATTGGTGTACCTGAAAGTGATGGGGAGAATGGAACCAAGTTGGAAAACACTCTGCAGGATATTATCCAGAAGAACTTCCCCAGTCTAGCAAGGCAGGCCAACATTCAGATTCAGGAAATACAGAGAACGCCACAAAGATACTCCTCGAGAAGAGCAACTCCAAGACACATAATTGTCAGATTCACCAAAGTTGAAATGAAGGAAAAAATGTTAAGGGCAACCAGAGAGAAAGGTCGGGTTACCCACAAAGAGAAGCCCATCAGACTAACAGCGGATCTCTCGGCAGAAACTCTACAAGCCAGAAGAGGGTGGGGGCCAATATTCAACATTCTTAAAGAAAAGAATTTTCAACCCAGAATTTCATATCCAGCCAAACTAAGCTTCACAAGTGAAGTAGAAATAGAATACTTTACAGACAAGCAAATGCTGAGAGATTTTGTCACCACCGGGCCTGCCCTAAAAGAGCTCCTGAAGGAAGCACTAAACATGGAAAGGAACAACCGGTACCAGCCACTGCAAAAACATGCCAAATTGTAAAGACCGTCAAGGCTAGGAAGAAACTGCATCAACTAACGAGCAAAATAACCAGCTAATATCATAATGACAGGATCAAATTCACACATAACAATATTAACTTTAAATGTAAATGGGCTAAGTGCTCCAATTAAAAGACACAGACTGGCAAATTGGATAAAGAGTCAAGACCCATTAGTGTGCTGTATTCAGGAAACCCATCTCATGTGCAGAGACACACATGGGCTCAAAATCAAGGGATGGAGGAAGATCTACCAAGCAAATGGAAAACAAAAAAAGGCAGGGGTTGCAATCCTAGTCTCTGATAAAACAGACTTTAAACCAACAAAGATCAAAGGAGACAAAGAAGGCCATTACATAATGGTAAAGGGATCAATTCAACAAGAAGAGCTATCCTAAATATATATGCACCCAATACAGGAGCACCCAGATTCATAAAGCAAGTCCTGAGTGACCTACAAAGAGACTTAGACTCCCACACAATAATACTGGGAGAGTATAACACCCCACTGTCAACATTAGACAGATCAACGAGACAGAAAGTTAACAAGGATACCCAGGAATTGAACTCAGCTCTGCACCAGGCGGACCTAACAGACATCTACAGAACTCTCCACCCCAAATCAACAGAATATACATTTTTTTCAGCACCACACCACACCTATTCCAAAATTGACCACATAGTTGGAAGTAAAGCACTCCTCAGCAAATGTAAAAGAACAGAAATTACAACAAACTGTCTCTCAGACCACAGTGCAATCAAACTAGAACTCAGGATTAAGAAACTCACTCAAAACTGCTCAACTACATGGAAACTGAACAACCTGCTCCTGAATGACTACTGAGTACATAACGAAATGAAGGCAGAAATAAAGATGTTCTTTGAAACCAACGAGAACAAAGACACAACATACCAGAATCTCTGGGACACATTCAAAGCAGTGTGTAGAGGGAAATTTATAGCACTAAATGCCCACAAGAGAAAGCAGGAAAGATCCAAAATCGACACCCTAACATCACAATTAAAAGAACTAGAAAAGCAAGAGCAAACACATTCAAAAGCTAGCAGAAGGCAAGAAATAACTAAAATCAGAGCAGAACTGAAGGAAATAGAGACACAAAAAACCCTTCAAAAAATTAATGAATCCAGGAGCTGGTTTTTTGAAAAGATCAACAAAATTGATAGACCGCTAGCAAGACTAATAAAGAAGAAAAGAGGGAAGAATCAAATAGACGCAATAAAAAATGATAAAGGGGATATCACCACCGATCCCACAGAAATACAAACTACCATCAGAGAATACTACAAACACCTCTACACAAATAAACTAGAAAATCTAGAAGAAATGGATAAATTCCTCGACACATACATCCTCCCAAGACTAAACCAGGAAGAAGTTGAATCTCTGAATAGACAAATAACAGGCTCTGAAATTGTGGCAATAATCAATAGTTTACCAACAAAAAGAGTCCAGGACCAGATGGATTCACAGCCGAATTCTACCAGAGGTACAAGGAGGAGCTGGTACCATTCCTTCTGAAACTATTCCAACCAATAGAAAAAGAGGGAATCCTCCCTAACTCATTTCATGAGGCCAGCATCATCCTGATACCAAAGCCTGGCAGAGACACAACAAAAAAAGAGAATTTTAGAACAATATCCTTGATGAGCATTGATGCAAAAATCCTCAATAAAATACTGGCAAACCGAATCCAGCAGCACATCAAAAAGCTTATCCACCATGATCAAGTGGGCTTCATCCCTGGGATGCAAGGCTGGTTCAATATACGAAAATCAATAAATGTAATCCAGCATATAAACAGAACCAAAGACAAAAACCACATGATTATCTCAATAGATGCAGAAAAGGCCTTTGACAAAATTCAACAACCTTTCATGCTAAAAACTCTCAATAAATTAGGTATTGATGGGATGTATCTCAAAATAATAAGAGCTATCTATGACAAACCCACAGCCAATATCATACTGAATGGGCAAGAACTGGAAGCATTCCCTTTGAAAACTGGCACAAGACAGGGATGCCCTCTCTCACCACTTCTATTCAACATAGTGTTGGAAGTTCTGGCCAGGGCAATTAGGCAGGAGAAGGAAATAAAGGGTATTCAATTAGGAAAAGAGGAAGTCAAATTGTCCCTGTTTGCAGATGACATGATTGTATATCTAGAAAACCCCACTGTCTCAGCCCAAAATCTCCTTAAGCTGATAAGCAACTTCAGCAAAGTCTCAGGATACAAAATCAATGTGCAAAAATCACAAGCATTCTTATACACCAATAACAGACAGAGAGCCAAATCATGAGTGAACTCCCATTCACAATTGCTTCGAAGAGAATAAAATACCTAGGAATCCAACTTACAAGGGATGTGAAGGACCTCTTCAAGGAGAACTACAAACCACTGCTCGATGAAATAAAAGAGGATATAAACAAATGGAAGAACATTCCATGCTCATCGGTTGGAAGAATCAATATCATGAAAATGGCCATACAGCCCAAGGTAATTTATAGATTCAATGCCATCCCCATCAAGCTACCAATGACTTTCTTCACAGAATTGGAAAAAACTACTTTAAAGTTCATATGGAAGCAAAAAAGAGCCCGCATCGCCAAGTCAATCCTAAGCCAAAAGAACAAAGCTGGAGGCATCACGCTACCTGACTTCAAACTATACAAGGCTACAGTAACCAAAACAGCATAGTACTGGTACCAAAACAGAGATATAGATCAATGGAACAGAACAGAGCCCTCAGAAATAATGCC
Organism: Homo sapiens; assembly: GCF_000001405.40. Taxonomy (NCBI): domain Eukaryota; kingdom Metazoa; phylum Chordata; class Mammalia; order Primates; family Hominidae; genus Homo; species Homo sapiens. Next base: position 122,737,710 of record NC_000003.12, read on the forward strand.
ACATATCTACAACTATCTGATCTTTGACAAACTTGACAAAAACAAGAAATGGGGAAAGGATTCCCTATTTAATAAATGGTGCTGGGAAAACTGGCTAGCCATATGTAGAAAGCTGAAACTGGATACCTTCTTTACACCTTATACAAAAATTAATTCAAGATGGATTAAAGACTTACATGTTAGACCTAAAACCATAAAAACCCTAGAAGAAAACCTAGGCAATACCATTCAGGACGTAGGCATGGGCAAGGACTTCATGTCTAAAACACCAAAAGCAATGGCAACAAAAGCCAAAATTGACAAATGGGATCTAATTAAACTAAAGAGCTTCTGCACAGCAAAAGAAACTACCATCAGAGTGAACAGGCAACCTACAGAATGGGAGAAAATTTTCACAACCTACTCATCTGACAAACGGCTAATATCCGGAATCTACAATGAACTCAAACAAATTTACAAGAAAAAAACAAACAACCCCATCAAAAAGTGAGCAAAGGACATGAACAGACACTTCTCAAAAGAAGACATTTATGCAGCCAAAAAACACATGAAAAAATGCTCATCATCACTGGCCATCAGAGAAATGCAAATCAAAACAATGAGATACCATCTCACACCAGTTAGAATGGTGATCATTAAAACATCAGGAAACAACAGGTGCTGGAGAGGATATGGAGAAATAGGAACACTTTTACACTGTTGGTGGGACTGTAAATTAGTTCAACCATTGTGGAAGTCAGTGTGGCGATTCCTCAAGGATCTAGAACTAGAAATACCATTTGACCCAGCCATCCTATTACTGGGTATATACCCAAAGGACTATAAATCATGCTGCTATAAAGACACATGCACACGTATGTTTATAGCGGCACTATTCACAATAGCAAAGACTTGGAACCAACCCAAATGTCCAACAACGATAGACTGGATTAAGAAAATGTGGCACATATACACCATGGAAAACTATGCAGCCATAAAAAAGGATGAGTTCATGTCCTTTGTAGGGACATGGATGAAACTGGAAATCATCATTCTCAGCAAACTATCGCAAGGACAAAAAACCAAACACTGCACGTTCTCACTCATAGGTGGGAATTGAACAATGAGAACACATGGACATAGGAAGGGGAACATCACACACCGGGGCCTGTTGTGGGGTGGGGGGAGGGGGAGGGATAGCATTAGGAGATACACCTAATGCTAAATGATGAGTTAATGGGTGCAGTACACCAACATGGCACATGTATACACATGTAACAAACCTGTACATTGTGCACATGCACTGTAAAACTTAAAGTACAATAATAATAAAATGAATGAATAAATAAATAAATAAATAAAGGACTATACCAAGAATCACAGCTACCTTACTTTGGCCACATTCTCTGTCCCAATGTACTTGATGAGGTATTGTCAATGAGGTCTCATTTTTATTATTCATTCATTCAAATATTTAATAAGCACCTACTACATGCTGGGTACTCATTGCGGCTCTACAAATAACAGCAATAATCACAGTCCCTACCCTTAAGGAGTTACATTTTGGTTGAGAGAGATAGTAATGAAATTCATAGGTAAATACATAGTGGTCCGATGGAGATAAAAGCCACAGAAGGGCTCTTTTCAGGCCCTTCTTTCCCTGGCATGCTTACATAACAATACCCTCCTTCCCTCTGTGACAACACATACTTTCTTTGGATTTACTGATACTCATTACCTCGAGGACAGTAGGATAGCCAGCAATCAGTTCATCTCAAAGGTGACTTTGCATATCTTTTCTGTTGTGTATTTGTTTCATGCATGGTTACTCAGAGATCAATATGCTTTTCTAATTTCTAAATTCCTTCTTAGACAGTAATGGTAATTAATTATCCCTGGATCTTGCAAATGTAATGAGAGTGGGATCAATTTCACTGAGCTAAGCCTTTAGTCACTGTTTGGGGAGTTTGAGTCCTTTTTAGCCCTAGGATTGGTGTCCCTAGATGTCCAAGTTCCTTGCCTAAAGAGGCCTCATACTGAACCCACAACTACTTTTCTCCTGATTGGTATCCTACTCTGAATGACAGGGGATAACCAGTGAGAATTCTGCAGCTGTTACAAGTGAGATCACTTCAGAGCGAGGCTAGACTCCAGACCCACTGGATCCATTAGACCAGAGGCTGACAAAGCTTTTCTGTAAAGGAACAGATACTGAATATTTTTTCTGGGCCATACACTCTCTGTCACTACTCAACACTGCCGTCGTAATCCTGAAGACATCATAGACAATATGTAAATGAATGGCATGGCCGTGTTCTAGTAAAATTTTATTTGCAAAAGTAAGCAGCCGGTTGGTCCCTGGTTGAGGCTGAGGAAGACATTACTTCCTGCTGGAAATACTTGGGACTTACATTTGACACAGGCTAAAAGTATGGGATGAGAGAGGAACAAAAGCTTACAAACAAAGAGCAGCCAGTTTGGCCAAAGAGGAATGTGCATGAAAGAAGGTGGCAACAGACTGACATGTAATTCGGTAAGGATAAATACATTTACAAATGTGCAAACTGACCTTTTGCTGGTTCATCTTTATTTTAGTCATACTACTTAAAAATATATATTTAAAAAATATTATTTTAAAAGTCATCTTCCACTTGAATCATAAACTTCTTCCTTGTATCAAAAGTTGTGCCACTATCCTGGTTACTTGTGGATTCACCAAGCAGTCCAGCAAGTCATCCGTAGAAATGAATGTTTGAGGAGTCGTAGTAGTATTTGAGGCAATCTGTTCCTCAATTGCATTTTCACTGTTGCTCATTATTTGTTGTCTCTTGGCACAATGCAATTTTCCAAAGTGTTCTCCATCCTTGTCCACAAAGTCTTTCCCATCACTTCCAAATATGCCTCCTCTTTCTGAAGGCGGTTCTTCGGACCTCTGTGCTACAGGGACCAGATCAGGGCCAAAGGGACTTGCTGCCTCCGGTTTGTCTGTTCCTGTGGTCAAGTTCTGGCTACCTGTTTGGCCCACCTCCATGTGGTTGCACACATTTAATTCTTCCTTTTTCATGTGCTCTCCATCTGTTCTCAGTGCTTGGATTTCTACTACCTCAGATGTTCTGCAGCGATCAAAAAATGCAGAAACAGCTGCATTTAAGTAGCAACAGTTGACTGCATGGGACGTTTCCTCAACCTAAGGGAAGAGAAAAACCTTTTAAAATGGTTACATACATTTAGTTACACTGGAAAACATATGTTCTAGTCAGGGCTGGTTTACCACAGGAAACTAACTGCCATGATGAAGACCAGAAGCCGCCTACCTCAGTGGGGTTTAACCAGGCTCTGGTATTTTGTGGATTCTCTGCAGTTTTCAGGGCACACACAAGCATACGGGTGATTGCCTCTTCTACCCGGGCTAGGTGATCCTCTTCCTGAATTAAAAAAACACGCTTTTAACTTCTGTTAAGTCTCATGGCTTTTTAAGAGATAATAAAGTCTGTTTTAATTTCATCTTCTGTTCTCTCATTAATATAAGCTTTGTTATAGAAGGAATGAATATGCTATTGGTAGAACCACAATTTTTGTGTATTTACTATCACCTGCCATCTAGAAGAGCTGCAGAATATTTCACCAATCAAATTTAAGTATGTATTCTATCTATAAGTCATGGCCTTAAGTATGAATCACCTTATGATATTTTCTCCAATCTTTTCCATTATTTGACATGTTTAAAGTTTTTTTTTTAAAGTACCACATACAGAGGAATAATCCCTATAGAGTCTGACAAGCAAATTATTTCAGAGATGGAAGAAAAATTACAATAAACATGCTTGGCTACAAGAATGAGATGGCTATCCATCTAAACGTGGCTTTAAGACAGAGTAAATATAAGGTATAGCATTAATGAGGAACTGCATTAAAATCAACAACTTCTGTTTACGAAAAAACACCACAAAGGAAAAAAACAAACTAGATGCCTGTAACATATATAACTGATAAAATATTAATGTGTAGAATAATCTACACATATCAATAAGAGAAATGAGCAAATTTTAAAAAATGGGCAAAAGACACAATGATAAGCATTTTAAAAAGGAGCAATCAGAGGACTAATAAACATATGAAGATATGTTTAGCCTCCAGGGAAGTGCAAATTGAGAAATCCATGAAATTGGCAAAAAGGGGCCTGATAGTTCCAAGTGGGACATTGAGAGACAAAAGTCTTATACACTAATGGGAAAGCAAACTGATAGAGACATTTGGAAAACATGGGTGGCATTATCTCGTAAACTTGAGTATTGTATACCCTATGGACCAGCAATACCACTCTGAGATTTATACACAGTCTAGATAAACTTTTGCACATGTGTGCCAGGAAACATGTACAAGAATATTCTGTTCATAGAAGCAAAAAATTGAACACTGAATCATCCATCAATAGAACAATGAATAATATATAAATTATTATAAATATAATAAATTATTGATATATATACATATATTAATATATGAATAGTAACTAAAATAGTAACAATGAATAAATATTAATAATGAATAAATTATGGGCTACCTTAACACAGTATTATATCACAGTGAAAAGGAATGAACAGCTTACATGTGACAACACAAATGAATCTTAGAAACACAATATTGAACTTAAAAAAGCAAATCTCCATGATGAGATATGACTTCACACCAGGATAGTGCTAATAAAAAAAAGACAGATATTAACAAGTGTTGGTGAGGATGCAGAGAAATCAGAATCTTCATACATTGCTGGTGGGAATGTAAAATGGTGCTTCAGAAACCTGGGAGTTCCTCAAAAGGTTAAACACAGAGTTACCATATGTAATGATTAATTTTGAGTCAAGGTGGCTAGACAATAGCACCCAGTTGTTTGGTCAAACAATAATCTGGATGTTGCTGTGAAGATAACTTGAAGATATTATTAGCATTTACAATCAACTGACTTTATGTAAAGGAGATTATACTCAATAATGTATGTGGTCCTTACCCAATTAGTTGAAGTCCTTAAGAGCAAAAACTGAGATGTCTTAGAGAAAAAAATTCTGCCTCAAGACTGTAATAGAAGTCCTATGTGAGTTTCCAGCCTGCCAGCCTGCCCTACAAATTTCAGACATGCCAGCCACTACAATCAAGTAAGCCCATTCCTTAAAGTAAATCTCAATCTCTTGTTCTCTATATAAATACAGACATTTCTATCTATGTATTTATAGATATCTACATTTACGTACATGTAGACATCATGTAAAGATATCTATCTACGTATATACTCATACGAATGGGATTACTGGATCATATGGTGTATCGGAGTTCCTCAGAGAAACAGAACCAACAGAAGATACAGTCAGATAACCAGATACAGACATAACACATAACATTAGATTCATTATATACCATAAGATTTAGCCAGGCTATAGCATGCATCAGTATTTCATTCCTTGTGATAGTTGAAAAACATTCCATTGTACACATATACCACATTTTGTTTATCCACTCATCAGATGATTGATATTTGAGTTGTGTCACTTTGGGCTATTATGAATACTACTACTGTAAACATTCGTGTAGAAGTTTTTGTGTGGGCCAGGCACGGTGGCTCACACCTGTAATCCTGGCATTTTGGGAGGCCAAGGCGGGTGGATCACCTGAGGTCAGGAGTTCGAGACCAGCTTCAACTTGGAGAAACCCCGTCTCTACTAAAAATACAAAATTAGCTGGGCCTGGTGGTGCATGCCTTTAATCCCAGCTACTCAGGAGGCTGAAGCAGGAGAATTGCCTGAACCTGGGAGGCGGAGGTTGCGGTGGGCCGAGATCGAGCCATTGCACTCCAGCCTGGGCAACAAGAGCGAAACTTTGTCTCAAACAACAAAAAAAAAAGTTTTTGTGTGGACATATATTTTCATTTTTCTTGGGTATACACCTAGGAATGGAATTGCTGGGTCATATGGTATATCAGTCAAGGTTCTCCAAAGAAAGAGAACCAATAGAAAAAAATATATATGTGTGCATATGTGTACAGAGATAAGACAGATGGATAGATGGACAGATAATGTGACAAAACTTTTTTGTTTAAACAAGAGAATGAGGAGAGTGAACGGAACAGACAGGAAAGGGATTGGGAAGAACACAGCACAAATGCAAGTTACTGATAAAATTCTAGGCTGGGCATGGTGGCTCATGCCTGTAATCCCAGCACTTTTGGAGGCCAAAGTGGAAGTACTGCTTGAGGCCAAGAGTTTGACGCTGCAGTGAGCTATGACTGCACCACTGCACTCCAGCCTGGGCAACAGAATGAGATTCCATCTCTAAAAAATAAAAAAATAAAAAATTCTAGTTTTCGGGTTAGGTAATGAGTTTACTGGTGCTCGTTGTATTATATATTATGTTACATATTCTTTTATATGTATAAATATAACAAAAGATATAACAAAGGAAAAATGCTGAGAATGAGAAAAAGCTTTAAAATTAACAAAATATTTTCTAAAAATGTTTAGAAAAAATACTGATAAATACATTTCAATACTCGAATAAGGAGGTGAAAAAGATGAAAAGGCACCAGCCAAGAAGAAATGGATCCTGCACCACTTGAACAGAGCTAAAATCTCTACTCTTTTCCAAGTATGTGATTCATGAAAGCAATATCAGAACCTGGGGTTAACTTGAGTTATATAAGTATGGTAGGCTCTAAAACCTATGAGCTTTTTGGAGCTAAATTTGGCAAAAAGAAGGAATTATTGTCCAATGTTGAAGAGACAATGATAAAAGCAACATATGACAGAGAAAGATATGATTATTTAACTCCAGTTGTGCATTCCAGTTTTTCAATAAACATTGAATGGCCTTCAAACAGAATTATACAGAAAGATGTTGAAGAAGGAACTGGAGGTCTGGTTTGGTGAAGGACAGAAATCATCCACTTGAAATCAGCATGAAGTTCTTAGCTACCATACTTCTAAGTACTACCTTGGAGTCTGTTTATAGTCAACGATACTAATCCTTTGGAAAATTATACAAAAGATGACTAAATAGTATATAATAAGCCTTTTAAAACACTGTGGTGAAGTCTTTCATGTTATTGAGGCCATGTAAATGCATATCTAAATAAAATATGAACAAACAGTATTAAAAACAGTATATCAAAACCAAGTGGTATTTACTCCAGAAATTAAGGATGAATCAATATTAGGCAATCAATTGATATAATTTATTGCAATATCAGGTGTTTACTAAAGAAGAATATTATGTAATCATCTTTATCAATTCAACAAAATTCAATACCTTTTCCTGATTTTGAAAAAAACAAAAAGTAATGAAATAGAAATTGATGGATACTTAATATGATAAAACACATACAACTCAGCCGCAAATCTAGCATTTCATAGTCAGGAACAAGACAAGGATGCCCACTATCTCCCCTATTATTAATGAATTGGATGGATTAGCCAATGTAATCAGACCAAATCTCCACCCCCACCCCACAATTATAGGCAAACAAATTAGAAAGGAAGAAGAAAAACTATCTTAATTTTCAGGTAATCTGAGAGATACCTGAAAACCCCAGAAAGTCAATATAAAACTACCACAAAATAAAATAATTCAAATTAACACAAAAATCAATAGCTATCATATACACTAATAATATCCAGTTAGAAGACAGAATGGAAGAGAAGACCTTACCCTAGCAGCAAAAAAAGATGAAATATGGCAGTCCGCCCTTATCTGCAGTTTCGCTTTCCACAGTTTCAGTTACCCGTGGGCAATCTCAGTCAGAAAATATTAAGTGAAAAATTCCAGAATTAAACAATTTATAAGCTTTAAGTTTCATGCAATTCTGAGTAGTGTGATGAAATCTCTCACCATTCCACTCCACACAGTATACATCACCTGCCTCTGAGTCACTCAGTAGTTAGCTCAGTGATCAGATCACTGTCATGGTATTTGCAGTGCCTATATTCAAGGAACCCTTATTTTACTTAATAATAGCCCCAAAGTACAAGAGTTGTGATGCTGGCAATTTGGATATGCCAAAGACAAGGCATAAAGTGCTTCCTTTAAGTGAAAAGGTGAAAGTTCTCGACTTAATAAGGAGAAGGAAAACCAGCATGCTGAGGTTACTAAGGTCTATGGTAAGAAGAAATCTTCTATCTACAAAACTGTCAAGAGAAAAAATTATGGTAGTTTTGCTATCACACCTCAAACTGCAAAAGCTGCAGCCACAGTGCATAAGTGCTTAGTTAAAATGGATTAAGTTTGCATCTTAGCTAAGACATTACATTTGTAGGTGGAAGGCATGAACAGAAAAGTGTTGACTGATTACAATCGGGTTTGGTAATACTCGGGGTTTCAGTAATCCACTGGGGATCTTGGAATATATCCCCCGAGGATAAGGAGATACTACTGTATTTAGGAATAAACATTTAAAAGAAATGTGCAAAGCTTATGTGAGGAAAACTTTAAAACACAGCTGTAAAAACAAAAACAAACAAAACTGAACTTGGATACATGGAAAGGCACCTAATTTGTGGACAGAACAATTCAACATCATAAAGCTCAGATAAAATTTAATATGGATCAAAAAAAAAATCAAAAGGTTTTTTTTTTTTTTCCTAAAGCTAGACAAGCTGATTTTAAAGAACACATTAAAAAAACAGAGGCAAGAATAGCCAGAAAAACCCTGCAAAACAAAGCAATGGTCAGTCCTACTGATGTTAAAACATAAGACCTCACTAAATAAATAGGCAGAAAGACCAATGGACAAAATAGACCCAGATATGTTCAGGTATCTAGTATATGATTAAACAGACATTTCAAATCATGAAGGGAAAACAAACTGTAAAATAAATGATGGTCCTGACAATCCTATTACCATTTTGGAAAAGATAAAATTAGATCTCAGCTCTCTCCTCTCTCCTCTCTCCTCTCTCTCTCCTCTCCCCTCTCCCCTCTCCCCACGGTCTCCCTCTCCCTCTCTTTCCACGGTCTCCCTCTGATGCCGAGCCGAAGCTGGACTGTACTGCTGCCATCTCGGCTCACTGCAACCTCCCTGCCTGATTCTCCTGCCTCGGCCTGCCGAGTGCCTGCGATTGCAGGCGCGCGCCGCCACGCCTGGCTGGTTTTCGTATTTTTTTGGTGGAGATGGGGTTTCACTGTGTTGGCCGTGCTGGTCTCCAGCTCCTAACCGCGAGTGATCTGCCAGCCTCGGCCTCCCGAGGTGCTGGGATTGCAGACGGAGTCTCGTTCACTCAGTGCTCAATGGTGCCCAGGCTGGAGTGCAGTGGCGTGATCTCGGCTCGCTACAACCTCCACCTCCCAGCCGCCTGCCTTGGCCTCCCAAAGTGCCGAGATTGCAGCCTCTGCCCGGCCGCCACCCCATCTGGGAAGTGAGGAGCATCTCTGCCTGGCCGCCTATCGTCTGGGATGTGAGGAGCCCCTCTGCCCGGCTGCCCAGTCTGGAAAGTGAGGAGCATCTCTGCCCGGCCGCCATCCCATCTAGGAAGTGAGGAGTGCCTCTTCCCGGCTGCCATCCCATCTAGGAAGTGAGGAGCGTCTCTGCCCGGCCGCCCATCGTCTGAGATGTGGGGAGCGCCTCTGCCCGGCCGCGACCCCATCTAGGAAGTGAGGAGCGTCTCTGCCCGGCCGCCCCGTCTGAGAAGTGAGGAGACCCTCCGCCTGGCAACCGCCCCATCTGAGAAATGAGGAGCCCCTCCGCCCGGCAACCACACCGTCTGGGAAGTGAGGAGCGTCTCCGCCCGGCCAGCCGCCCTGTCTGGGAGGGAGGTCGGGGGGGTCAGCCCCCCTCCCGGCCAGCCGCCCCGTCTCGGAGGGAGGTGGGGGTCAGCCCCCTGCCCGGCCAGCCGCCCCGTCCGGGAGGGAGGTGGGGGGTCAGCGCCCCGCCCGGCCAGCCGCCCCATCTGGGAGGGAGGTGGGGGGGTCAGCCCCCCGCCCGGCCAGCCGCCCCGTCCGGGAGGTGAGGGGCGCCTCTGCCCAGCCGCCCCTACTGGGAAGTGAGGAGCCCCTCTGCCCGGCCAGCCGCCCCGTCCCGGAGGGAGGTGGGGGGGTCAGCCCCCCGCCCGGCCAGCCGCCCCGTCCGGGAGGTGAGGGGCGCCTCTGCCCAGCCGCCCCTACTGGGAAGTGAGGAGCCCCTGTGCCCGGCCGCCACCCCGTCTGGGAGGTGTACCCAACAGCTCATTGAGAACGGGCCATGATGACAATGGCGGTTTTGTGGAATAGAAAGGGGGGAACGGTGGGGAAAAGATTGAGAAATCGGATGGTTGCCGTGTCTGTGTAGAAAGAAGTAGACATGGGAAACTTTTCATTTTGTTCTGTACTAAGAAAAATTCTTCGGCCTTGGGATCCTGTTGATCTGTGACTTTACCCCCAACCCTGTGCTCTCTGAAACATGTGCTGTGTCCACTCAGGGTTAAATGGATTAAGGGTGGTGCAAGATGTGCTTTGTTAAACAGACGCTTGAAGGCAGCGTGCTCGTTGAGAGTCATCACCACTCCCTAATCTCAAGTACCCAGGGACACAAACACTGCGGAAGGCCGCAGGGTCCTCTGCCTAGGAAAACCAGAGACCTTTGTTCACTTGTTTATCTGCTGACCTTCCCTCCACTATTGTCCTATGACCCTGCCAAATCCCCCTCTGTGAGAAACACCCAAGAATGATCAATTAAAAAAAAAAAAAGAAAAAAAAATTAGATCTCAAACTTATACTATATCCTAGTGAAAAACTTCCAAATGGATAAGAGATCGAAATGCAAAAAACATGAAACAATCTAAATTCTAACACAAAACATTGGTGAATTCCTTTATGACCTGGAAAGGGTCATATGACCTTGGTTTCTAATTATGACTCAAAAACAATAAAGTTCAACAACAGATTTTGTTGGTGAGGCTGTGGAGGAAACAAGCACTTTCACATACTACTAATGGAAATGCAAAATGGCACAATCACAATGAAGCTGAATTTGGCAAAACCTAACAAAATTAAAGATACATTTACCCTATGACATGGCAAATCCATTGTTAAGATCTCCCCCAAAGACACACTTCAACAAATATAAAACAACATATGCACAAGGTTATTCAGTGGCATTATTTGTAATTACAAAAGACTGGAAACAACCCAAACATCTATCCTTAAAGGAACTAATGAACAGTAGAGCACCCATACAGTGAAGTACTAGACAGTGGTTGAAGAAAAATATGAATATTTCTCTGTACTATTATGTAGTGAAATTCAAGATATTATTGTTGAAAAAAGCAAGGTATGGAACACTATAGTTTATTACTTTCTATGGAATAAAGGATAGAAAATTTAAAATATATTTGAATAAGTATATAAATAAGTAAAGACATATTTATATGCTTATGCACTTTGTACATATAAGACTGTTTATATACTTATTTACATATATAAATATATCTATTCATTTACTTACTTTTATATATAGATATAGATATATATGTTTACAAGAAACACTGGAAATGATAAACCAGAAATGAATAAAAATGGATCTCTATAAAGGTTGGGAAAAATGGAGTGGATGGAACAGGGATGAAAGGCAGACTTCCCTGAGTATAACTTTTAACATAGTTTTGACAAGTTAAATGTTCTACATATTTAAAATATTAAATTAGATCAAAATTTTAAAAAGGTAAATCCTAAAATTGAAAACAAACTGAAACAAATGAACTTAACTAAATATCCAATTAGTAAAATAACCATAAATGAAAAGAATTCCTTCACAATGACTCCTGAATAAAGGACTTTGTATCTATCCCTCTTAGTGATAGATACAGTCTAATAATAAAAAGAATTGCAAAGAAATCTTAATTTTTACTTGCAAGCTTTATGGTTAGTAGTAATATTACTATTTGAATTTTGGAAACATAAATTTGACATCTTTTTCTTTTTTTGAGATGGAGTCTTGTTCTGTCACCAGGCTAGAGTGCAATGGCGCGATCTCAGCTCACTGCAACCTCCACCTCCTGGGTTCAAGTGACTCCCCTGCCTCAGCCTCCTGAGTAGCTGGAACTACAGGCATGCGCCACCATGCCCGGCTAATTTTTTGTATTTTTTTAGTAGAGAAGGGGTTTCACCATGTTGGCCAGGATGGTCTCAATCTCCTGACCATGTGATCTGCCCGCCTCGGCCTCCCAAAGTGCCGGGATTATAGGTGTGAGCCACTGCACCCGGCCAAATTTGATATCTTAAAAAATATATTGCTGGATACAGCAAACAAGTAAATATGTTACTGGTTTTCTTTCTTTTTTTTTTTTTTTGAGACAGAGACTCGCTCTGTTGCCAGGCCAGAGTGCAGTGACTTGATCTCGGCTCACTGCAACTTCTGTCTCCCTGGTTCAAGCGATTCTCCTGCCTCAGCCTCCCGAATAGCCGGGATTACAGGTGCGTGCCACTATGCCCAGCTAATTTTTGCATTTTTAGTAGAGATAGGGTTTCACCATGTTGGCCAGGATGGTCTCGATCTTTTGACCTCATGATCCACCCACCTCGGCCTCCCAAAGTGCTGGGATTACAGGCGTAAGCCACCGTGCCCGGCCTTATGTTACTGTTTTTAAGGACCCAGATTTTCAGTGTTAAGAGAAGAGATAAAAATACAGAAACAAATAAAAAATTCTATCATGTTAAACTTGAATTAGATACTTTTATAGTTCATAAGTCTGATGATTGGGTGTCATGCTCATGTGTGAGACATGCCTCCCTTAAGCCTTGTTATGACGTCAGCATATTACCTGTCTAGATATATTTTTTAAACACATGAATTAGAAATATAAATACATCAATATCTATCTATCTATCTATCTATCTATCTATCTATCTAATCTATCTATCTATCTCACATTCTAGCTACATCACTGAAAGAGCCTAGAAACACTGACACCCAGGAGCAATGAACAGATTTAGAGCTGAGATCTCAGTTTCTAAATGCCATTTCCTACAAAAAGAACTGTGGCTACCTGGAGAAATGATTGACTTCCAAGTGTGGGGCACTAAAGGAGAAAGGGTATCCTGGGATATCTTCCTGTGCCAGAAAGCCAGGATACACTCAAAGTCTAATTAACGGGGACATATCAAAAGGGCACAGGCCAGCTTGAAGTTTCACTAAAATGACAGATAAGACCCAAATTTAAAATTATCTTGTCAAGCTGGAATGCTCAACCAAACCAATATGATGAAAATTAACAGGGATGACTGTGAAATACTGGATTTAGAATTAAAATCAGCTTTATAGGTACAGGATAGGATTCAACCTGCCTGACAGCAGATCATGTGAAAAAAAATCACAGATATTTTAAAGTTGAATATGAAACTAAAGTGAGATGAGATTACTTAAAAAACTAACCCAATATTACAAGCAGCACTGGAGATATTTAGGATCGAGATCATGTGGGGTAGAAATCTTATACTCTACCAAATAAGGCCTACTGATATTCAGTTTTAGGCACTATATATTAAGAGAACTATTCTTGACATAATAGCTCTCCCTCCTCCTCATAGCAATTTCTACTTTTTAAACACTTCCCATATGCCACGCACTATATTAGATGCTTTTACAATGTGTTGTCCAATTACTCTACTGAGGTGGGTTCAATTATAATCCTCATTTTACAAGAAAATGGAGGCTTGAAGAGATTAAGTAATTATCTATGTTAGACAGCTAACAAAGGTAACCTGTATCTTAAAGTTGCCTGATTCCAAAGTCTATGGCCAGAATGGTAAAAAGTCTGGAAAAAGGAAAAAATCACCCATAAAAACACCCCATTAAAGAAAGTAAGAGGTTTTGAGCATGGAAGAAGAAAAGATTATGGAAAAACTTGGAGGTATTTTCAAATATTTTAAAAAGATGACAGCTCTACTCTTTAACAACAAGCGAACTTCCTTGGGAGGTGAAGCACCTGTCAGGGCTATTGTAGATATGACTTTGGCATTGGGAGTGGAAGTTCTCCATGGATTCTACCTTGACATCTGCTGCAACTCCAGTTCAGCATGCTATAGGCGAAATTTCTGTGACGCTACTGATCTCCTGCCATACCTCTCACTTAAGCCTCAAGGGCTACAACTCTTCACTAAGCCCACACAACATAGCTTTCTGTAACAATATTCCTTCTGTTCCACTGATTCCAAAGCCATTCCTATTAGCAAAGGATAGGAAAAACTAGACTAGGGAGAGGATACGGCTGTCAAACAGAGCAGAAAGATGCAATCCAGGCTTCAGGTCAAGGAGAGCAGAGATGCAGTCAGGGCCTCTGGTTAAAGAGAGGCAGCTGCAATTAAGGCCCCAGTTGAAGAGACAGACTTGAGCATAACAAGCAGCTATTCTAATTGTCAAATAGAGCAGGCAACCAGGATTAAGCTTAACACATCAGAGGGAAAGGCTTCTGGCAGAAATGAAATGATAAAAACCTAGCACTGAAAGAAAGACTCCGCTTTGAGAATATGTAGAAGCCAAGACAGAATTCTGCAATTAGTAATGACCCTGAACCAAGAAGCAGGTATTTCCAGCCCAGATGGTGTGAAAGAGGAGCGGCAACAAGGGACACATATCGGCAAATCTGGCCAGGCCCAATACAATTTTCCTAACAACACTGGTCAAGGGAAAGGACCCTGCATGCCAGCATCAGGCGCATTCTGTGTCCTTAAAAGAAAGAGAGTGGCACACCACTAAAATTCCAATTTCCAACCTAAACATCCATTAACAGAAGACAGAATGCATACGTTATAGTGCACTGCAACAAAAAAATACTGAAGCATTGGTTAAAAAAAATTAATTACCCAGTTGTACAGCCAGACCTTATATATCTTTTAAAAGCATGATTTGCACTTACTTAAAAAAAAAAAAAAAACAACGAAAAAGTACCAGTTCAATCCATGAGTTTATACTGACAGTGACAGGATCAATGGATTCTACGTAATGCCACCAGTGTCTGGGAACAAAGAGAACCTGAAAACCAAACAAAGAATGGTTAGCACAAGAACAGGACGTTTCATTTTTATGTCAGAATCAGACCCTAATTGAGGCTGCTAGGAAAAAAAGGAATACAAATGAATTCACAATAATATTGCTGGAGAAAAGTAAAGTAAGAAAAAAAACCCCGCAAACCTTTTTTCCTTTTATTCCTTTTTTATTGACAAGTTCACATGTTCTACAAAGGATACTGCCAGCATCTCTATTCTCTTTAATCCTGGGCCTTCTTTGTCTGCACCTAAATCTTAGTACATGATTCTGAGATTCTAATTTTTCCTCCTTTCCGTCACAAAATAGTTGCGTGCATTCTGAGAAAGGGCATAGGTAAAACACATAGGACGTGGCTTCTGTTTTCTCACAGCTCAAAATCTAGCCAATGAGAAGATAAAGTATAGAAAGGTGGCATTATAGAAGTGGTAAATCAGGGGACAATGGTGTTTCAGAATTTCAGAGGTGGGTGAAACAGGCATGAACTAGGGAGGTCAGGGGCAACATGGATGGAAGAAGTGTGATTTGAACCCGGGCTAGGAGAGAATTTAGACACAGAAAGAATGAGGACATGCCAGGAAGGATAAGAGGTACAGGTGAGGGAGGTAGGACTACAGAAGATAGCAAGTAGGTCAGTCTTACTATCACAGAGGGAATAATGGGAGATAAGGTAGGGGAATTAGTTTAGGGACAGCGGACTTCAGAATCTAGATTTTATCTGGTAGGCACTAGGAGTTGTTGAGAAATTCTAAGTAGGGGGATGGTTAAAATAGTGGTATCGAGAGAGTCTGAGAAGGACAGGAGATACTTGCAAAGGTCCACTTATTAAACGTTAAGATATAAATAGGAAGGTATAATAAACAAAAGCAATGGGCAGAGTCAAGAAGGATGGCATCTATCCAGACTCAGTATGAGATTTCCTATTAAGAGCAGAGTAGATGGAAATGATGTGAAGCTTTTGGGCTTCACATTAGGAAACTACTGGTATTTGCTGTGAACAAGGCAGGACTGGGAAATAGAAAGAGAGATCCTTTCAGGAAAACTGGAAACTATAAAAGGCCACTTGATAGTCATTAGTAGGTTATGCATGTCCTATCAGAGTAAAGTTTCAGTAAAGTGGTGACAGAAAGAGCTGGGTTTGAGTGGATTAAAGAATGGATAGGATGTAAGGAAAACTGATACAATAGGCAAAACCAATCACTCAAATTTGGCTATTAAACACAGAAGAGAAAATGAATTGGCAACCACTTCACACTCTCTGGAATGGCTGTAAAAATAATGATAAAAAAGCAAAACAAGTGTTGGGAAAGATAAAAAGAAATTGGAACCCTCATACAATGCTGGTGGGAATGCAAAATAGTACAGCTGCTATGGAAAATAGTTTGACAACTCCTCAAAAAGTTAAACACAGGGTTACCATATAACCCAGCAATTCTACTCCTAGGTATACCCAAGAGTATTGAAAACATATGTACACACAAAACTTGTACATGAATGTTCAAAGTAGCATTACTTATAATAGCCAACAAAGCAGAAACAACCCAAATGTCCATCAACTGATGAACAGATAAACAAAATGTTGTATATCCATACAATGGAATATTATTCAGCCATAAAAAAGAAATGAAGTGCTAGTAACATTCTATGACGTGGATGACCCTTGAATACATTATGCTATGTGAAAGAAGTCAGACACAGAAGGCCCTGTATTATAATATTGCACTGTGTGAAATGTCCAGAATGGGCAAATCTAGAGATAGAAAAAGATTAGTTGTTGTCAGGGGCTGTGGGGAGAGGGGAATGCAGAGTGACTAACAGGTCGAGGCAACTCAGTCAAGTGAAATTGTTTGAGTTGATAGTACTTGAGTGAAGGAAGCAGGAAAAGAGCCAGTGAGACCGGTACAATGGATGGAAGACAGGCAAGGGAGAGGGATAATCGAGAGAATAAAATCTTCTTAAGTGACTAAGAAAACCTTTCAAATTATTAATGAAATATCAGACAGCAAGTGCCAATGTTGAAAAGGAAATTTTCCTCACTGGGAAGCAGCACTATGTACAGTACCTTTGGAAATGTTTCAGAGTTAGTAATTTATGAAAACAACATCCATTTTTGCTTAAAAGCAAACATTCTCGGTTCCTTCTGCCCGTTGGCCCACACCTGGAGGCATTCCGACCTGTGTTTATGTGTCTGGGTTCAGTGCTATCATAATTGAACAGATACTAACTGTGATTAAATGTTCCAGAGATGCTCGAGTACCCATGCCTTGAACATTTTCTCCTGACCTAAATGAAAATGACTCTTGTAGACTGTCTTCCTCCAAAGTCCATTCTCCTCTTTACCAATAGGAGGAGCTGTGTTCCCTCTTGCCATTTCCTTTCCAGGACCTGTGAAGCAGAGGTGTATGTGTCTGAAGCCTACAACTGGGGAAGCTACCTTCCAACAGCAGAGCAGAGGGAAGGAAGCCATTCTCATTTGCACTGCGCAGGGAGGGGAAGCACACAGCATAAGGACTTGAGAGAGTTACAGCTGTGGTGTCCCCTGGCAGGTCATTAATGTTTTAAAGCCCTATTACCTGTCCTGGGCTCAGTGTAACCGCATGTCTTTGAGCTTTCCGGAACTGAGGAAAACGCTTTAAATCAGGATTGACAACATTGATTTTACTGAACACACTAGATTCTTCATAAGGGATTCTAGTTGGATAAAGGAAAGGAGTATCTTCAGGAGGAAAGAGATGCCATCGTTTCCTAATTAAAAAAAAAAAAAAAAGATACAAGTTAGTACTCTGACCTTAAGACAAAACATGGAAGAAGACAAAAGCTAAGTGTTCATTTTTACTTGTTTAAATTCAATCCCTAAGGGAATATAGGCACCATCAGTGGTCACCTGTCCATCTCTGACTCAGCGCTAGAATCCCTCTGCAGATACCGGGTGGAAGGTTGTGTAGCAACTAAGGGGCTGCCTCATGGATGTCTCAGGACATCCATGAGGCAGCCTCTTACATTGCTGGGATAGAATCTAGTTCATAAGATCATTCTTTCTTATCTCAAATCAAAGTCTGCCTTCTCATAAATAGTTTTCATCCCTGACTCTAGAGCTATTCACAATAACCCCCACCCTTTCAAATATCTGTATTCTTATCTTATTCAGAGCAAACACTCATAGTTCTATCCACCAAATAGTTTCCAGACTTCTCCCTGTTTGGGTTATAAATTCCTTAAGTTAAACATTTGTTAAGTTGATCCATTAGGGAGTGGACATGCACAAATAATGCCACATAAATAAAGCAGTATAATATAGGAATTTTCAAAGAAAACTGTTAAAATGTTTGTCATTTAAAACAGTTTTGAAAATGGAGGTAATAAATTCTAACTCACAAAACACTAGACACTCCTATGCTTTATGCCAATAGAGGGAAGACATCTGAGGCAAAAGCGAGAGAAGTATGAGAAAAAAATGAGACCCAGACATCTAGATGTCTAGATGGGGAGGCAAAGAGAAAAGAGGGAAAAACCTAGTTCTGAGAAAAGAAGCCCAAAGCCCTCTAGTGACCCCTTGCAGTTGTTAGAATGGGGCTATCAAGTCCTTTCAGAACCAAGAAACAGCGGCTGCTGTTTTCGAACTAAGAAGTATATGCTGAAGTCTTATTTTGCTTTGGAAATTTGAAGGTTTTATAGAAATAGTGAAATTCTTTACTCTTCAGTAAACATTTACATTCAAGCCATGTATGGTGGCTCACTGCCTGTAACCTCAGCACTTTGGGAGGCCGAGGCAGAAGGAATGCTTGAGGCCAGGATAGAGAACAACCTCGGAGCCTGGGAAACATAGCAATACCTCATCCCCATAAAAAATTTTCTTAAAAAATTAGCCAGGTGTGATGGTGTGTGCCTGTAGTCCCAGCTACTCAGGAGGCTGAGGTGGGAGGATTGTTTGAGCCCAGGAGTTCGAGGAAGCAGTGAGCTATGATTGTGCCACTGCACTCCAGCCTGGGTGACAAAGCAAAACCTTGTATCTAAAAAAAAAAAAAAAAAAATTCATTTCGGAGCTATAAGGCAGCCTATCAATTTACACGGCCATCAGCTTAAAAACCATTGAGGTTCAAAAGCTGTTTGCCTAATCTTAAAGCTTTAACTTAATTTAAGCTTTAAGAGCTGCTCCATTCCACTGTATGATTAGTTTGAAAGCAGTTTTCAGTATTGATATGCTTCGAATGTTAGAGTTGGAAGGGCTCTGAAGAGATCATCAGTCTAATTTCATTTCCAAAGTAGTGGCAGAAAGACTCAGAGCTTGCCCAGTGTCACTCACTGGGGTAGTGGTGGATTCAGAGCTAGGTCACAGATCTCCTGGCTTCTCCAGATCCCAGTTCCTTCCCCTGCACCACAGCAATATTTCCCAAAGGAACAGCCATAATGATAACCATCCCATCCAATCTGCTTTGTTTGGGTTAAAAAATGTAAAATGCATGAATCCTTCTATTAGAAAAGGTATTCAATCATCATGTGATCTCCTGCTTTAAAAACTTCTCATGGTTCTGGATGCTGAAAGAACAGAGAATAACAGTGTCTGCCTGGAAGTCAAGACCCTGGGGACTCAACCTACCTGCCTTTCTGGTCTACTCCCTCTGTCTCCAATGCACAACATATACTGGACAACTCAAGGGGTCCTCTCTACACCCCATGCTTTCTCAGGGTCCCTCTGCCCTTCCCATCTGGGTCTTTTGAGCACTTATCCATCCTTCAAGGCCCACCACAAATGGCAGCTCCTCTGTGAAATCTTCCCTGATCTTTACAACAGGAACATGATCTCTTCTACTTTTTAGTCCCACAGCTCTGTGAAACCTTCCTCTAGAGCATGGGTATTCTGCCTTGTATCATGGATGTCTGTCGGCTTGCCTTGCACTCTGGCTGTAAACTCCCATCATAGAGAGGGTGTCTTACTCCCTCACCTCTGTACCTACTGTAACACATGGTCCCTGTACAGAAGGATACTCAATGGATATTTACTAAAGCTATTTTATTATTCCAGAGTTATATAAGGCCAGAAAATGTCTTATTACAAAGTTAAAATAAAGTGATATTAACTTTATATCATAGAGAGAATTCAGGTATTTTTTGATGTTTTTCCAACTTGAATTTCTTTGGCTTGTTTCCAATTCAGAACACATGGACAGCAGCTACTTAAAATGTTGTCTCTCTTACCAAGTTTAAGGTTTCAGCCTGTTAACTCCACAAGGATAGAGACCACACTCATCTGATTGACTCTTGCATCCACAGCGTGTAGCTATGTACCTGACACATTCTATGCCCTTTAATAAAGACGGAATGCATCAGAGAGTGGACTAACTTCTACCATTCTGTAATTCTCAGAGTTCTTCACATGTGAAATGTATCCACAGACATACTGACTATTTCTCCTGAATCTGCTCATAATCCTTTTCACATCTAATAGGTCTGAGAACTTGCACATGACCTTTTCTGTTTTACTCTCTGTGCTGCCCTGTAAATGTCCCACATGACCAGGAGAAAAGACTGGGGCATCATTAATTAGGGGAAAATAAGGCTGCACATACATCTGAGTACATCCTCCAAGTGGCACAAACACTTAGACTCTCATAGAACTCCAGAAACCAGGTATATCAAAAGCACTGCCTATCCCTCGTATCTTCTAGAGTCCACAGATAGATGGAGACAAAAACTGACCTAAGGTAACAATACACTGTATTGTGTCAAGTAGGCACAAACTAAAATTTAGAGTTGAAAGCGTCCAGTATTTTTCAAACCAGGATCGCTGGCATCCCTTGGAGAGGAGCTTGAGGGCAACAGTGAAGCCTCTTCCTTTCAACAAACTGCTCTGCTCTTATTTATTTAGATTTGAAGAAAGGGTGTTCCCATTTTTAAATAAAAGTTTGAAAACTACAAACTCTTATGTAAAAAAGAAAAGCTAAGCATAGGCTGGGCATAGTGGCTCACACCAGAACTTTGAGAGGCCAAGGCAGGAGTATGGTTTGAGGCCATACTTGGGCAACACAGAAAGACTCCATCTCTAAATAAAAAGTTTTTTAAATTAGCTGGGCATACTGGCACACACCTGTAGTCCTAGATACTTGAGAGGCTGCGGCAGGAGGATGGCTTGAGGTCCAGGAGCTATGATCATGCCATTGCACTCCAGCCTGGGCAACAGAGCAAGACTGTCTCAAATGTCTCTAATTTACCAAAAAAAAAAAAAAAAAAAAGACCAAGCAGAGAGCTGTCTAGCTGACCTGGGAGTGGAATCTCAGAGTTCTAGAATAAACTCTCTGAAGACAATCCTGATCATGACAAGGCACGCACCTGTAAACCACCATTTTAACTGTCCTCATTTCACAGAGGAGAAACCAAAACCAGAGGTTAAGAGGTCTGCCCTAATCATGAGGCAGGCTGACAGGATGGGGCTGGGACTACACCTTGGGGTATTGCCCTATTCTCTCTGCCACCCCTATTGCATGCATGCACATGTGCGTTCCACACACACACACACACACACACACACACACACATTACCTTCCTTGTACCTGGAATACCAAGTTACAACCATAGGAGTCCAGATGACAGGGTGTGTGGGCTCCCAAGGAGCCAATCCACAATGTACTTTCCTGTCCATTTCTTCCAGGAAACCCGAAGTCAGACCATTTCACATCCTGTTTTGAAATAAAGTTGCAATCCATCAAGAACTAACCAACTTCTCTGTATGGTAATGCTGCCCATTTTCACTTGCACATCTGTTATTTAGCAGTTGGAATATTCTATTATGGAAAATGCTACAGATGGAAGAGGTTAGGTTTCCAGGGCAGTTCAAGAAATCTTTTTAGCCAATAACATATTTGAATAACCACACTAATAGTAATCATTCAACAAATATTTACTGACTACTTACAACATGCCAGGCACTGTTCTGGAAGCTTGTAATGAATCAATGAACAAAAGAGACAAAATGCCTACTCGGATGAAGCTTACATTTCAGAGTTGGAAACAGACAATAAACAGACAGGATTATGCTGATATTTAGGGAAAGCGTGTTTTGGGCAGTTAGAACAGTGAATGCAGCGGAAATGGCATTATTTCAAATATCTCTGAGACACAACCGAAGAAGTCAGAAAGCCGTATTTCCTCTAAGCAGTGCAGATATTTGTGTACATACGCAACTTACTAACTTTGTGTACTTCAATGACCACATAAATGAAGACTTCTCCTACATTAGTGGGGTTACTTAAAACTATCAATGCTGGAGCCTTAGCTCATACCTACTAGATCAGTCTTCAGATGAGGGTGTCAAAATACATCTTTTGAAATATACATCCATGGATGGCTTTCAATATACTCCCCAAAGTCATGAACTTCTTAAGTGCAATGATCTTTAGAACAGAGACAGCATAGTGCTCTGGACTTAAGACTCTCCATATGCCTGGTTCTGTGAGCAAATCCTGCCCAAGTCAACTACTGGGAAAAGCCTATACTTTTAGAAGCCGATGGCGCATTTGCAGCACAGAAAAATAGGGTCACACATAAACCCAAATCCATGTGATTAAACAGATTTATAAGCTAGAAAAGAAAAAAAACATACTAGTGAACCAGGCATGATGGCTCTGCCTTATTTTTATTTTAATCATGAGGTTTTCCTTTCAGTTTTAAAAAATAAAAGCAAAAAAAAAAACACCCCACTTCTATGTGCAGAACATCGTTCTCAATGCTGACACTCCTTTTATCAGTAACTACAGTCTAAATTTTCTATTTTTAGAGGGAAAACATTAACAGCTGTATTCAAAGAGAAAGGATTTTAAAGAGAAATTTAATGGATGGTTTTGAGGAAGACTAGAAAGAGCATTTTTTTTTTTCATTTTTGCTTTGAGTGATGAAAATGGCTGAATACGTGCACATAATTAATGTCTGTCATAGAAGGGGGAATTTTTGCAAGGTCAGCACCACTGTAAATGCACATGGCTCACATGTGGCAGTTCCAGTGGGTGGCAAAAATCCTGTTCTCTCTGCATGTAGCCTATAAGCTCCATACTGGGAGCTTACCCCTGTTTTCTCAATGCCTAATTTAGTACCTGGCTCAGGGTTACAGCTTGGAACACACTGGCTGCTTGGGAGGGAAAGAAGAATCTGTTGACTTATGATGGTTAAAATAGTTCAGGCCAATGACATTTTTGAGTACCTACCATATACGTGGTATGATGCTGGGTGCTGGGGATACAAAAATTAATATAACACAGGCCAACCCTTCAAGTCTAATAATGAGTGATAATCCCATAAACAGAGCCTTTCAATATGATGTAACAAGCGCTCTGACACAAGTATGCAGGGAATGCTTTAAGATCACAGCAGGAGGGCCCTGCACCCAGCCAGGGAGCTTAGGGGAGGCTTCCAATTAACCTGGTCCTTGTTGAACAATTTACCACACCTCAGTCTGAGGAATTTAACTAAAGGTAGCTGAAAGCCATTCAGTATAAAAAGGAAAAAAGAGAGACTTGCCTTAGCTAAGAAGAGATAGGTCATGTGATTCTTAATCTTATAGATACATCCCTTCAGGAATCTAATGAATACCAAAGCCCCTTCTCCTCAGAAAAAAGCACACACGAAACTTTATATATACTTTCAAAGAGGTGACAGACCAACCCCACATGAAAAACCCTGTTCTAGAGCCCTGCTTTGGAAAGAATCACTGAAGGTTTTTCTACAGGGTGAGGTTACTGTATGAGAAACTGAGGAGAGACTTCCCTGGCCTCCTGTCTAACAGTAATAATGACTTAAAAAGCAAAACTGTCAGCCAGGTGCAGTGGCTCATGCCTGTAATCCCAGCACTCTGGGAGGCTGAGGTGGGAGGACTGCCTGGGTCCAGGAGTTCAAGACCAGCGTGGGCAATGTTTGGTGAGGCTCTGTCTCTACAAAAAGGTTTTTTTTTTTTTTTTAACAAATTGGCTGGGCGTGGTGGCATGCACCTGTGGTCCCAGCTACTTGGGAGGCTGAGAAGGGAGGATCACTTGAGCTTGGGAGGTCAAGGCTTCAGGGAGCTATGTTTGCACCACAGCACTCCAGCCTGAGTGCCTGAGTGACAGAGCAAGACCTTGTCTCAAAAAAAAAAAAAAAAAAGCAAAATTGTCAGTGTAAAAATAGACAGCATTGAGAGTTGGGATTCTCTTCCCAATTAAGTTCAGCCACTTATGGGTAGTCAAATGTCTGAAGTCAATGTGGGCCCAGGAATCTGTCTTGAGTCTTGCTAGAAACAGGAGGCCCTGTTTGAGTGCTGCATCTGTAAAACCAAAAAGGGTGATCAGTGGGGTGATCTGTTCTGGAGTCTACTCATACATACCTCAAGAGTTGGAAAAATCTTTAAAAATCATCTATTCTCAGCAAGTTCTATTCTACACCATCCCTGAAAAGAGCGACAAGTAGCTAGCTAGTTGACCACTTACTACAAAATCAGTATCTACTTCCTGGTAGCTTACAGAGGAGGGTCCTAGATCTGCTTTCTATAACTAAAGAGAACAAGTTTATTTCCTGCCAAAAATTGCTATTTTTATCAGAAAACTGTCCAACTTCTCCTTTATCTTTTTTTTTTTTTAACCTAGACACAGCAGCATTAACTTTTCCTTCCAATTGCTCTTCTCTCAATTTCCTTTACTTTGTCAACAGCCCTAAAGCCTGGCTCCCAAACTGAACCCCAGATACAGTCTACACAGAACCTGTATCCATGGAATTGTAACATTCCATGACCCGCACATCATACCATTAATGCACTGTCAGACGGCACTTTTCTTTTTAAGCAACTAAATTATACCAAGGCTAATATTGGGCCTCCCTGTCTCTTACTTGCAGACTGTTGCTTAGCATATCTCTTCAGCCTTGACTTATAGTCAAGGACTAGCCTAATATTTCCTAATTTTCCTTGTGATTTACTATTTGACTTATGGATTATTTGGAAGTGTAATGTTTAATTTCAAATTTTTGGGGATTTTTCAGCTATCTTTTTGTCATGAATTTTTAATTTAATTCTGTTGTGGTGAGAGAACATAATTTGTATGAGTTAAATCCTTTTAAATTATTGAAACTTGTTTTATGGCCCAGAATATAATCAATCTTGATAAAGATTCCATATGCACTTGGAAATAGTGTTTTCTGTTGTTGGGTGGAGTGTTTTATAAATGTCAATTAAATCAAGTTGATTGTTCAAGTCTCCTGTATCCTTACTGATTTTCTGTATATTTGTTTTACCCATTATAGAGACAGAGGTATTGAAATCCCCCTACTATAATTGTGTATTTGTGTTTTTCTCATTTTAGGTTGGTCAGTTTTGTTCATGTATTTTGAAACTGTTATTGGGTTCATACACATCTGGGATTATTATATCAGCTTGGTGAAGTGACCTTTTATTGTGATGAAATACCCTCTCTACCTTGGGTTTACTTGTTCTGATGTTAACTATGTCTGTCTCCTCCTTTGATTAGTGTTAGCATGAAAAAGGAGTACTTACTATATGATTCCATTTTTATGAAATTCTAGAACTGCCAAACTAACCTGCAGTGACAGAAAGTAGATCAGTGGTGTCTGAGAATGAGGGTGTAGGGAGAGACAGGTTAGGAAGGGACACTGGGAACCTTCTGGACATGATCAAAATGTCTGTCATCTTGAATGTGGTGATGGTTTCTTGGGTGTAGGTATATGTAAAACTTAATCAAACTGTTCACGTTAAATATATGCTGTTTATTACATATCAGTTATACCCCAATAAAGCTGTGTGTGTTTTTTTTTAATACAATACTATTAGTACACTTTGGTCCCACTGTCTCGACACTAGCAGTTTTGTTCACCATTGCATTTGTATTATCAGTGCAAATGTCAACACTGTGAAATAAGCAAGTATCATCTTAGAAGTATTATGAAAATAATTTTGATCTCAAAGATCCTCTGAAAGGGTGTCAGGGACCCCCAGGGGTCTATGGGCCACTCTGGTTTACAACATCACAACTGTAATTACTCTATTTTTTTCTGTTCTGACTCCTCCTCTAAGTAATTCTAAAACAGTTTCTTATGAAAATACATTTTAAATCATACTCCAGATTAAAATTAAAATACTTTAATCATGTTCACAAACATTTTATAAGTTAAAATTATATAAGGATAGCATTTAAGACCCTCCCAAGTATGGCTGATGCCGCCTGTCTGCTCCACGCAAGGCCCTGTCCAATCTCCCCACTGACCTATGTTCTCTCTTCCCTCCTGGCCTCTGCTCATGCCCCCTTCAATTTCTGCCTGTTAAAGTTCTATGTTTTAGGGCCTGGCTCAGGTTCAGC
The DNA here is from genome assembly GCF_000001405.40 of Homo sapiens. Taxonomy (NCBI): domain Eukaryota; kingdom Metazoa; phylum Chordata; class Mammalia; order Primates; family Hominidae; genus Homo; species Homo sapiens. The sequence goes on from NC_000003.12 coordinate 122,764,014, forward strand.
CTTGGCTATGAAGCCTTCTCAACCGCTTGTCCCCATATCCATCTGTCCCTTGCCTTCCTTCCTATATGTTTTATTTGGATTACTATTTAAATGGTAAGCAACACAGAACGTTTGTGTTCTGTTCCTTTAACAATATTGTAAGCTCTTTGGGCAATGTTTTATAATTTTTTATTCCTGCAAACTGCTAACATAGTGCTGAATACATAATAGGTATTTGAATGATTATATAAGTGGATTTTTTCCTACTCTATTTCTTGTTTTGATATTTCTCTGGTCTTTAGGACCCCTCAGAGAATGTTTTGACTTAAACCCCTAGCTTCACCTTTGTCAAATTTTCTGTGGCTTCTAGTTAATCAGTGTAGCATTTGTCAGCCTTGGTAAGAAATTCTTAATCTCTCTGGCCCTCTACTAGTTTTTTAAGTTTTTACTTATAGCCTCTACTTGAAGTTTCCTCTTATTAACTCTTTTCTTCCACAAATTAAATTCATCCATGAAAAATATGTACATTGATAAACATACTAATATGATTGGAAAATATCCTGTAGCCTTGAGATGGCCTAAAAGTATGATTTTGACACTTAACTGACTTTTGTGTATAGCAAATAAAATTAATCTTATTATTTTTTAGTTATACATCATATCATTGACTAAATAAAGCATTTGTTTTGAACATTTTGTTCTCTACTTTCCTAGAAAGGTAGGGAATTTGTGACAGTACAAAACAAAATTTCTTGCTCTCAGACTCATTAGGTAAGAATGACAAGTTTTACCTTTTGCAATTATCGTAAGTATCATCATAATTGAAGTTATTAAGAATCAACATGTAACAAAAGGGATTTTGCCCCAAGGATGCTTCTCAGGTAGATTCCATTTGATATTGTGATTTGAATTGGCTACTGAAGGTCAGGAGCCTCGTTAAGTCACCAGGACACAGAATCCCAAAATACAGTAGATGGAAGATTAGTTGTAACATGTCTTGGACTTTAAAACATAGCTATGAGAGCATGTTGAAATTGAGGCAGGTGATTTGGTAATGAATAATGGCGTCTGATGGCCAGTGATGCTTTCTGATGAGACAAGTTGGAATGTAAGAATTAAGGTGTTTATCAAGCCTTTTCTGTTTATGTACCTAAGGTAATTTTTCTAAGGAAAAAAAGACTCAGACAATTGCTAATGTATAATGTCCATTTAAGGGGCTGTTTGAAATTTGGATTGAAATATTTATCCTTCGTAAGTTTTGGATAGTAATTATAGTTAATTATATTATTTTAAAAGTTGCATTTTTGGCTGGGCATGATGGCTCATGCCTGCAATCCCAGCACTTTGGGAGGCTGAGGCAGGCGGATCACTTGAGTTCAGGAGTTCGAGGCCAGCCTGGCCAACATGGTGAAACCCCGTTTCTACTAAAAATCCAAAATTTAGCCAGGTGTGGTGGTGCACGCCTGTAATCCCAGCTACTCAGGAGGCTGAGGCAGGAGAATTGCTTGAACCTAGGAGGCAGAGGTTGCAGTGAGCTGAGATCATGTGACTGCACTCCAGCCTGGGTGACAGAGTCAGACTCTGTCTCAAAAAAAAAAAAAAGAGAAAAAGAAAAAAAAAAAGAAATACATGAGCCTGAAAGCTTCCTAACACTATTTTTCTGATAAGAACAGTGGTATTAACAAATGTGACTTTTTGAATAATGAAATGTATCAAGTATACTGAAAATGTGTCAACATTTGGAAGATCTACTAATTCAGTAAGTCAATATTTTCCAAATGGTCCATGAATAACATTACATAAGATCCATTCTGTGCAAGACAGACCAATGGATTTTATAAGAGTAGAGAGTTCATTCATTATAGGTTCAGATTTTTATACTGCAACTAATGAACCTTTAAGAAACTACCCCTCATCAAGTTTGGTGTGTGTGGTATAAAAAAATCCACAATTATCTGAAAAGGCTGTTATTAATAAATACTCCTCCCTTTTTCAGTTTCATATGTGTGTGAGGCAAAATTTTCTTCATATACTTTAAACAAACCAACAAATTGCAACAGCTTGAATGGAGAAGCAGAGAATCCAGCTGTCTTCTTACAGCCAGACATCAAGAAGACATGCCAAAATGTACAACAATCTATCCCTCTAATGACATTAAACATTTTTTGAATATAGTTATTTTCTCAAAAATATTATTATGTTAACGTATAGTGGGTTGTGTCATTTTAAATAAATCAATAAACATTTTTAAAATGTACCCATTTTAATGTTTAACTACCCACCATTTTATGACAGATATAAGAAAGCTTGAAACAGCAAGTAATAAGACTTGGTGGCTGAATGAATTAAACCAACACAGGTACCTGTGATGTAAGAAGACTTGGTGCCCAGAAAATTTTGAGACAAAAGATGATATAATCTTAATGGACTTGGTTATTCATAGCAGAATTAATTGCCATAATATGAGCTGACAGAAAACTCATTCAACTCAAAATATCAGATTTTATAAGGGCTCAGTCAGAATTCCAGCACATTGCCAAAAGGCTGCCCTTTATATCCGCACTTAATGGACAGGTCACATACTGCACAGTACTGCCTTGCCTGGGGTGGGACAGAACTACTAATGGGGTCAGATCAAACACTCATCCAAGGCAGAGTGAGCCTACACTCAGGACAGAGAGTCCCAACAGGACCGAATGTATGCACACGCTCTGTAGGCACAGCAGTAATTAAAGCTCTGTAGTAGTTAAAGCTCTGAAGGCAGACTATTTGGGTTACCCCTTCCTTGTTGTATAATCTTAGAAAAGGTTTACTTAACCTCTTTGGGTCTCATTTTTCTTAAAATGGGGACAATTATTAAATCATAGAGTTACTTTGAGGATTATAAGTGTAAAACATTAGAAAAATTCCCCCAAAAAGTAAGTACATGATCAATGTTACTATTAAGCAATATTTTACCTGAAATATGGAGTAAAGTACTAGTCTAATTTACGGAATGGTGGGGCGTGGGTATGAGAAACATAACAAAACACTTTTAAAGTTAACTATGAAACCTGTAAGTTCCATAATTAAAGAACCATAAAGTGATCACAATTAAGGTTGTAAGAAAAAACATCTACCTTAAAATTATCATTTAAAAATGAGTAAATAGTAGATTTGGTATTGACTTTGAATTCAGAGTCATTTACTGAATGTTTTTAAAACCTATGCATTTCTTTCATGGGTATGAGAATGAAAATACATTCTCAACTAACAACTATGACAGGACGGGCACAGTGGCTCACGCCTGTAATCCCAGCACTTTGGGCGGCCGAGGCTGGTGGATCACTTAAAGTCGGGAATTTGAGACCACCCTGGCCAACATGGTAAAACCCTGTCTCTACAAAACAATACAAAAATTAGCTGGGCATGGCGGCAGTCACCTGTAATCCCAGCTACTGGGGTCAGGGGGTGGGTGATGGCTGTGGCAGGAGAATTGCTTGAACCTGGGAGGAGGCAGAGGTTGCAGGGAGTCGTAATTGCGCCACTGCATTCCAGCCTGGGTGACAGAGTGAGACTCCATCTCAAAACAACAATGACAACAACAACAAAAAAAACAACTATGGGGCAAGGTGACACATTTTTCCTTTTTTATAAAATAAAAAAGCAAAATTAAGCCAGGCGCAGTGGCACATTCCTATACTCCCAGCAACTCGGGAGACTGAGATGGGAGGATCTATTATAATAACTATGTTAACATCAGCATTTACATCTTGACTCAACATAAAAAAGAAAAATATACACTGAATGGAAAATTACTGAGGAGCCAAAGAACTATCAGCCTATATGAAAGCCAAGTCCAGAGAGTGGGTGGTGGCAGAGAGGAGAAGGGGTGAACAGCCTGCAGGGATGGTGAAATACTTCTCTCCACAAAGAAGGGGCAGGAAGAAGGACTCTGGAGCCTTGGCCTGAGTCAGGGCAAGGCAGAGTCCTCCAAACAGCCTCCAGGATGGCTCCCATTCCTGCCCCACACCTAAGACACATGGCAACAAGAGCAGGGAGTTTGCAAAATTATCTCACAAAATAAACTGCCAGTTTAAGGTAGAAAACACTTAAAAGAGGATATGGTAGTCTGGAAACTCTGTTGTCAGTTATGTCAACATACGGCAAAGAACTTCCATAATTTTACTTCTGCAAGTCACTCCCACACTTCTACAGGGCTTCCACTACCAAATACTGGGAGCCAAGTGTTCTCTGCCTCAGGCCATGAACTGCCAGAGAAAACAGCTGTCCAAAACCCCTAGAGCAGGTAGAAATTGCAGCAGCAGCCTGGTCACAGCCCAAGGAATGCTCCTTCACAGAATCAGCTTTATGCTTTCATCTGCCTCACTGACAGGACAAGAACTTATATGGAGGTCAGGAGGCAATGAAGTTTTATACACAATCTATGCTTCTAACATACTCCAAACCGACTCAAGCACTGTTTAAAAGCAAAGGAGGGTGTGTAGGAAGTTTGGGAGTAGGAAAACAAGGAAGCCTGCTCATCTGTGTGAGCCAAATGGTACACTTCTCTTCAGCAAATCTTTTGGTTTGAGTGGGTGAAATATCCAAGATTCATGGCGATTACTTATGAGAGAAAAAGGCAGAGAAGGTGCCAGGGAGATTCTAATTTGTGTTCTTTTCTCAAAAACAAATTCCTACCAAGATTAGAAGGAAGGTTCTGACTTACCTGGAAAAGATCTGTCTTGTCTTCAAATAGACTGACAAAATATTTATAGTCAGCATAAGCCCAGAACTTGGAATGGTCATAATCTCTAAATGGTCCAGAAATACTAGACTGGTCACAGTTCCAGGTCAGAAACTCTTCGAGTGTAGCTTCTACGTAATTACATGTAGTTTCAAACTGAGGAACTGCAATGTAAGAGAATGCAACCTTAAATGTATAATGAACACATTTCCTAATTATTGTTTTTTTTTTAAAATAAAGATAATTTCAACCAAAAAATTAACTTTGAAGACTAATTAAAAATTCGTGTTGAGCCAGGTGTGGTGGTGCATGCCTGTAATCCTAGTTTCTCTGGAGGTTGAGGCAGGAAGATGGCTTGAGCCCAGGAATTTGAGACCAGTCTGTGCAACAGAGCAAAACCCCATCTCCAAAAAAAAATTAATTAAAAAATTTAAAAATTAATTTGTACTTGTTATATAATGAGTGCCATTTACAAAATTCACAATACTCAGGATTAAACATAAAAGTATAAAGCAGTTTTAACCTTAAGATTAAAGACTACCCTATGAGTAGATTTAATAATCCAAACTTGAGGATTTAGTAAATAAAAACTTGAGGCACCATACAGTTAAATGCAAAATTTTATGCTGCTGACACCTGGAAAAGGCAAAGACCACTAGAGATGAGGGTTGATCAGGAAAGCTTCAATAAAAGATGTATTATCTGTCCACAGTGGCTTGTTATTATGGGTATGACTCCAATGAGTCAAGATTGGAGTCAGTGGATTGACACAAAAACTATTCTAAAAGAATGATGAAATTAATTTTATTTTTGCAACTTAAATGAACAGAGGAAGTTAATATTTAAGAAATCTGATTATGACTTCCTTTACAAAACATGAAATCCTTTCAGGATGTGATGTAGATCAGTTAGCACAGTGCTTGACACAGCAGATTTCAATAAATGTTCGCCACTATTTTTTTATTTTTTGTTTTTGTTTTGAGACAGGGTCTTGCTCATCATACAGGCTGGAGTGCAGTGGTGCAATCTCGGCTCACTGCAACTTCTGCCTCCCGAGTTCAAGCAATCCTCGCGTCTCAGCCTCTCAAGTAGCTAGGACTAGAGGCATGTGCCACCACGTCTGGCTAATTTTTGTATTTTTTAGTAGAGATGGGGTTTGGCCATGTTGGCCAGGCTGATCTTGAACTCCTGCCCTCAAGTGATCTGCCCACCTGGGCCTCAAAGTGCTGGGATTACAGGTGTGGGCCACCGTGCCCAGTCAATGTTAGGCACTATTATTAGTACTTCTTATCCATTCATATATTTACTTGGAACCCTTTAAAAGTTAGCTGAATCAGTAGCAGGAAGAGAAGAATATTCACATTCTTCTTTCAACAGCTTTTATCTTTTCTTACGTTTCTGCCTGTAACTGCTTAGAATTATCCAATAATCTTTTTCCTTTACCTTCTTTTTCCTAAGCCACAGAATGGCAGAGAGGTAATAGAGGCAGGGTGTATGTCAACGAATCATCCTAATTCATCCACTTTAACTTGTCACCTCACTTTGAGAAGCAGAAGAACTTAACTAGGGCACATTTATCTAAAAGATTAAAATGTACATATTCAAGAACTATTTAAATTTTAACAATTTTTGTAAAGCACTTAGTGCCTGGCACATAGTAAACAATCAATATACATAAACTCTTAACATACCAACATTGGCCAGGCGTAGTGGAACATGCCTATAATCCCAGCACTTTGGGAGGCCGAGGTGGGAGGACTACTTGAGCCCAGGAGTTTGAGATCATCCTGGGCAATACGGTGAAACCCTGTCTCTACAAAAAATACAAAAAAATTAGCCAGATGTGGTAGCACGTGCCTGTAGTTGCAGCTACTCGGGCAGCTGAGGCAGGAGGATCACTTGAGCCCTGGAGGTTGAGGCTGCAGTGAGTAGAGATTGTGTCACCGCACTCCAGCCTGGGTGACACAGTGAGATCCTGTCTCAAAAAAACAAAAAACAAAAAACAACCAAAAAATTATCAACTTCATCAAAAATTTACCATAAAAGCACAGAATTACATAAAGTTTAATTTTGACAAACAAAAGTGCATGTGGCAAGAAAGCTGTATGACTCTGGGAAATAGGAGTCATTTCTAAAAGATTTAAGTAACTCCACTATAAGCCTAAACATATTATACTGTCTTAGGAGTTTTCACTTCCTAGAATTCAGTCCAACTGAATACTAAAGCCATTAAATGAGCTACTTGCCCCTGGGGCGGACTAAGCAGGACTTTTCTGCTGAGGCCAGCTATCTCAGGCAAGCCTGATTTGCAGCCCCCAGAAACTGGCCTCATTAGAAGACTTCATTTTCTGTTACAGCAAGCTCTGCACATTAAAAAATGTTAAAACTAAAAATGTAAAAATTACATACGAGAACTGTTACTGTCAGGGGAAAATTATCATGAATGGAATGAATGGAAATGACAGATCTTTTCATTTCCATAATGATATAATTTTTTCACTCTTTCCTGGTAGTAGCATCATTAAAGGTACTGCTCTGATTTTGTTATAATGACAATTTCTTTCTGGGTAGTACAGTTGTTATTCTTAGTTTGTCTTATGCAATGAAATTATTCCTTTCTAATTTTACCATGATTCTTTCATTTAACGTTGAAGTAGTCTAGGCAACTATAATGTTCATCCTACTTACTGTAAAGTGCTAGGTAAGAAGCTCAACTGAGGTCAGGATTTGGCAGTGTTGTACAAGCTGAGCTTGCTTTTAATTATTATAAAAAGGGGTCCTAAAATAGTTTCTGCACAACAGGATAACAACTATTTCTCCATTTTGTTAAACTTTCATCATTTTACAAATAAGAAATACTACATGATGCATAAACTCTAAACAGGTCTTTCGATCACTCTATCCCCCTGCTTTCAGATGTTCAGGGTTATTTCTACAACTGCTTGCCAAATTTACTGCCAACTGAGATACAACACTGCCACTGAGCACGTATCTTGGGAAACAAATCTGATCCAAAATGCTATGTGATGTTCTCTATCTGCTTCCTAAAATAAACTAAGGAACACATGATATTCAAAAATGCCAATTATTAACACTTCTATTTCAAGTATTCTAGATAAATTCTAACCAAGACCTAAGACCTAAAACAGAAATAAGAAATACACTCAACAGAGAGGAAACAAAGTTATCCTTACTTTTAAAATCATATGCCTGTCTAACTAGAAAACCCACAAGACAACAAAAAACTACCTAGGCTAATAAGTAGGTGCACACAATATAAACACACAGAAACAACTGGCTTTTCTCTATGACCAATCACAACCAGTTAGAAAACTGTAACAGGCAAAAATATTTCCTTCGTAACAGTTATAATAAATTTACAATATTTTAAGGAATCTGTAGACCTATATAAAAACTATAAATCATTTTACTGAGAGCCAAATAGACTTGATAAGTAAAGATAACATGTTCCTGTGTGGGAAGATACAGTATTATAACAATGGGATTAATTAATTATAGAGCTTAATGAATTTTCATTTGAAATCCCAACAGGATTTCTTTACAGTGAGAACTTTGTGTAACTCTAAAGTTCATTTAGATGTATAAAATTCAATAATATATAAGAAAAAAGAGTAATTAGGGAGGATGAATTGTATATTCAAATATTAAAATACATACCAGAACTAAAATCATGTTTTAAAACTGTTTTACTGGCCCCCAAACTGGTAGCTTAATATGCGGCCCAAAAACCGATGCTGGAATATACAAGAATATAGTAAAATAATAAAGGTGATTTCCAAAGTCAGTAGGGTAAAAAATAAATATTCAGTAAATGGTACAGGAATAAAATTTCCAAATTTAGCTATTTGTGTAAAAAAAATTCATTGACTACCATATACCAAAATAAATAAGAAATGGATAGTTAAATGTAAAAAAGAAATAATCAATTAGAAAAAAATTATTAGAATATTTCTCTATTTTCAGGATAAAGAAGGAATTTCTGAAGTTAAAATAAAAATGTTAATAAAGCATTATTTGATTATATAAAAATATAAAACTGTGAAGCTAAAATGAGAAAGCAAACAATAACTAGGAAGCTTATTAGTTAACAACACAATCTTTATTTTTTCATTTTTTTTACTTATTTTTTTATTTCTAGAGGCAGGGTCTTACTCCATTGCCCAGGCTGGAGGGCAGTGGCGTGGTCAGAACTTTGAACTGCTGGGCTTAAGCAATCCTCCTGCCTCAGCTTCCTGAGTAGCTAAGACTACAGGTGTGCACCATCACACCTGGCTAATTAAAATTTTTTTTTTGTAGAGACAGGATCTTGCTATGTTGCCCAGGCTGTTCTGGAACTCCCAGTCTCAAGTGATGCTTCTGTCTAGGCCTCCTACAGTGCTGGGATTTTAGGTGTGAGTCACTGTGCCATGCCACAATCTTCATAATATATATGAAGAATTCAAAAAAATTTTTAAACCCTAAAATCCCAATAAGGAAATAGTCAAAGACCAATTATCAGGAAAAAATACAAATTACTAATAAACATGAACGTATGTTCAACATCACCAGCAATCAAATAAATGTGTTTTTTTTTTTTTTTTTTTTTTTGGAGACAGAGTCTCACTCTGTGGCCCAGGTTGGAGTGCAGTGGCACTATCTTGGCTCACTGCAACCTCTGCTTCTGGGGTTCAAGCGAGTCTCACGCCTCACCTCCCAAATAGCTGAGATTACAGGCGTGCACCACCACACTGGCTAATTGGCTAATTTTTTGTATTTTTAGCAGAGACGGGGTTTTGCCACGTGCCCAGGCTGGTCTCGAACTCCTGAGCTCAGGTAATCCGCCCACCTTGGCCCCCCAAAGTGCTAGGATTACAGGCATGAGCCACTGTGCCCGGCCAAATAAATGTTAATTAAAATAATGAGATAACATTTTTCACGTAACAGGGCCTCATTCTGTCTCCCAGGCTTGAGTGCAGTAGCATGATCACAGCTGACTGCAGCCTCGACCTCCCAGGCTCAGGTGATCTCCCATCTCAACCTCCTGGGTAGCTGGGACAACAGGTGCACACCATCATGCCAAGATAATTTTTTTATACTTTTTGTAGAGACAGGGTTTTGCTATGTTGCCCAGGCTGGTCTTGAACTCCTGGGCTCAAGCAATCCTCCTGCTCCAGCCTCCCAAAGAACTGGGATTACAGGCATGAGCTACCATGGCCAGCCTGAAAGATCTTTAAGATAAATTTCAGTTTTGGCCAAAGAGTAGCAAAACAGGAACCCTCACATGTTCTGAAAAGAATGTAAATAGAAACCGCCTTCGTGCAAAGCCCTTAGCTGTATGTTTCAAAGTCTTTCATTCTTTCACTTCACAAATTCAATGTCCATTAGGTGCTCAGCCCATGATGAGACGTGGCCCTTGCCCTCACAGAAGTGACCTTCTTGAGGGGAAGAGACTTTAAACAGGTAATTATACAACCATGTGATTACAACTGTGCTAAGTGTTACTAAGAAATACAAAGTGTTCTGAGGTAATTGAATAGTCACACCTGATTTGGGGTATGGGGAAGGATAGATTTGGTCAGGAAAAATGACATTTAAGCTAAGATCTGACAGAAGGAGATGAATTATTTAGGTAAAGTAGGGGGAAAGGGAAGTGAGAAAAGAGAGGCTAGACACAGGGAACTACATACACATGCAAAGGCCCTGAAGTAGGAAGAAACAAAGCCCTGGAAATACAGAAACTGAAAAATGCTTGTCTGGCCTGAGCTCAGGGACAGAAATGATGCTGGGCCTTCCACACCACAATGGACATTTTGGTCTTTAGCCTAAGCGTAACTGGAAGCCATTTAAGTGTTTTAAGCAGAGAAATAAGATTAGATTTGTTTTCCTAAAAGTCATCTCTGGCTTCAGTATGAGGAATGGTGTGGGAAGGGAGGGCAAGGGGTGCAGAGAGACTAGGATGAGGCCACGCAACTATGGAGGTGAGAGACAGCGAGCAGGGTAACGCCCACTAGAGGATGGCTGTGGAGACAGACAGAAGCAGGCAGATGCTAGATATTTAGGATGTAAGTCACTGAGTCACAAGACACCATTCAAGACAGGCAATCAGAATGATTCAGAAGTTCTGGTGTAAGAAGCTTCACAGATAGTGTTGCTACTGATGATAATGCTCATATCCTTTGATCCAGTAACTCTCCTTCTAGGTATCAATCCTAAGGAAGTAATCAGAAACTGACAAAATCTGTTTGCAAAGATGTTCACTACAGTCTTTTTAAAATTTAAAACTTGTAAGCAATCTAAATCATCAAAACTTTAAAATAAATTATGATACTACCAAACAATGAAATATTACGTAGCCATTGAAAAATCATACAATCTCAAGAGAAGCTGCTCAGAGTAAAAGAAAAAAAAAAAGCAAGCTGTGAAAATTAATATAACTTTATTTTTAAAATACAAAAAGGCCTACATGGGCATACCTCAAAATATAACTAGTGATTATCTCTGGGTAGTGGGACCTTTGCAAGTCATATACTTAATAAGGGTAGTATCCAGAATATATAAAGAACTCTTATAACTCAATAATAAAAAGACAAAAACAATTAGAAAATGGGCAAAGGATTTGAATAGACATTTTTCCAAAGAAGACATACAAATGGCCAACACACACATAAAAAGATGCTCAACATTATTAGTCATTAAGGAAACACAAATCAAAACTATAATAATACTTCCCATACACTAGAATAGTTATAATTTTTTTTTCTTTTTTTTTGTACTTTTAGTAGAGACGGGGTTTCACCATGTTGGCCAGGCTGGTCTCAAACTCCTGACCTCGTGATCCACCCGCCTTGGCCTCCCAAAGTGCTGGGATTACAGGCGTGAGCCACTGCGTCCGGCCTAGAATAGCTATAATTTTTAAAATGGAGTGTTGGCAAGGATGTGGAAAAAACTGGAACTCTCATACATTGAAGGTGAGAATATAAAATGATGCAGCTGCTTTGGAAAACGGTTTCTCAAAATGTTAAACACAGAATTACTGTATGACCCAGCAATTCTACTCCAAGAGAAATGAAAATACATGTCCACACAAAAACATGTACATGAATGTTCATAGTAGCATTATCTGTAATAGCCAAAAAATGGAATGACTCAAACGTCCATCAACTGAATAGATAAATAAAATGTACATATTTGTACAACAAAATATTATTTGGCAATAGAAAGAATTGAAGTACTGATATGTATTACAACATGGATGAACCTTCAAAACATACTAAATGAAAGAAGCCAGGCACAAAAGGGCCAATAGTGAATGATTCCACTTATATGATATATTCTAAGTAGTCAAATTCATAGACACAGAAAGTAAATCAGTGGTTGCCAGGGCCTGGGGTAAGGCAGAATGGAAAATGATGGCTTAAGGGGTACTGGGCTTATTTATGGGATAATAGCAATATTCTAGAATTAGATAGTAGTGATGATTGTACAATATTGTGCATATACTAACAACCAATGAATTGCATACTTTTAAATGGCTAAAATGCTAAATTTTATGTTATGTGGATTTTATTTAATAAAAAAGAACATCGTCTTTACTAAAAGCTCAGAGTCATTTCTCACAACCTCAGAGAGTTATTTTCCTTTTTTTTGTGCTTAAGTATTAACTTGAAAATGTCAAATTACTGTGTCTTATCTATAAAATGGGATAACAGCAGCTCTGTCCTAAGGTTTTAGGAAGATTAAGAAAGCTAATACCGTATGTGCAAAGTATTCACAATAGTGCCTGAAACAATAGCTTTAAATAAATATTAGCTATTGGTAGTATTGTGTACTTGGAGTCTAACTAGAATGTGAAAAAATTACTATTTCTATTTTTCTCCAAATTAGTGCCTAACAGACACTTCAGTGAGAGGCAGATTTCTTTGACTAAAATCAAGAAAGAAAAGGCACAATTTGATTTTTATGTTATTGCTGCTGGTCTAAATTGAATTTTAAACAGTTTGGTCTCTGATTATAATGAGATGACAAAGAGTTCCAGGTATATTCAACATGCTACACCTGTCACAGGAGTACAAAGGGGTTCCAGACACCAAAAACTAAATAATTCTGTCAGCTATACTACAAGGTCGAAATGAGAGAAAGCAGCTTGGAGCAGCAGGAAGCGAAGCTGGGGACTTTTCTAGTTCTCCTAAGCTATTAATAGATATTAATAAGCCACTTTACCTCAATGCTTAAAAAACTGAAATTCTAGACTACCAAACTTACCCATATTGAAATACAAGTTAAACATCAGAAAAATGATTATAGACTCTCTTAGATTAGAAACTGTAATTTTAGAGTTAATGGTAAATTACCTAAATTTTAGAGTTAATGGTAATTGCTTTATCTGAAAATAGGGCAAACAAATCAAAATGTTATGATTTTGATTTCAGAAAAGAAGAGGCAGAATCTATTTGCTTAAGAGAATAAAAGAGCGAGCTTTACATATGTTTCATGTTTGTGCAATGCAAAACAGGTCAGTCAGTCAATAAAGCAGAGGGATAAAATTACAACCAAGTAATTATATACAACTATAAATAGTGCCCGAAGCCACAAATAAAAGGACACATTCTACTTGAGTAAAAAGTGGACGGGACTATTAGATTAGTATTGGTCTAATAGGAACATGAATAAGAGCACATTAACAAATATTTATTTATTAAGTGTCTAACATTTAATGAACCACAATAATGTCTAGCAATATACATATAAGATACATGAACAAATACATTTTGTATGGGGTTATAAACTATAGACAAAACAGTCTATAGTTTATACAGACAAAAACAAAAAACACTTAAGCCAAACTGTTTTCCAAACCTTCCAATAAAATGTTCCTGTATGTGCAGTGAATGGTCAAAAAAAGGATTAGAAAGAAAGGATTCTCAAGAGATCAGGAGGCCACTGCTGAGAATGTAGGGATGCTCCTGAAGAGACATTATGATGGTGATTACCTATAGTCATACCTGTGCTCATGCTTTTCATCCCCATTCTGAATCGTATCTGCTTGCCATGAAGGACCTGCGAAAGGTATTTAGCATTCCAGTGTCGTGCTGGCCAATCAAACACCATGTTACAGAAGATTGCAGGTTGTTGTAAAGACATGATAATTTCTTTTGCTTTCTCTGGCTTAAAAGGTTTGACATGTTCACCTAGAAAGAGAAATGAATACAGCAATAGATAGAAAACTATCAAGTTTTTTCATACAATATGGAGAAAAAATAGCTAATATTGTTTTTATCATGGCAAATCATTCTCTACAATTACAATAATGTATACGTCATTTACTGCTGTTTATATACACATGTGGCCTCAAAAGACCTGATTCTTTTCTTTTTTTAGATCCAGGGGTATATGTGCAGGTTTGTTACATGGGTATATTGTAGAATGCCAAGATTTGGGTTTCTATTGAACCTATCACCCAAATAGTGAGCACAGTACTCAACAGGTAGTTTTTTTTGTTGTTTTTTTTTTTTAATGTGTATAGTGTTTTCCAAAATACTTACTTAGAAATTATGATTTAACTTATTAACAATAAAAAGTATATATAGTTCCAATTATAAGTTAATACACACACATTAAATACAATTTGGAAAATACTGAAAAGAACAAATTGATTGGTTGCCTATAGACTACAAACCAAAAACAACCACTGTTGCATTTCAGTTCCTTCTTTTTTTTAACCGTCAAGCTAGACATTTTTATTTTCCAAGGGTATACAAATAGAATTACTACAACCATCCACAGTCTAGTATTTCTTTTTTTTTTATTTTTTTTTTTTTTTTGAGACGGAGTCTCGCTCTCTCGCCCAGGCTAGAGTGCTGGAGTGCAGTGATGCGATCTCGGCTCACTGCAAGCTCCGCCTCCCAGGTTCACGCCGTTCTCCTGCCTCAGCCTCCCAAGTAGCAGGGACTACAGGCGCCCGCCACTGCGCCCGGCTAATTTTTTTGTAGTTTTAGTAGAGACGGGGTTTCACTGTATTAGCCAAAATGGTCTCGATCTCCTGACCTCGTGATCCACCTGCCTTGGCCTCCCAAAGTGCTGGAATTACAGACGTGAGCCACTGCACCCGGCCCACACAGTCTATGATTTCTAAACATTTAAATATCAATGGTTTCTGGAAGATGCTGTTATCCTTCATAGTTCATTGAAAGTTCACATCCCTTCTGTGAAAGCCAAACTTTTCTTCGACCTATAAAATTGTCTTTTCAGAAGTCTCATGGGATGTTTTGTTTGCTTCTCCATATTGATCCTTAATGTGATAGATTTCATTTTCTTTCTTTTTCTTTTTTTTTTGTGAGACAGAGTCTCGCTCTGTCGCTCTGTTGCCCAGGCTGGAGTGCAGTGGCGCAGTCTCGGCTCACTGCAACCTCCACCTCCCGGGTTCAAGCAATTCTCTGCCTCAGCCTTCCGAGTAGCTGGGATTACAGGCACCCGCCACCTCGCCAGGTTAATTTTTTGTATTTTTAGTAGAGACGGGCTTTCACCATCTTGGCCAGGCTGGTCTTGAACTCCTGACCTCGTGATCCACCTGCCTCGACCTCCCGTAGTGCTGGGATTACAGGCATAAGCCACCGCACCCGGCCACATAGATTTCATTTTCTAGTTGAACAATAGTCTGTTCAATCTCATAATTCTTACTGACCAGGGATACCCAATTTGACTCCATTTCTCTCAATTTAGATCCAGCGAGTTGCATGTTCTTTCTCTGCCCGTTAAACTCTTGAATATGTTTTCTTTTATTTATTTATTTATTTATTTATTTATTTTTTATTGATCATTCTTGGGTGTTTCTCGCAGAGGGGGATCTGGCAGGGTCATAGGACAATAGTGGAGGGAAGGTCAGCAGATAAACAAGTGAACAAAGGTCTCTGGTTTTCCTAGGCAGAGGACCCTGCGGCCTTCCGCAGTGTTTGTGTCCCTGATTACTTGAGATTAGGGATTGGTGATGACTCTTAACGAGCATGCTGCCTTCAAGCATCTGTTTAACAAAGCACATCTTGCACCGCCCTTAATCCATTTAACCCTGAGTGGACACAGCACATGTTTCAGAGAGCACAGGGTTGGGGGTAAGGTCACAGATCAACAGGATACCAAGGCAGAAGAATTTTTCTTAGTACAGAACAAAATGAAAAGTCTCCCATGTATACTTCTTTCTACACAGACACGGCAACCATCCGATTTCTCAATCTTTTCCCCACCTTTCCCCCCTTTCCATTCCACAAAACCGCCATTGTCATCATGGCCCGTTCTCAATGAGCTGCTGGGTACACCTCCCAGATGGGGTGGCAGCCGGGCAGAGGGGCTCCTCACTTCCCAGTAGGGGCGGCCGGGCAGAGGCGCCCCTCACCTCCCGGACGGGGCGGCTGGCCGGGCGGGGAGCTGACCCCCCCACCTCCCTCCTGGACGGGGCGGCTGGCCGGGCGGGGGGCTGACCCCCCCACCTCCCTCCCGGACGGGGCGGCTGGCCGGGCGGGGGGCTGACCCCCCCACCTCCCTCCCGGACGGGGCGGCTGGCCGGGCGGGGGGCTGACCCCCCCACCTCCCTCCCGGACGGGGCGGCTGGCCGGGCGGGGGGCTGACCCCCCCACCTCCCTCCCGGACGGGGCGGCTGACCGGGCGGGGGGCTGACCCCCCACCTCCCTCCTGGACGGGGCGGCTGGCCGGGCAGAGGGGCTCCTCACTTCCCAGTAGGGGCGGCCGGGCAGAGGCGCCCCTCACCTCCCGGACGGGGCAGCTGGCCGGGCGGGGGCTGACCCCCCCACCTCCCTCCCGGACGGGGCGGCTGGCCGGACGGGGGGCTGAACCCCCAACTCACTCCCGGACGGGGCGGCTGGCCGGGCGGGGGGCTGACCCCCCCACATCCCTCCCGGACAGGGCGGCTGGCCAGGCGGGGGGCTGACCCCCCCACCTCCCTCCCGGACGGGGTGGCTGCCGGGCGGAGAGGCTCCTCACTTCCCAGACGGGGTGGCTGCCGGGCGGAGGGGCTCCTCACTTCTCAGACGGGGCGGCTGCCGGGCGGAGGGGCTCCTCACTTCTCAGACGGGGCGGTTGCCAGGCAGAGGGTCTCCTCACTTCTCAGACGGGGCGGCCGGGCAGAGACGCTCCTCACCTCCCAGACGGGGTCGCGGCCGGGCAGAGGCACTCCTCACATCCCAGACGGGGCGGCGGGGCAGAGGCGGTCCCCACATCTCAGACGATGGGCGGCCGGGCAGAGACGCTCCTCACTTCCTAGATGTGATGGCAGCCGGGAAGAGGCGCTCCTCACTTCCTAGATGGGATGGCGGCCGGGCAGAGAAGCTCCTCACTTTCCAGACTGGGCAGCCGGGCAGAGGGGCTCCTCACATCCCAGACGATGGGCGGCCAGGCAGAGACGCTCCTCACTTCCCAGACGGGGTGGCGGCCGGGCAGAGGCTGCAATCTCGGCACTTTGGGAGGCCAAGGCAGGCGGCTGGGAGGTGGAGGTTGTAGCGAGCCGAGATCACGCCACTGCACTCCAGCCTGGGCACCATTGAGCACTGAGTGAACGAGACTCCGCCTGCAATCCCGGCACCTCGGGAGGCCGAGGCTGGAGGATCACTCGTGGTTAGGAGCTGGAGACCGGCCCGGCCAACACAGCGAAACCCCGTCTCCACCAAAAAAATACGAAAACCAGTCAGGCGTGGCGGCGCGTGCCTGCAATCGCAGGCACTCGGCAGGCTGAGGCAGGAGAATCAGGCAGGGAGGTTGCAGTGAGCCGAGATGGCAGCAGTACAGTCCAGCTTCGGCTTGGCACCAGAGGCAGACCGTAGGAGAGGGAGACCGTGGGGAGACGGAGAGAGAGAGGGAGAGGGAGAACAGGTAGTTTTTTTAACCCTTGCTCCTCTCTCTCCCTCCCCTCTTTTGGAGTTCCCAGTGTTTACTGTTCCCATCTTTATGTCTGTGTGTACTTGATGTTTAGCTCCCACTTATAAGTGAGAACTTGTGGTATTTGGCTGTTTCTGCATTAATTTAAGATAATGGCTTCCATCTGCATCCATGTTGCTGCAAGGGAAATGATTTTGTTCTTTTTTATGGCTGTGTAGCATTCCATGGCATATATATATACACACCATATTTTCTTTATCCAATTCACCATTAGTGGGCACCTAGGCAGATTCCATCTCTTTGCTATTGTGAATAATGCTGTGATAAACACATGAAGGCAGGTGAAAAGACCTAATTCTTAAATGATTTTTCTCATACTAAATTTTAAGTGTTTAAATTTTGGTAGATATTTACAATATACAATGTCAAAAATGAAACTTTAGTGTTAAAAAAAGGCTTTCCAACTACATCTTCAAATTTTAAAAGATGTGATTTTTTGGAAAATACTACTTCCTAAGTAGAGGATTATGTAAGAAATGCTGATGGGAACTACTCTTGAACAACTAGAGTTGCTGGAGTCAGTCACAATTCTACTCGTTATATCACAGGTTAATGCCAGAAAGACTACTGAGTCAATATAGCAGTCAACCTGGGAGGGGAAATATTATTTTTATTGCAATTTTAAAAGGATAAAAGATGTACTTAGATGGCAATCAATATTAATCCTTGGTTTCAACTGCATCTATAAACAGTACAGAAGAGCTCTACAAACCAACACTGTAACTTACTATTTAAATAAATTTCACAGAATCATAAAATATTAACCTTGGATAGGATAGTAAAGATTAGTAATTTTTGAATTAAAAAACAAGCAAGTTTCTCTTTTAAAGACATCTTAAGAGGGCAAGTTTTTTGGGAGGTTTAAAAAACCTCCCAATAAAATGTTCCTATATGTGCAGTGAATGGTCAAAAAAAGGATTAGAAAGAAAGGATTCTCAAGAGATCAGGAGGCCACTGCTGAGAATGTAGGGATGCTCCTTTATACTCTCTGACCCTCAAAATATATATTTATGATTCTCAAGAACAATCAGCTAACCCTCTATTTTAGTTACTTTATCTATAATTACACTTAATTCAAAAAATTAAGAAAAATTCTTAAATAATCCAAATTCTTCTATCACCCAACCTTCTTCTCTACGATAAAAGGAAGAGGGATAGGGAAGGAATCATCAAAGAACTTGAGTAATTTGTGTTTGTCTAAAGGTAAGGCTTGTTTTTAAAGAAACTGAAAACTTAAATCAGTTTGGCCTCCTTTCTCAGACAAGGACAAAAACTTGGAATCCCTTCTTAAGCCCTCAGTGAAAGTCAGCAGGCTCTAAGCCCTTGGCAGCTGACATTTTGAGAACAATCTGTTACCTTCTACACAGTCATCATTCTAAGTGAGGAGGGCAGCGTGGATGCTTAGAAGGGAAAGGCAGAAGACTCAGGGAGTGTGTGCAGTGAGAAAGAGAAGGCACCCTTGGTCTCACTGAAAAGTAGCCCCTGGTTTATCTTCAGGTGACCTTTACATGGTAAAGAGCCTTGTAAAGGATAACATTATGTGACCAAGAATACAATTTTCTGTTTTTCCTTGAGATGGTTGCTGCTTGTCGTGTTTTTCACTTTTGACATGTACAGCAACTTTGCATTCAAGTTCTTCATCCTTCCATACAGGCCTATGAATCTAAGTACAAGATTACCTATATTGCAGTGCACCAAATCTTCCTGGACTTGATGTGCCTGGATTCCGCGTGTATGAAAATGAACACCCACATTTTTTTATTATACGTTTTTAAAGTTTTGCTGTAGACTACTTGTACAAAACGTCAAATTTCTCCTCTACCCTCTTAAAGTCTCTAGCTGAGGCTGACGTAAAACAGGTTAACAGGGAAAAGCATACAAACATGATTCAGTACTTTTTACATGTACATGGGAGCCCTCACAAGAAAAATGAAGACCGAAAGAAGCAGTTAGAGCTTACTTAACATCTATATAGTAGGTTGGACAAAGAGTAAATTTAGAAAACATGACAAGACAAAGAAGTTGGGTGACTGCAGTTAATTGTGGAAAAGTGACTGGGAAGTTAAGGGTTGGTTTAACAAGGTTTGTTTGTACAGATTTCTCTCAGCCTTTATTACCCATCTTTGGTTATAAGAATGTCTTCCTTGTTCCTGGTACAGGGAGGGCAACTTTCTTTTTTTTTTTTTTTGAGACGGAGTCTCGCTCTGTCGCCCAGGCTGGAGTGCAGTGGCGGGATCTCGGCTCACTGCAAGCTCCGCCTCCCGGGTTCACGCCATTCTCCTGCCTTAGCCTCCTGAGTAGCTGGGACTACAGGCACACACCACCATGCCCAGCTAATTTTTATATTTTTAGTAGAGATGGGGTTTCACCATGTTAGCCAGGATGGTCTCAATCTCTTGACCTTGTGATCCACCCACCTTGGTCTCCCAAAGTGCTGGGACTACAGGCATGAGCCACCATGCCCAGCCTTTTCAATGCCTTTTACCCAAAATAATCAATATACCAAAGTGGCATATTTGGGGGTGGCATATTTTGATCCCTACACTATGAAAAGCTATAATATATTCATGATAAATAGTATTCTGTTTTTCATGGGATATAAATTGGAATCATCCTTTGGGAAACAACTGGGAAAAATGAAAGAACTGTTCATTATCTCAGTAACTCATGTTAAAGGAATTTACTGTAACAAATAATTAATCATAAGCTATGTACAGCATACACATACACACACACAAATGTCTACTACCACACTATAACAACAAAAAATGTAAACAACCTGATGCCCCAAAGCAGAAAAATATTTACTAAATTATGACAAGGCAATCCCATAGTATACTATATCCACTAAAAATGAGGGCTGTCTAGAAATATGTAGAGATATGAGGTGGGAAGGGAGAGTTGGACCTGAAGTTGACTCAGAGAGCTATTGCAATAGCCAAGCGATAAGTATGATACAGGCCTGAACAACAGGGGTGGCAGTGAGTAAGTCAGATATGGTGAAGATGAAGAAATACTAAGAGAATAATATCAAAGGCTATTACAACCAGAGATGTGGGGTGGGAGTCAGATGTAGCCAAAAGACTGAGGTGTCTAGACTTGGTGACTTGCCATAAGAGAAGTCAGGAGCAATAGCTCATTCTTTTGGGAAGATGAGTAGCTTGATTTTGAACACAGGCATCATAACAATACCATACATTTAACTGTTTAATGCTTCACTGTTTACAATGCACTTTTACAGACATTAAAAGTGCTCATGTGATCTTATAAGAAGCCTGTAAAACAGGCAGAGACGGTAATTCATTTCCATTAATTGAAGGAAGAAATGGAAGCTTAGATGTCAGAGGACTGGAACCAGATTTATCAGGTCCCCTCAGTCCAAGTCCAGTGCTCTTTCCACTGCACAATCCTATTTCTAGAGAATTGACTGTGTGATTTAACTAGGGCTAAAAACTCAGAAGAAAAAATATAACCTGAAAGGATACACAGGAAAGCTCAAGATCAATTCATAGATAATCATTCACATGTGCTCCAGGGAGAGAGGAATGTTTTGAGGAGTGCATGAGTGTATGTGCACGTGCACTCATGGCAGGGAGTGCTAGTTGCCTGTGACAAAGACTCTTTGCTTGGCCAAACTTTAGTCAGGCTTTAATTCTTCTGCTAGGTCCATCTATGCACTTCCTTGTAAAACCCAGTTTTAGGAAAGAACCTTGCTAAGTCAGTTTAGCAAGAATTGCCCCCATCCCTGATATCTGATCAGGTTCTTCACCCCCAGCCAACCTCCAGGTGGTATCTGATCACCTTGGCCTGCCTTCAGCAAGAATCCTGTTAGGTTGGTTTTTCCAGATTTCCCCTTACCCCTGATGTTTCCTCTTAGTAATTTCTTATCCACTGACTCTGCTCCTTGGCTGTAAATTCTCACTTGCCCATGCTGTCTTTGGAGTTGGGCCCAATCTCTCTCCCCAGCTGTGGGACCCCGTTACAGTAGTCCTTACATCTATGGTGATGGTCCTGAATAGTCTTCCTTACCATGCCTTAACAAGTGTCACTGAATAATTTTTTATTTAACTTCTACTTACCCAATACTCATTCTCTTCTTCCTTACTAAAGAACTTTGGGCAACAGGACTGACTGAAAAATTTTATTTCCCAGACTTCTTTGCAGACAGGAGTAGCCAAATATAGATAGATAGATAGATAGATAGATAGGGAATATATATCTATAATTTCCATGTGTGTGCGTGTGTGTGTGTGTGTGCACGCGCGCACATATGGAAGTTGCGAGTCAGCCTTTTTGCCCTCATCCTTTTCTATATACTGCCTGAAAAGCAGACATGATGATTAGCCCTCTTGAGAGACAAATGAAAGGTCCAGGAAATCGCAAACCTTAACCAAAAGAATGCAAATATGTTCATCTTTGTGCTACTGAACCAACTACTACCTCCTGAATCCTTTTAGATTAAAAAAAAAAACAAAATTCCTTCTAGTCTAGACTGTTATTAATTCATAGCTGGTATAACACCTTGCTTTCTGAGGCCATCATTTTCAAGGATAACCATATTCTCCCTCTACACTGTTCTGTGGCTTGGGCTGGATGAATCATGGCTGGTCTGACACACTGTAGCATTCTTTCAGTTCCAAGCTTGTAAAATATTCAACCTTTGAACATTTTGCTTCTGGAACTTTAAAGGGCAGAGAAAAACAGAAGCATGAGTTACTTTGGGGTAGCGATTTATTTATTCTACTTACCTTACATTAGAGCCAATAGATCACATGGCTTTGATTATTCCCAAAATGGTTCATACTTGGGTAGATATAACTGGGTAGCCTTCTATAAATATGGACACAGGCGACAGTAACACATGAGTAGTATTTTGACAAAAAAGCTATAAAGAAGTAAATATTTCTTCTCTAGCATAAAGTTAAATTTAAAAAATGTAATTATCTGATCTAAAAATCCCACACATCCCAGAGATTATTTAATAGGAGACCTCCAACACTAAAATTTGCTGAGAGAGTGCCTGGCCTAGTGACTGGTATATATTAAATGCCAAAACATTTGCTAAATGAATGAGAGCACTATGAAGTGTGTGCAAAGCAGAGTAGCAGGATGTTCACCATAACAGGAAATTAGCATATTTACAGAATTTCAGGCCCATCGTGAAATAAAACAATCAGCTGGTTGTGAGATAAAACTAATTTAGCTTCTGATAATTTAATCAACAATAAACTGGGCCATTAAATTAATGAATTTAAATGTTACAATTTCCTTTAAAGAAGAATGCAATGCTACCCTGTATTAGTTAAACAGCCTATGGATGCACCCAGTTATTCCATGCTAATAATATTTTGCAAAGAGCTATAAAAATTCTGAAGCAACCTCAACAGTCTTCAAAGGATAAGGGTATTTAGGTCTAAACTTGCAGCAGGTAGTAATTTTTAACTAGATGATTTAGAAACTACTGAAAAAAAACAGATTAGTGATCTGGGTGTTACCCAATAGTTTTTTCTCTCTCCAAATGTAGGATGTTCTCCAGTCAATTTATTACAGCCTGAGTTGCAACTAATTCTTTGGAGATAGTGAAACATCATCAAAAATAAATTGCGTCCTTCTCAGTAATTTTTTAAAATTAATGTAAAGTACAAGATAATTTGAAACCTAATTTCTCTGAGAACGCCAACTATCTGGTGTCTGTCAATTAACACCTGGCCTGGATTTGTATCTGAGATTTAGACTTTAAGACAAGAATAAGGAACATTTACCATGTGTCCAGGACACTCCGAATATTAACAGAATATAACAAAAATCTTGAAATTGAAATTAACTTGTCTCTCATCAGATATAATTTTAATGAAAAAATTAAAGATTTTTAAAAACCTTTAGAAGTTGACATAAGAGTAAGTCACACATTACACTACAGAGAATCACTATAATGATACAGCATGAATTTAAAACTGGGTCCTGGCACAGTGAGATCATTTATTTCTGAATGTATACATCTAAGTGTATATATGGTGTTTCATCAAACAACTATTGTATATACATATAAGAAAGTTTAAAACCTCTGGAATGGTAGATATTAGGGCAAAAAATAATGACCATTTGGGTCATGTTAGAAAAACCTGATGGAATCGTGCAAGTACTATCTGACAAAATTACTGGATTAGTACTGAAGACTGAATGGTAAAACTTACACCAAAAAGAATTTTTCATTTTGTAACCACTATTTTAAAATGTCAACACAAACTAAGAAAATTCTCCTGAAAGGTAACATAATACTTAAGTACAATGACGGCTAACCATAAACCCTTTGAATTTCAAGGTCTAGAAGGTGATGTCTATCACTGAAAAAAACCCACAAACATTAGTGCTGCGGCTGTTATGACCTAGCCTTATCAATACCAATGCTTGGTGTGGCAGTAAACACACAGGAAGTTCAGGCTGGGCACCTGAGACAGTTACATCCTGGACACTTACCAAAGGTTCATGAGCCTTTTAGCTTCTTTCCATCCTCCTACACTTATAAACCCTTGTTCAGTTAACCCAGAAAACTTATCTTTACCTCAAAAAATGGCTCATAAATTCAAAAGTAATACTAGTCTCAAACCAAAGCAAGAAAAAGGAAATCTGTCTATATTTTAAGTGAAGTTAACACTAGAAGGAATGATGTCTCAAATACTAAAGGTTTTTGCAACGTACCTCCAAAATTTCTACCCAAATGTTTCCATTGAACCCCAGCCTCCCCAAGTGAATTTTCGATAATTTAAAATAAATGATTATTTTATCTTACTTTTCCTCAAAAGTATTCTACAGTAAGGTCTTGAAAAGACATCTGCACACCCATGTTCACAGCAGCACTATTACAATAGCTAAGTGGTGGAAGCAACTCAAAGGTCTGTTGACGAATGGATAAGCAAAATGCTTACACGTGCAATGGAACGTTATTCCGCCTTAAAAAGGAAGGAAATTCTATCATATACTACAACATGGATGAACCTTGAAGACAGTATGCTAACTGAAATAAGCCAGTCACAAGAAGATAAACACTATATGATTCCACTTATATGGAGTATCTAAAGTGGTTAAATTTCTAGAAACTGAAAATAAAATGGCAGTTACCAGGGACTGGGGGAAGAGGAGAAAGGGAAGTTATTGTTTAACGGATACAGAGTTCCAGATTTGCAATATGAAAAAGCTCTAGAGATCACCTTCACAATGTTGTGTACCTACCTAACACTACTAACACTGAAAAATGGTTAACATGGTAAATTTTATGTTATATGTTTTTACCACAATAAAACAAATGGTATTGTTTTTCTGATACTCATCAATACCAAGCATTCAGTGAAATTAAAAATTTTATCTACATTATGAATTACATATGGATTCTAACATGGGAATTTTTTACTTTTTGAGATAACACAGACTTTTGCTTTTCTTTAAACTCCTCCACCCTTTGCCCCTTTTAAAAATGAGAACAAAAATGACATGGTGAGTACGGGTCTCCAACTGAAAAAGATAAATCCAGTTATGTAGGAATGTTAGTTCTAAGTGAAAATCAATTCCATACAACTCTAGATGAGATATTTCCTCAGAAAGCACTGGAAGAAGAGTTACTAACACATTCTCCTCTTTATCAAGGAATAATCTTGGCTATAACTAAAAACTAAAAAACAGCCCAATAGAGAGAAATATAATAACCTCAGTTTGAAAGATAGAATCACACTCAAATAACTGCAATTTTTAATTTCACTGAATGCTTCAATCTATGTATGATTCTGAGAGTAACATTTCACATTCAGAATTTAAATTAATTCTTAATTAACAATAAGTAGTTTCATGTTTGTTTTTAATTATTTCTAAGCTGTTATTTCAAACAAACAATATCACATTCTTGAAGGCAGACCTCTTACTTTTATCTCCCTAGAGGTTAGTCCAGTGCCTAGCATAAAATGATGCTAAACAAATGTTTCTTTCAAATAACTGTATAAGAATACCTGATTTTTAGCAATGTATAAAACTTTATTGAAACTAAGCACTTGTTTTCTCCACTTCTGTAGAATGAGCTATCAAGCATAACCAAGGTGATTAGTTCCACGATTTTATGCTCACCTCTACCAGTTACCCTTTCCTGCTCCCAAGCACTGACTCACTCCTATCACTCCTAATCACCCGCAACCCTATGGCAATCATGCCAAAGCTTCTTTTTTTTTTTTTTTTGAGACAGGGTCTGGCCCTGTTGCTCAGGCTGGAGTGCCATAGCACGATCTCAACTCACTACAACCTCCGCTTCACAGGTTCAAACGATTCTTGTGCCTCAGCCTCCCAAGCAGCTGGAACTACAAGCGTGTGCCACCATGCCCAGTTTATTTTCGTATTTTCCGTAGAGACAGGGTTTCACTATGTTGCCCAGGCTGGTCTCAAATTCCTGAGCTCAAGCGATCTGCCTGCCTCGCCTCCCAAAGTGCTGGGATTACAGGCATGCACCAGCATGCCTGGATGCTTCTTCACTCTCAAATCTCCAGTACCTTTCTCTACTTCCTTACTTTTGTGGTACCTTGCTCTATTTTTCTGCAAAGACTGAAACCCATGATTTCCCTCTTCGTCACTTCAGCATTTCTGTTTTCACCCTGCTCTTCTCTGGATTCAATGGATACAAGTCTTCCCCTTTTTCACCCAGGTTCTCTGTCATTATTTCTACTTTAGTAGAATTGGTATCCTCACCTGGCTCATCTTCAAGAAATTATCCTAGGAAGCACAAACCAACCCAATTTCTATTAGTTCCTTCTCCTCTCAGCCTCCAAAGTACTTAATGTGTATCATATTGAGTATCATATCCCAGCTAATTACATCTGACCTTTAGGATATGTCTTATACTACTGTTCTTTTTATCTATGTCTTTATTGCCAAAAATGATATTTATAATTATTTTGGGGCAAAGATTGTCTTTTGCTTTACCACATGAAAAAGGTCTGTTTACCATGTGCCATTCAAATATTTTTTGATAATGGAATAAGTTTGCTCAAAAATGAACTTTTCAGCTGGGCACAGTGGCTTATGCCTGAAATCCCAGTGCTCTGGGAGGCTGAGGTGGGAGCATCACTTGAGGCCAGGAGTTCGAGACCAGCCTACGGAACATTGTGAGACCCTGTATCTACAAAAATAAAAAATAAACCAAAAATTTTAAAAATGAACTTTTCTATGACTCCCATTGTATTCATCATTGTACTGAACATACTGACCCTTTCACTTGACTTTATTTAATGTATTTATTTTTCTCATTCTCTTACATAACATCTCTAATTTCTTTTCTTTCAGTTTCAACATCAGTTACTAAGGCTGGCACTTTCTATTAATAATAAAAATGGTCACGATTCTTGAATATCCAATTCCTGCCAGATACTATGCTAGATAATCTACACATATTAACTCTAATCTTCACAATAATCATGCATTTTACAGAGGAGGAAACTGAGGCTCAAAGGGATTAAGTACCTTGTCCTCCAGTCTTTCTCCCTCCAATCGGTCTTCTACCCTTCAGCCAAAGTGATCTTCCTACAACCAAATCTAATCATGTTATTTCCCTCACCTAAAGCTCTTTAAGGCTTCCTACTGTCTTAATGTCTAGATTCCTTAACTAGGCCTAAGGTAACCTTCAGGATACCTCTTTTCTTACCACTCCTGACACCAACTTCTTTCAGTTCTTGGACCATGCCATGCTTTCTCCTTTTGCCTCTGGACTTGGCATGGAGTGCCCTTATTCATCCACTCAACAAACATGTGGCATGTGCCAACTATGTGCCTGGCATTGTACTAGCAGCTGGGCACATGGTAGAGAATGAAACAGACATAGGTCCTGCCCTCAAGGTACTTATGATCTAATGGAAAAAACAAATAATAAATAATTACAGATTGTAGTAAGTAAAATGACAGAAGCAGGATGCTGTATTCCAGAACATCTAGGGTTGGGGGGTGCAAGAGAAATCACAGTGACTGTTTTAAATAGTTTGATCTGGTAAGGTCTCAGGTGGTGACATACTTTAAAAGCTAAAGATTAAGCCAGCTATGTGAAAAGCCAAAGGGGAGGTGAGTGACAAGAGATCCTGCTAAAGACATCAGCAGAGCCCAGACCAAGGATTATTACAGGCCACGGTTAAGAATCTGGGTTTTATTCTAACTTCTAAGGGCAATGTAATTCGCTGAAGAATTTTACATAAGGAAGAGTCACTTTTTGCTGCAGAGTGGAGAAGGGATTAGAGGGGCACAGAATAGAAAACAGAGACACAAGTCAGTCAGGAAGATACAGTAGTAGTTGAGGTGAGAAAATGTGGATGATTTGAAGTACGGTCTGATAGTGAAAGGAAAAAAGTAGACAGATTAGATGCAGAATTGACCTGACTTGCAAAGTCATTACCTGAAATTAAGAAAGAGGCAGAGAGAGGTTATAGAGTTTGGGAATTTGTCATTGGAGAACGTTAGCAGGCTCACTAGAGAAACAGAGGATCAGAGGGATCTCAAGCCCATACTGACTGAATATTCAAGAGTTTGGCCATTTTCACTTTATACGGTCATCAGTTTGTGCAGGACTTTTTCCAGCAAAGTTCAGGCCCACGGGTGCAGGTACAAAGAGGGCAAAAGGTTGACTTCATCCAGAGTAAGAGTTTTGTCAGAAAAAAGTGCAGGAAGGGACAAGAGAATTTTTCAAAGGAACGACATACATTCTGGATAAGGGGGTGCAGTGGATAGAAAATGGAAAGATCAATGCAATGGAGGTATAGATGAAGGTCAAGAATTGTCTCCCTGGTAGAAAGTGGTCAGATAGTAGGAGGCTATAATTTGTTTCTTCTGCTTGGAATGGGCATCTCCCCCTTCAGCAAACTGTTTGACCCCTAAATACATCCATCCTTTTCTGCTCCCTGACTTCCTGAACCCCAGCACCACTCCCTGAGTTTGTCACCATCTCATCCAATCAGAAAGGCCCACCTCAGCGGATCACAAGGTCAAGAGAGCGAGACCATCCTGGCCAACATGGTGAAACCCCGTCTCTACTAAAAATACAAAAATTAGCTGGGCGTGGTGGCACGCTTGTAGTCCCAGCTGCTTGGGACGCTGAGGCA
This sequence comes from Homo sapiens, assembly GCF_000001405.40. Taxonomy (NCBI): domain Eukaryota; kingdom Metazoa; phylum Chordata; class Mammalia; order Primates; family Hominidae; genus Homo; species Homo sapiens. The sequence continues at coordinate 122,792,778 of NC_000003.12, forward strand.
GAAGAATTGCTTGAACCTGGGAGGTGGAGGTTGCAGTGAGCCAAAATCGCGCCACTGCACTCCAGCCTGGTGACAGAGCGAGACTCCGTCTCAAAAAAAGAAAAAAAAAAAAAGAGAGAAAAGAAAAAGAAAGGCCGACCTCAAACTATTCGCTCCTTGAAGCATTTATGTTCTCCCCACTGAGATCCCTCCTCCTAACAACCCTCACAGAGTGTACTACTGGTAGAATAGTTCAGGTGACCACATAGTAAGTCATTCTTTTTCCTTTCTAGGCTCCTTTGGAAAAGGTATTGTTATAAATATTCAAAAGTCTCTGGATCCTGCGACAGTATTCAGAACACAGCCCTGCACGGTGCAATCATTCAATAAATAATAACAGGGATCTCAGGCTCATGGGCCTCCAAACCTCATCCCCACTTGCTAAACCAGGGTTCACTGAAATAGAATAAAAGCGCATAATCCCTGTTCACAAAAGTCTCAGATAACTTCCATTAATCTCAAAGGTTGCCTTCAATTTCACAAATTTAATTTTAATCCCCTCTAAACGTTCAAAACACCTCTATTTAGCTAATGATGGGCAAATATAAAACAAAACAAAACAAAAATAACACCCCATGCGTGAAACAGCACTCGTAGGCTACCCTACGACGATCAAAAATCTGGATGCCACAATTCGAGAAATGCCACGCTCACTAGAAAATATAGATTTTTCTTCATAGTCTAATGCAAGGCCAGAGAGACCTGGGTTGGGGCTAAGGCAAACGGCCCCACGAGGGGTGCCACGAGAGTCAACTGGCATTGGGTTTGTACTCAGGGTCGGACCTCAGCCTGGCACCTACCTTCCTCCCCTCCAGCCCCAGCCGCAACGATCACAGGAGTGGTCGCCTCGGAGCCTGCTGCCATGGCTACCGCAAGGCGGGTTCTGCCGGAACCCAAGGCGGAGCGGAGCTGGGGTGGGGTCAGAGTAGGGGCCAAACTCCGAGACCCGAAGCTGCACCACAGGAAGGAGCCCCGGCGACTCCCGCCCGGCTCCTACGGAAACGCCGGCTCTCACGTGGAGGTCACGTGACGGATGCTGGGCGGGACCACGCAGCTTTGTTTTGATACCCCGGGTGTGGAAATACAAACACGTGGTCTGAGTTGTGGCGCTTTTTACCTAACCCGGACCTTAGCGTTCTTTATTGTAGTCTTAGCTTCGTTTCTGTTTCTCCTTTTCTAGTCAGATCCTTCCTTTCCACCTCGGCTTTTCTCCACCCTAAAGGATTGGAGTTTTAGGGGAAGGTTTGCCGCTTAGTGGGGCTCCGGCGGTGGGATGGGTCTCTGCCGTGAGCTTTCGCGAGCCGCTCTTGGCAGCCTGGAATGCGAGGCTAGCTCACGCTTCTCTTACACCTCTCTTGCCCTTCTGGTGGTAACCTGACTCCTTCTGATTTTAGTGGCTGCCGGGAAATACGAACCTCGGGCAAAGAATCCTGTGATTGCGTTCCCTGTGACTCATTTCCCGATCCAGACAAGCCAAATTGCTTGACTTTAGGTTTTCAAGGACACTAATCCACAGCTGTCAGGCTTCTGAATTTGTATACCAAAATAAACAAACAGCTGTGTGAAGAGATCAACAACCACCTTTCTTCTCGTTTACCCTGTGGTCAAATCATAATCACTGGAGATGGATCTTTGGGGCAAAAATCTTCCAACTTTACTGGACATACCTTTATTGCTCGCCTATTGGCAGGCGAAATGGGTAAAGTTTACATATATATGAATGAAATTGGCTAGTTTGGAATCTCCTCTTTGGATATGTAAGACAAAAAAGTAACAAAAATAGGTAGTACTTATTGCACGTAAGAAATGATTTTTATGAGATAATCCCCTGGGACCAACTACGCTTAAACTTTATCCTTCGCCTATAATTTCTGAAGTTACTAACTCAACAAAAATGAGAATAAGCCCAAAATAGAAGCAAGCATCAGGTTAACTGACGTCACTTAACAGGTCACTGAGTTGTTTATTAGGCACAAGATTTAACTTGGACACTTCCTCCAAACACCCCAGGGTTCCTTGCCCAACCTCCTCGAATACAGCCTCTCTGGGAGTTTCCCTCTCCCCGACTCAGCCGCGCTGGTCCCTGCCTTTTCAGCGCTACCTGCCCTCCGTCTGGGACCTGGCTCCTTTCCTCTCGCCGGTGTTTCCTCGCCACCCGCGGAGGGGAGGGCGGACCCCAGCCTCCTTGCCGCCTGCCCCGCCTCCCCGCCTCCCCGCCGGCCCGGCTCGGGCCGCGCAGGCGCACCAGGCGCGGTCCGGAGGCCGAGGGCGACCACAGCAGCCTCCGCCTCCTGCTGCTCAGGACTATTCTGCGCTGGGCTAGTCGGCGGTGACCCGGACTGCGCCCGGCAGTGGCTTCGCGGGCGACGCGTCGCCATGGGCTCTCGCTGGAGCAGCGAAGAGGAGAGGCAGCCGCTGCTGGGGCCCGGGCTCGGGCCTGGGCTGGGGGCCTCCTGGAGAAGCCGGGAGGCGGCGGCGGCGGCGCTGCCCGCGGCGGTCCCGGGTCCCGGGCGGGTATACGGGCGCCGCTGGCTGGTGCTGCTGCTCTTCTCGCTGCTGGCGTTCGTTCAGGGCCTGGTCTGGAACACCTGGGGTCCCATCCAGAACTCGGCGCGCCAGGCCTACGGCTTCTCCAGCTGGGACATCGCGCTGCTCGTGCTGTGGGGGCCCATCGGCTTCCTGCCCTGCTTCGCGTTCATGTGGCTCCTGGACAAGAGAGGTGAGGGGTCGCGGAGCGCCAGCCCGCGCTGTCTCTCCTCCGGGAGCAGGCGCCTGCCCGCGCTCCAGGCCTGCCAGCCGCCTCCCTTGGCCCCGGCATAGGGGTTGTGTGAGGTGATAGAGTGTTGCTAGCATTCCATTTCTGACTTAGGAACCCTCCGTCCCCAAAGCGACAAATATGGAAAGGCAACCTTGCAAATATTTATGTTTTTTATCAAGGCCCTTTATGCAACACCAGGGATTTAAGCGATCTCTAAACGTTCAAGTTTTTACACATTGTGAACATCAGAGCATCCCCGTGCACGTGCGGTGTATGTGTTTTACACCTGACAAAAATGACTGATGCTTTGACTTCAAAGGGATATGGGGATGTTGAGGATGAAAGGTCGGAAAATAGATTGACGGTGCCCATATGTAAGGAAATAATGAGTTCGTTTTGTGTAATAGATGACTCCAGCCCAGGAAGAGCTATTGGGAAACTCAGATCTGACACTTTGGTTTCTGGAAGGTGGTGCTCGGCAGCTTTAAAATGTGTGTATGTGACTAGATGGCTTTCTCAGTTGAGATTTGTGACTTTCAATTAAAGCTTGCAGATGAGTGAAGATGCTTGCTTAGAATGGTACCCTGGACATCTCACTTTACCACTTGCCAGTGTGATTCTCTGAGAAGAAAAAGCCATAGGGCTGAGAATCAAGGCATACTTACCACATAAGTATGGATAAATGATTAGTAGTGACAGTCTACCCTCAAGAGGCTGTTGTGCAAGATTTTATATTTATTAATTGAATAATGCCTGGGAGCTACTTTGTACAGTTTCTGTTCAACCTTTTATAAGTTTTGTTGCAATGAGTTCTTTAGTCAGATTTGGAAGGTTGTCTTAGTCCACTGGAGCTGCTATAACAAAATACCATAAACTGGGTAGTTCATAAACACAGAAATTTATTTCTCA